>NC_000015.10:26913237-27216267 GCF_000001405.40 Homo sapiens
GTTCTAGGTCATCTACACACACAAGCCTCTGTGAGTCACTCCATCTTTGGGGAAACCTTCCGTCAAAAGTTGTGGCAACAGAAGATTTCGTATCTTTGATGGACACAGACCTCCCTTCCACTGACATGTATTTTAGTTTCATTCAGAAAATACATACATTGACTCCTCAGTCTGCAATTACCATGTGAATTATGTGACCAATTTAACAGCAAAAGGTTAATCTATTTTCACAGAAGGAAGTAGTAAAAGCAAAAATGGATGTTTATGTTTTGATTCTCACCCTAGGCTAATCAGCGACATTCAGTCTTATATAACAAGGAATGAACAATAGCACTACTGTAACCTTGAATTATTATTTGCTCTAAAAATAGAATTATAACATGCACTTGAAGTTGAACGTTTTGTATCTTCATCTTTCATTGTATGTAATTTCATTTATTTTAAATAATGGAAAGAAAAACTAACAAACAGAAGATGGGCTCATTAATAAAATTTAGAATCATCCGTAATTGGCAAAGGTGGTAGAGAAATGAAAGCACCACAGTGTGGCGGCTCTGGGAGTGCACTGGCTTCCTACACAACAGAGCCCTGCCTATGCCGCCTGTGGTGGTGCCTTTCAGGGACCTCTGCAGCCAGGGCCAGGCAGCCTGGGTGATTGTTATTGTCATGGCTCCACCACTGAGCAGCTCTGCATTCTAGGCCCCGAATTCCTTAATATCCGCACCTCACTTTTCTTCTTTGTAAACTGAGATGGTTATAGCACCAGATCTCCCCGTGCTGTTAGGGTGAGATGAGTCAATGCAGGTAGAATCCCTCACAGGCTGCCTGGCACAGACATGCCAGCTCTTGTTACCATCATTATTGTAGTTACCAGTGACAGTGGTAGTGCTCGGTGATATTATAATTTGGAAGACTAGGCCTGGATTAAAAAATAATAATTAGGGTGTACCAGAAGATTGTTATGATATTACAGGTTCACTTACTATACAGTTTCATATTGGCCCATTACACAATGGTTATAGCCAGGTTCCGGTCAAAATTTGGGCGTGTAGGAAAACTCTGCACTAAATGTACCACGTGAAGTTATAAGTGAAATAGTAGATATTTGTAATTGTATTACTTCAACTTTTTCTGTATTTTCCCATATTCTACGAATATATGTGCATTTATTCTACATTTATATTTTTTGAGCTTATAAGCAATTTTAGAAAATGCATGTTTTCAGTCCCGTCAAGGAAAGCTTTATGATAATGCTCAATAAGGGATAGGAAACAAAGAATAAATAACTTTTAAAGGCATCTTAAATTGCTTTACAAGCAGTAATATATGTATAGGTACACACCCTAAGCCACCGAAGTGCTGAGTAGATTTGATTTAAGCCTTATTTCTGAATGATATTCACCTACAACACAAACTTACGTAATTTGGTGGGGATAGTTCAGATAATCTCATAAGAGACATTAATTTTTAAAAGTACTTAATATGGCTTTCTGGGACACGATGGTGGCTCAGTGAATGGCTAGAGTGAGAGAGTCGTTCAAAGGTCTTCATCTTTTATTTTTCAGCTTGACCATCTCTGCAGAGTGCCCCATGCAGCTTGAGGACTTCCCGATGGATGCGCACGCTTGCCCTCTGAAATTTGGCAGCTGTAAGTTATTTTCACAAGTAAGAGCCTTGGACATATACTTTGGGGATCAATTCCACATTTATTCAGAAGAATTTAGGTTCTGCATATACATAAGCACAATAGGATGCAGTCTGTTTAAGAAGCGTGGAGAGTGTATTGTTCTCCCCAGACTAGCTTTCTTGTCTGCAAAATGGGGTCATTAACACCTGCCATACATCACAGATTAGGATAAACTATGACAATGCCAGTGACATCACTGAACAATCTGGAATGTGCCCCTCTGGGGGTGTTTCTCCTCAGATCTCAACCGGGCAGTTCTTTTTTGTTTTTGCATCTCAGATTACAGGTCACCTGGTCAAAGGTGACCAGTGCCCAGTACTCAGCCAGTGATATTTTTTATTGTGCTGTAATCATTGCTGTGTTGACTCACTTCTTCTAGAATGTTCCATAAGAGCAACAGCCTCATCTGTCATGTTCATAGTCAGTGCTCACCCACAACACTCAGCATTTTAGGAAATATGTGCTGCTTGAACAAATAAACAAATTATTCATATCACAATACTATAGGTATACACTTATACAATTCTAATAGGAATTCCTGGATTCCAGCCATTCCAGACAGAGGAATTGACAGTTGAGACAGTTGAAAAGTTCTGTGTCTTACAGGAAAATGTAATCCATTTTCTTTACTGTGACAATTAGAATGTTTAAAAATATTCTTGAAATATTTATTTCTCCAAGTATTAAATTTTGTTACACTTGTTTCAGCATCATCCCCACATGTGAGCTATTGGGAGCAGACTTGAAACTGATCTAGTTTCCATCTTTCTTTCTACTCTTCACTTGTGCACATGCTATATGAAGTTTTCACTTTGAAAGCAGAATGTTCTCCTTGAGATGAAGCATGAAAACTGTGTGGGTTTGAATCCTGGCTATCCCACTCCTCTGCTGAGTAACTGTGGGCAAGTTAATTAGACTCTCTGAGCCTCTTTCCTCATTTGTAAAATAGATGAGGGCTGTTATAATATGTTTGAAACTGGCAGAGTAACACCAGTTAAAGTGTTCAATAAATGCCCATCATCATCATTACCATAAAAGTTCATTATATTTATAGCTTCTTGACAGGATGCATGTCTCATCACTATAAATCATCTCTCTTTCACCATGTAATGCCTATAGAACTAAGTTTTGTCAAATATTAATATTGCCACACCAGTTTCTTCTTTAATTCTTGCCTGGGATATCTTTCTACTCCTTTTTTGTCTGTTTCCTGTTTCATTATATATCCAAGTTGAAAAGTTCTGTGTCTTACTGGAAAATGTAATCCATTTTCCTTACTGTGACAATTAGAATGTTTAAAAATATTCCTGAAATATTTATTTCTCCAAGTATTAATTTTTTTACACTTATTGTTTCAGTTATTTTCCTTTCCTCTTTAAAAAGAAACACCACTTGTTGAAGAGATTATCTTTTCCTCATTTTTGTATTCTTGGCACTCTTGTCAAAGATCAGTTGACTGTATATGCATAGATTGATTTCTGGACCTTCTATTTTGTTCCATTGTTCTCTATGTCAGCCTTTATGCCTGTGCCATACTGTTTTAATTGCTGTGGCTTTGTAACATATTTTGGAGTCAGGACATGTAATGCCTCCAGCTCTCTTTTTTCCCAAGATTGTTTTGGATATTTGGGTTTTTTTGTTATTTCATATGATTTTAAACATTGTTTTTTCTATTTCTATAAAAACTGCTGCTGGAATTTTGATGGGCATTGTATTGAATCTAAAGATCACTTGGGTAGTGTGGACATTTTAATAATATTAAGTTTTTCATCCATGAACGAGTGGCATCTTTCCATTTGTTTGTGTTTTCTTTAATTTATTTCATCACTATTTTGTAGTTTTCAGTGTATAGATTTTTCATCTCCTTGGTTAAGTTTATTAATAAGTATTTTGTTCTTTTTGATGCTATAATAAGTGGGATTGTTTTTCTAATTTCTTTTTCAGATAGTTCATTGTTAATATATAGAAATGGAACTGATTTTTGATGTTGATTTTGTATTGTGAAACTTTAATGAATTTATTGATTAGTTCTAAAAGTCTTTTGGTGGAGTTTTTTGGGTTTTCTGTATGTAAGATGATGTCATCTATAGATAGGGAGAGTTTCACTTCTTCCTTTATGATTTGGATGCCTTTTATTTCCTTTTCTTGTTGAATCGTTCTGGCTAGGTCCTAAAGTATTGTACTGAATAGAGGTGGTAATGGTGGGTGGGTATCTTTGCTTTGTCCCTGATGCTAGAGAAAAAGTTGTCAGTTTTTCACCATTGACTATGCAATTCACTGTGGGATTTTCATATGTGGCATTTATCATATTGAGGTAATTTTCTTCTATTCCTTGTGTATCGAGAATTTTTATCATGAAAGGGTGTGGAATTTTGTCAAACACTTTTTCTGCATCTACTGAGATGATCAAATGGTTTTTGTTTTTCATTCTCTTAATGTGATGTATTACATCAATTGATTTTCATGTGTTGGACCTTCTTTGCATCCCAGAGATAAATTCTGCTTGGATACGAATCTCTTAATGTGTTGCTGAATTCAGTTTGTTGATACTTTATTGAGGAGTTTGGCATCTATATTCATCAAGGACATTGGCCTCTTGTTTTCTTTTCTTGGAATATTTTTGACCACTTTTCATATGAGAGTAATGCAGGACTCATAAGTTTGAGTCTTTGTTCCTCTTTAGTTTTTTTTGAAGAGTTTGAGAAGGATTGGCATTAATTCTTCCTTAAATGTTTGGTAGAATTCACTAGTGAACTATCTGGTCCTGGGCTTTTCTTTGTTGGGAGGTTTTTGATTATAGATTCAACTTCCTTACTAGTTATTGATCTATTTAGACTTCCTATTTCTTTGTGATTCAGTCTTAGTAGGTTGTGTGTATCTAGGAATTTACCAATTTCTTCTAGATTATTCATTTTATTGGCATATAATTGTTCATTGTTGTCTTTTACAAGTCTTTTTATTTCTGTGGCATCAGTTGCAATGTCTCCTTTTATTTCTAATTTATTTGACTTTTCTTTTTTTCTGAATCTACATAAAAGTTTGTCAGTTTTATTTTTTTTCAAGGGACAAACTCTTTGCTGATTCTCTGATTCTGTTTATTGTTTTTAGATTCCCTACTTTGTTTATTTCTGCTCTAATATTTATTATTTTCCTCCCTCTACTACATTTAGACTAGTTTGTGCTTCTTTTTCTAATTCCCGAAGGAGTTAGGTTGTTTATAAATTTTCCTCTTGGTGCTGCTTTTCTTAGATGCCAATAAGTTTTGATATGCTGCATTTTCATTTTTATCTGTTTCAAGGTATCTTCTAAGTTCCCCTTTGATTTCTTCTTTGGCCCATTGGTTGTACAAATGTGTGTTGTGTAATTTCCACATATGTATGAATTTTCTAGTTTTTCTTCTACTGTGGATTTCTGGTTTCATTCCATGTGGTAGGAAATTTCTGTCTTCTTAAATTGATTACATTTGTTTTGTGACATAAAATGTGAATGTTCTGTATGTGCTTTAGAAAAATGTGTATTCTGCTGCAGGTGAAATGTTTTATGTATGTCTGGTGTTGTTCCAGCCCACTGTACCTCTTTGTTGATGTTCTGTCTGGTTGTTTTATCCATAACTGAGAGAGAGGTATTGAAATCTACTACTATTATTGCACTGCTGTTTCTCCCTTCAGTTCTGTCAATGTTTGCATTATATTTTCAGTTGTTCTTACGTTGGGTGCATATTTACTTATAATTGTTATATCTCTCTGGTGAATCAATCTTTTTATCATTACATATTGTTCTTCTTTATCTCTTGTGACAGTTTTTAACTTAAATTTATTTTGTCTTATGTAAATATAGCCATCCCTGCTCTCTTTTCATGGCCCTTTATCATGAGATACCCTTTTCCATCCCTTCATTTTCAGTCTATGTGTGTCCTTAAATCTACTGTGAGTTTCTTGTAGATAAAATAGAGTTGTGTAATCCCAGTACTTTGGGAGGCTGAGATGAGTGGATTGCTTGAGCCCAGGAGTTCAAGACCAGCCTGGGCAATGTGGGAAAACACCATCTCTACAAAAAACAAAGTTTTAAATTAGCTAGACATGGTGGTGCATGCCTGTAGTCACAGCTATTTGGGAGGATGAGGCAGAAGGATCACCTGAACCTAGGAGGCAGAGGCTGAGGTGAGCCATATTTACCCCACTGCACTCCAGCCTAGGCAATAGTGTAACACCCTGTCTCAAGAAACAAAACACACACAAAAAAAGAGTCGGATCTTGTTTTCTTATCCATTCAAACTCTCTTGTGTCTTTTGATTGAGGAGTTTAATTCATTTACATTTAAAGTAAATACTGATTGGGAAGGATTCACTATTGGCATTTTGGTAATTGTTTCTATTTGTCTTTTATCTATTGCTCCTCTTTAACTCTCCTGCTGTCTTTGTGCTTCATTATTTTTTTTGTATTGATATGCTTTGATTCCTTTCTCTTCTTTTCTGTAACTTCTATAGTTATTATCTTCGTGGTTACGGTGTAGCTTATATAAAATATCTTAAACGTATAACACTATCTTATGATAATATCTTAACATCAATTACATATAAAGACTACACTTTACTACTATTTCCCACACACTTATTTACATCCATTTATATTGTGCATCATTAACATTTTTAGTTGTAATTATTTCTAATACTTTTGCCTTTTGACTTTTATACGAGAATTAAAAGTGACTTATTCATCACTGTTACAATAATACAGTATTCTTTATTTGTCTGTGTAAATACAGACAAATACCTGTGTAAATACCTTTCCCAACAAGTTTTATACTTTCTTATGCTATTGTGTTGCTATTTAGCATTCTTTCAACTTGAAAAACTCTCTTTAGTATTTCTTGCAAGTCAGGTCTAGTGGTTTTGTATACTTTCTGCTTTTGTTTTTCTGGAAAAGTTTTTGTCTTGCCTTCATTTTTGAAGGAGAGTTCTGCCAGGTATACTTTTTTTTCAGCACTTTGAATGTGTTTTATCATTCCCTGCTGTCCTGCAAGATTTCTGATAAAAAAAAATCCATTCATAATCTTATGACATGACTATTTATAACAACTGGCTTCTCTCTGGCAGCTTTGAAAATTCTTTCTTTGACTTTTGACAATTTATTTAATGTGTCTTGGTGTGGATTCTGGGTTTGCCTTATTTGGAATCCTCTGTACTTCCTAGATCTGTTTCTCCATTTCCTTTCCCAGGTTTGGAAATTTTCAGCCATTATTTCTTTAAATAAGCTTTTGTTGTTGTTGTTGTTGTTGTTGTTCTTTCTCTCTCTCTTCTCCTTTTGAAACTCAGTATACATATTAGTCACTTGATGGTGTCCCATAAGTCTCTTAAGCTTTCTTTTCTCTTCTTCATTCTTCTTCTTGCTCCTCTGACTGAATAATTTCCAGTGATCTATTTTTGAATTCATTGATCTTTCCTTCTACTTGATCTAGTCTGCTGTTGAATCCCTCTGAGGAATTTTTCAGTTCTGTTATTGTATTCTTTAACTCCGTGATTTCTTTCTGGTAATTTAAAAATATTTTCTGTCTTTTTATTGAAAATTCACTTTGTTCATATATTGTTTTCAGTAAGTATCTCTATGATGGTTATTTTGAATTCTCTGTCAGATAAATTATATAACTCCATTTCATTAGGCTCAGTTTCTGAAGATTTGTCTTCTTTCATTTTATGGAACATATATCCCTGTTCCTCATTTCTTTATATTCTGTATTTGGTGTGCACATTAAATAAAACATTCACCTCTCCCAATCTTCATAAACTGGCATTGTACAGGGAAAGACCTTCACCAGTCCACCTTTGCCAGAGATTCTGGGGACCTCTCCAACCTTGGTGCTAGTCAAACTCACTTTCTTTATTCTAAGCAGCTCCTAGGCATCTAGGGTCTGCTGGATCCCACTAGCACTCAGAGACAAGCAAGACTGAAATCGGTTCCTCCGACAGCCCTCAGAGAAGCTGTCTTTCTGCGTTTTCTGCATTAGTTGATATAATCATGTGAGTTTTCTTTAGCCAGTTAAAATGGTGGGTTACATTCCTGCCTTGCAGCCCTGGAATAAACTCTGTTTGGTTATCACATATAATTATTTTTATATATTGTTGAATTCAATTTGATAATATTTTGTAAATGAGTTTTTGCATATATATTCATTTTTTATAATATCTTTTGTTTTGGTGCCAGGGTAATCCTGGCTTCATAAAGTGGGAAGTATTCCCACCTTTTTTATTTTCTAGAAAATACTGTATAGAATAGGTGTTGATTATTTAAGATGTTTGTTACAATTCTTCACTGAAACCACCAGGGCTTGAAGGTAACTGTTTAGGGAGATATTTATGATTTAAATTTTCTTAGTATTTAAGACTATTTGAATTATGTACTTCTTATTAGGTGAGTTTGGGTAAATTGCGCTTTTTGAGAAATTGGTTTATTTTATCTAAGTTATATTAAATTTGTGTAGAGTTGTTCATAGTTGTTATATTACTGTCTTGATGTCTGCAGTGTCTGTAGTGATATCTCTTATTTCTGACGTTGGTAATTTGTGTTACTCTTTCAGCAAGATTGATAGAGGTTTTTCAATTTTATTGATCTTATTATTTGTAGCTCTTTGTTTCATTGATTTCTCTATTGCTTTTCTATTTTTTATTTCACTGATTTCTGCTTTCATCTTTTTATTTTCTTTCTTTTGCTTACTTTGCATTTAGTTTGCATTTCTTTTTTGTAGATTCTCAAGGTGGGAACTTAGGTTATTGATTTGAGACTTTTTTCCCTTCTAGTGTGCTCATTTAATGCTATAAATGTTTCTATAGCACTGCCTTAGCTGTTTTGCTCAAATTTTTAGTCATTGTATTTTCCTTTCATTCCATTAAATGTATTTCTAAATTTCCCTTAAGACTTTCCCTTTGACCCACGTATTATTTAGATATATGTTATTTAGTTTCCAACTGTTTGTAGATTTTTCTGTTATCTTTTTGTCATTGACTTCTAGTTTAATTCCACCATATCCAGAGAATGCCCTCTGTATAATTACAATTCTTTTAAATTTGTGAGCATTGTTTTATGCACAATATGGCCTACTTGATATTTATTCTGTGAACATCTGAAAAGTATGTGCATTTTGTGGTTGCTGGGTGGATTGTCTACAAATTTTGATTATATTATCTTGATTATGATGGTGCTGACTTCACCTCTATCCTTGATGATTTTCTGTCTCATTGTTGTGGATCAGTTGTTAATAAAGGGGCACTGAAATCTTCAGCTATAATTGTCTATTTGTCTATTTCCACTTTCAAGTAAATCAATTTTTGTTACACATATTTTTTAGCTGTATTATTTGGTGCATACACATATATAATTGTTTGTCTTCACTATTTAATATTTCTCTCTGTCTCTGGAAATTTTTCTCTGCTTTGAAGTCCACATAACTTGATATCAATGTGGCCAGTCTTGCTTTCTTTTGATTAATATTTGAATGATAAATATTTTTTCATGTTTTTACTTTCAGCCTCTATATATCATTAGATAAAAAGTGAGTTTCTTATAAATAGCATAGCTCAGATTTTTAAATTTACTTTCCCAATATTTATCTTTTAATTGATATATTTACACTCTTTATATTTAATGTAATGAATGAAATGTTAAGGCTTAAGTCTGCCATTTCTTTGGCTTTCTGCTTTTTCTGTGTTTTTATTTCTTTGTTTTCTTTTGTCTGTCTTACTGTGGACATTTTTTACTATTCCATTTTGATTTATTTATAATGTTATCATGTGTACATTGCTGTATAGCTTTTTCAGTGGTTCTTCTAGGTGTTACTTACTTAATTAACTAATTAATTAAAGAGACAAGGTCTTGCTTTGTTGCCCAGGCTGGAGTGCAATGGGGTGATCATAGCACACTGCAGCCTCAAACTCTTTGCCTAATGCAATCCTCTAGACTCAGCTTCCCAAAGTTCTGGGATTATAGGCATGAGCCACTGTGCTTGGCCAGTATTACTTTATATATACAAAATTTATCACGGTCTGCTGTATACTCATTTTGCCAGTTCAAGTGAAATATGAAAACCTTACCTCCCTTTATGTCCCTTTACCTTTCCCTAATCTTAACACAGTTGTCTTAAATATTTCCTCTACATACATCTTGAACCACATCAGAGAGAGTTGCAATTTTTGCTTGAACCATCAAACTTAATTTTGAAAACTCAATAGACAAAGGAAATTTTATTATATTTATCCATATTTTTACTTACTGTGTTCTTTTTTCCTTCTCAGTGTTCCAAGATTCATTCTTTTATGGTTATCTTTCTGTTAAGCAAACTTTCTCTAGCCATTATTTCAGGGTAGGTGTGCTGGCAATAAGTTCTCTTAGTTTTTATTCATCTAAGAATGTCTTGACTTCTGCCTTTGATTACTGAAGATATTTCACTGGATATGGGATTAAGCTTTGACAGTTCTTTTGGCGCTTGAAAAATGTGCCACTTCCTTCTTGCCTCCAGGTTTCTGATGAGAAATCTGTCTTTCAAATTTTTTTTCTTTATAGGTAAGGTCTCATTTCTGTCTTGTTACCTTAAAGACTTTTTTTTTCTTTGTTTTTAGTGTTCAGAAGTTTGACTATGATGTTTATTGGTGTAGGCATATGATATTTATAGGTTTATTGGTCTACACCAATAGCCTTTCTGGTGTGCTTGCTTGTTTCTGTAGGTTTTGGTCAAGTTTGGGAAGTTTTATGAATTAATTCTTTGAACACTCTTTCTGGTCCAGCCTGTCTCTGTTCTTCCCTGACCTCCAAGACATGGATCTCAGCTCTTTTGTTACACTGTCATTTTCATCTACTTTCTTTCTGTTTTACAGATTGGACAATTTCTGTTGTTCTGTCTTCAATTCACTGATTCTTTCCTTTTTCCCCTCCATCTTATTTTGTTCCTCTAAGGAACTTTTTATCATGGATATTTTACTTTTTAATTCTAAAACTTCTATTTTTTTTTCTATAGCTTCTGTTCTGTGTTGAGACTTTCAGTTTTTTAAAAGTTTGTTACCAGCATGTTTGTACTTGGTCGTTGCATCATTTTACAATGGCTGCTTTAAAAACATCTTTGTCCAGTAATTCTGATCTCTGTCATCTCTGCTTGATTTATTTTTATTGAGTTTCATCTCCCTCATTCTTGGTTTGACGAATAATTTTCTATCATAACCTGGATATTCTGTATATTATAATACAAGGCTTTTTTTTTTTTTTTTTCTCACTGCTTTGTCAGGGGAAGGTGTGGTACAGCCTCGTTACCACTGGGTCAGGGTAGAAATCAGGTTCCAGCTTAGCCTCTATTGATACAAGAGTTCCTGGGATTCCTTGTTAATGCTAGTGTGTACAGGACTTCCAGATCCATGCTAGGCCTCTACTGATAGTTCCCTAGATGGGAGGAGCTGAGGTGATTTGTCACTTTCCACATAGCTTTCACTGACACCATATGCATGGCCTCATTACTGCCAAGTGGTGGAGAAAGTTTGGAACATCTACTAATCCTCTGACATGACTCCCATAAAGAGCAAGAGGGAGTTGCCCCTGCTGGTTTAGATGAAACTCCAGGCTTCCTACATGGCTTTTACTACCATTAGGGGACGGGCCTCATTGCAGCTTGGCAGGAATCAACGTCCTGGCCCCCTTAGTCTGTGGCCTTCTCTGGTGTCACTCCATCAGTGGGTTGGGCACCTGGTGAGGGCAGAAGTCTTAGCTGTCTGTTCAGCATTTGCTAGCCTGGAATAGGGCAGGGCCACGTTTTTTGGGGGGATGCTTGGTTGGAGTACAGTGGCCAGTGTCTAAAAGGTTTCTTGTCCTACTAGGTTGCACCCTTTCTGGTCCTGTGGCTAGATCGCACAGGCATCAGTTTTTGTCTGTTTGTGCCCGTTGGTGTTTCCAAGTTGCCAGCTTCTTTAGCTCCAAACCTGGGATGTGTAAGACAGGAAGAAAACCAGACAGTCACCACTAGGCCATCCCTTCGGTTCCAAGACCTATCTGCCTGCTTCTTTCTACCATTCAGATTTTTCCTACATTTATTTTATGTATAATATGCACTTTTATTTATAAATATAAATATATGATATTTATTTTTAGTGGGAGGAATAGAGGAAAATGCATTTTCATCTTTCTGAAAGTGGCAATCCCCCTAGATTTGTTTTCATTTTAATTTATACTTCTTGTGGTTTTCTGAGCCTCTTGAATCTAAATTTGTCTTTCACCAAATTTGAGGCATTTTGACCATTATTTCTTCTAATTTTTTTTTTCTGTCTCATCTTCTTCCTCTTTTTTATCTGAGGTTCTAATTACATGTACTACACCTTTTGGTATAATCCCATGGATCACTAGGGGTGTGCTCATGTTTTTAACCATTGTCTTGCCTCTATATTTTTTATATTGGATAATTTATATTTAGTGCCTTAAGTTCACTGATTATTTCTTCAGTCATTTCCAATCTGTTCTTAAGCCTAAACAATAAATTCATTATTCAGTATACAATATGTATCAAGTTTAGCATTTGTATTGGATTCTTTTAAAGTTTCAATTTCTCTACTAGGATTTACTGTTAGTTTTTTATTACAGCAATTTTTTATTATAAAGCATTACATATTCTCTTTTGTATTCTTAAGCATATTTATAATAGCTACTTTGAAATTCTTAGATGCTAAATCCATCATCTGAATCCTATTGGGATTAGTCTGCACTGATTGCGTTTTCTCTTGAGCACAGGTCCTTTTTTTTTGTTTCTTTTACGTATAATAATTTTGAATTGTCTCCTGGATATTTTATGGTTATATTGTACAGGCTCTGGATTCTGTTAAATTTAAAGTGTTCATTTTTATTTATTTGTTTTTAAGCCAGTTAACTTGGCTGAGTGTGAACTCCCAGTTCTGTCTTCCTTGTGGCAGGCAAGCCCTGAAACACAGGTGGTTCTCGCGCTGGAGTTGGGCTGGTATAGGCTTATGCTCCCCGCATGCATATGCATAATTGAGGGGCGAGTTAGAGATCTGGGGAGAGATGATGTACATCTGTATACATCACTGTGGGCCTCTCTTGTGGTTCTTTTCCTTCTAGGATTTTGCACCTCACTCTCCAGCTGCTGCTTTAATAGTTCCAGGCTCTTCTTTAGGTTCTTCAAGCAAGGGAGATGGAGGGGTCCTATCTGAGCATCAGCTGCCTTGCAGCGCTGACCCACAGCTTCTTAAGTGAAAAGCCATTCTTTCCTCTAAATGGCAACTCCTGTCCATTTCTGCTTGTCTTTGAGTCTCTCCGGGGCTTTCAGGGAGTAGTTTTTCATCTGACATCCAGAGATAATGGATGTTACCTCATAGCAGGCATTCTGCCATTCCTGGATGCAGAAAATGTTTTGATTTCAAGAATTTCATTTTATATTACTTCCATCATTCCAAAGAGATTTTTGGAATTAGAAGAGGAATTATAAGTGATGAGCCAAAAGTTAGGTTAGATGGAAATAATTCAACTTTTTCAAACTATGATCTTTAGATATATACAGAGATTAAGATATACATTTATTTGAGGAGGCCAGTATAATGGAAAGGGACTATCTCTGGGATTTATTTAAATCATTTGCTTCCATGGGGTGGTTGGGGACATCATTACTTAGAACAAAGGACCCTCTGAAGATCCCTGAGGCATTTCATTTGGGAATCACTGATTGATGTCTTTGAAAGAAAATTACTTGTTTATATCCTCAGAGGAAGTGGAGTTGTACAACTTGAAATTATGCCACTCTGTATATGAAAATTGTGCTTTTGATGTGATCAAAAATAAAACACTCTAAGTCAAAGATGATTGTTTTTTTGATCATTGGTTAAGTTCAAGTCAACGTGATACCCAGATGTAATGCTACTGGTGAGCAGGGCAGGTAGCACAAAAGTAAGTTTTGGTAAAGAAAACTACGTGATGTCCTGATTATTTCCTAAATTTTCATCTTTAACAATGAACCAACTGCAGTTAAATCATTTATCACACTCAAAGCTAAAATACTCATTCAGTGAAAGCTCTTCACTTTCTATATTCAGTCAAATAAAATAAGATTCATATTATATATAAGAAGTAAAACCAATAGAAGTGCTCCTTGAACTCAGTAGGAATTTTGAACTCTTATGTCAAATTTATTTTTATCTGCCTGCTATTTTTTTTTTCTTTTTTGAGACAGAGTCTCACACTCTCACCCTGGCTGGAGTGAAATGGCACAATCTCTGCTCGCTGCAACCTCCCCCTCCCGGGTTCAAGGGATTCTCCTGCCTCAGCCTCCCAACTAGCTGGGATTACAGGTGCCCGCCACCATGTCCAGCTAATTTTTTTTTTTTTTTGTATTTTTAGTAGAGTTGGGGTTTCACTATGTTGGGCAGCCTGGTCTTGAACTCCTGACCTCGTGATCCACCCACCTCGGCCTCTCAAAGTGCTGGGATTACATGTGTGCACCACTGCGCCCGGCATATCTGCCTGCTATTGAGATTGATATGATTTGCTTCAGAGGTTGATCATTCATTTATATTTACTGTTAATATTATTACTATGAAAAACAATAAGAATGATTTTATTCATATGTCATGTATTGTGTGTAAACTGTTGACCAAGAGCTAGAAAACTGTACACACTTCACCTTTCCTCAGTTATATGATTTCAGCTCAGCACATGATAATTCTAAGAGAAGAATTGCTATTCAACAAAGTTTTTTTCTTACTTGTCTTTCATCTTTTAGATTTACTAAAAATAGATGCTTGGCCAACTTGTTCACTTATACCATTGGCATCTGAGCATGCAGAGGCTAAATGTGATAGTATAATGAGTTTCAAATTACTCAATTCAACAGTTCTCTGCTATTAGGAGACAAAGGAATGCAATATGTGTCATTATTCTAATGAGCCACATGCTCTAGTTTCTCTAATGCAGAACTGAATTAACAGACATTTCTGTTATTGGTATCTCTACTCTTAAGAATTCCATCAAATCTTGAAATTAGTCTCAGCTTACAAAAGGATGTTTCTCGGTCCATAAGGAAATTCCTTAAAAATAATGGCATGGTGTCCATTCGGAAGCAAATACTTAAACACAACAAGACTATTTAGGAAAAAAATATATTTAGATTATGTCATTCATTTTATTTGTGGAGTGATTCATTAAATATTAAGCCATGAGATGACATCTGGATTCACGAAAATATGTACTAAATTAGAACTGGAAGCTTCTTTGGTAGTCATCCAGTAGAGAGAATTTCAGGAAATGAGGGGTGAATTTCACCGGAGTGAGCTACTATTCCATTCAGACACATGAATTATGCCTGCTGTTGCATTCATCATCCCCAGCTTCTAGTGACTCAGGATGAGCGTGGATGATCTAGAACACAGGTTTCTGAGTGCCTCGTGTGAACATGTTACAGTCTCGACAGTTGTAGAAACATACTGAAGTTTTAACTGTGCGGTGTCTGAATTTAGATTGTTTCAACAATCACGTTGATGCGTTAGTTACCCTTGGTTGTCACTGGAATCTGAATGTTTGTTTCCTCCCCAAATCATGTGTTGAAACCCAATCCCCAGTGTATTAAGAAGTGGGGCCCTTACGAGGTGATTAGGACGTGAGGGTGGGGGGTCCTCCTGCGTGGGATTAGTGCTCCTATAAAAGAGGTCCCAGAGAGCTCTCCCGTCCCTTCTGCCATGTGAGGACAATGAGAAGGCACCCAAGCAGACTAAAACAATTACCATCTAAGAGATACTCTGAGTGTTGCTTTAGTCTGGTTTGGCTGTTATAACAGAATACCACAAACTGAGGGACTTAAAAACACCAGAAACTTATTTCTCACAGTTCTGGAGGCTGGAAAGTTTTGGATCAAGTTACCAACAGTTTCAGTGTCTGGTGAGGGCCTGCTTTCTGGTTAAGACAGCATCATCTCACTGTGCCCTCACACGATGGAAGGGGTGAGTGAATTCCCAGGGGCACCTTTTATAAGGGCATTAATCCCATTCATGAGGGCTCCATCCTCATAACATAATCACCTCCCAACGCCCCACCTGCTAATGCCATCATCTTGGGGCTGAGGATTTCAACATATGAATTTTGGGGGGGACACAGTTATTTAGTCTATCACATTCTTCCCCTGGACACCCAGCATTCATGCTCTTCTCACATGGTTTCAGTCCAAAAGTCTAAAGCCCAAAGTCTTAGCTGAATATCCTCTAAATCAGATATGGGTGAGACCCAAGGTATGATTTATCTTTGGGCAGAATTCTTTTCAAGCTGTGAAACTGTGACCAGACAAGTTGTGTGCTTCCAAAATACAATGGGGGCAGGCACAGGATAGACATTCCCATTCCAAAAGGAAGAAGTGAGAAGGAAGAAGGGAGTGAGAGGTGCAGAGAAAGTCCAGAACCGAGCGGGGCAAGTTCCATCAGACCTTAAAGCTTCAGATTAGCCCTCCTTGGCCCACGCTTTGCCCTGCAGACCCATGGGGAAAGAGTTCCATATCTTCCAGTCACACTGGGGCAGCAGCTGTGTCCCAGCAGTTTTGCCAGGCAGGGATTGGGCCGCATGACTTTGGGGATCCCCTGCCCCTGTAGCAGCTTATGCCTGTGCCCCACAGCTCTCTGGGACTGGGGTCCTAATGGCTGTGCTTGGAAGCCCAGTGCTTTGAAATCTAGGTGGAGGCCATTGTGCCCCCTCTGCTCTGTTGAGCGCAGCCCTCACCACACCAGGGCCCCCCAGAACCCCTGCTGGGGTGGCTGAGGAGTGTGGTGCTGGAGAGCAGGGAGCAGAGCCCAAGAGGTAAGGCAGTGCACATCAGGGCAGGGCAGGGCGCCTCTCCGTCCTGCAGGTACCAGCATCCCTCCTTTGCATTCTCCCATTGTCTTGCACAGCAGCTCTTGGCTTCTGTTGGGGTGGCTGACTAATGAATGTCTTTCTTAAATGGTCCTTTGGCCACACCCATCCCGGTATTCTCTCCCAAACAGGCTTTCTCATTCCTTTCAAAATAGATAGGTTGAACATTTCCCAAATCTTTAAATTCTGCTTCTTTCTTCTTCTTCTTCTTCTTCTTCTTTTTTTTTTTTTTTTGTTTTTTGTTTTTTGAGATGGAGTTTCACTCTTGTCACTCAGGATGGAGTGCAATGGCACGATCACTGCAACCTCCACCTCCCGGGTTCAAGCGATTCTCCTGCTTCAGCCTCCCGAGTAGCTGGGATTACAGGTGCCCGCCACTACGCCTGGCTAATTTTTGTATTTTTAGTAAAGACGGGGTTTCACCATATTGGCCAGGCTGGTCACAAACTCCTCAGGTGACCTGCCTGCCTCAGCCTCCCAAAGTGCTGGGATTACAGGTGTGAGCCACCATGCCCAGCCTGCTCCCTTCTTAACTAACAATTCCATCTTTAAGTCATTTCCCTCTCCTCCCATTTTACAATAAGCTATTAGAGAAACAGGTCACTTCAACACTTTGTTTAGCATATTTCCTTAGCCGATATTCAACTCCATTACTCCTAGTTCCACCTTCCACGAAAACTATGACTATAACACGAACATGGTTCAGTCAAGCTCCTTGCCACTTGGTAACAAGGATCACCTGTCTTCCAGTTTCCAATAACATGTTCCTCATTTTTTGTCTGAGACCTCATTGGAATGACCTTTACTGTCCATATTCCAACCAACATTCTGCTCTGGATTGCTTATATATTCTCTAAGAAAATGGAGACTTTCTCTACAACTCTCCTCTTTTCTTTCTGGGCCCTCACCAGAGTTGCTTTAAACAGTCCATTCATGAAAATGTAGGCTTCTTCTAGCACACATCTCTTCCAGCCTCTACCCATAACCTGGTCCCAAAGCCACTTCCACATTTCAAGGTATTTGTTATAGCAGCACCCCAGTCTTGGTGCCAATTTCTTTCTTTTTTTTCTTTCTCTTCTTTTCTTTTTTCTTTCTTTCTTTCTTTTCTTTTTTTTTTTTTTTTTTGAGACAGAGTCTCACTCTGTTGCCCAGGCTGGAGTGCAGTAGCACATTCTTGGCTCACTGCAACCTCCACCTCCCAGGTTCAAGCAATTCTCCTGCCTCAGCCTCCTGAGTAGCTGGGATTACAGGCACCTGCCACAATGCCCCGCTAATTTTTGTATTTTTTTTGGTAGAGACGGGGTTTCACCATGTTGGCCAGGCTGGCCTTGAACTCCTGACCTCAAGTGATCCACCTGTCTCGGCCTCCCAAAGTGCTGGGATTACAAGTGCAAGCCACTGCGCCCGGCCGCCAATTTCTATCTGGGTTCATTCAGTCTGCTATAACAGAATACCAAATATTGGGTAGCTCATACATAACAGGAATGTATTTCTCACAGTTCTGCAGGCTGGGAAGTTCAAGACCAAGGTGCTGGCAGATTTGATATCTGGTCAGGGTCTGCTTCCTGGTTCACAGACGGCCATGTTCTCATTGTGCCCTCACATGGTGGTAGGAGCGAGGGGTCTCTCTGAGACCTCTTTTATGAGGCCTCCCCCATCATGACCTAATCACCTCCCGAAGGCTCTTACAACCAATCCCATTTAGGATTAGATTTTAACATAAGAATTTTGTGAAAGACACAAACTTTCAGTCTATAGCAGGTGTGTTAAGCATTCAGCACTCAGCTAGGTGCAGTGAGGAACACAGAAGCATGAACCATGGCCTGTTTCCAAGGAGCTCATTATGGGCACTTTTGGAAAATTGGGTTAAATACCTTTGTGCAGTTGAAACCATTTGGAATTCATAGATGGGAATATTTATTATGAGGACCATGCTTTGAGCTGAATCTGGTAGGATTTGAATGGAAAGAGGTATAACGGAAAACAGAACAAAACACAAATGGCCACCGATCAGTTGTCAAGATATTGAAACAAAGGAGAAGCCTCATCTGGGGAAGTGACAGGATAGCATCACCACTCAAACAGGAAGGGTCTTAAATATGAAAGAGTCAAAGTAGCAGGCAGGATATGCAGAAAATTGAGAGTGGACTCCTCCCTTACACCTTATACAAAAATCAAATCAAGATGGATTAAAGATTTAAATGTCAAACCCAACACTATAAAAACCCTGGAAGAAAATATAGGCAATGCTATTCACGATATAGGCATGGGCAAAGATTTTATGACAAAAATGTCAAAAGCAGTTTCAAAAAATGCAAAAATTGACAAATGGGACCTAATTAAACTAAAGAGCTTCTGCACAGCAAAAGACACTATCATCAGTGTGAACAGACAACCTACAGAATGAGAGAACATTTTTGCAAGCTATCCATCTGACAATTGTCTAATATCCAGAATCTACAAGGAACTTAAACAAATTTGCAAGGAAAAAAACAACCCCATTAAAAAGTGGGCAAAGGACATGAACAGACAATTCTCAAAAGAAGACGTTTATGCAGCCAACAAACATGAAAAAAAGCTCAACGTCACTGATCATTAGTGAAATGCAAATCAAAACCACAATGAGATACCATCTCACACCAGTCAGAATGGTGATTATTACAAAGTCAAGAAACAACAGATGCTGGTGAGACTGTGGAGAAATAGGAATGAGTTTACACTGTTGGTGAGAATGTAAATTAGTTCAACCATTGTGAAAGACAGCGTGGTGATTCCTCAAAGACCTAGAACCAGAAATACCATTTGACCTGGCAATCCCATAACTGGGTATATACAAAGGAATATAAATCATTATTCTATTATAAAGATACATGCACGCATATGTTCATTGCACCATTCACAACAGCAAAGACATGGAATCAACCCAAATGCCCATCAATGATAGACTGGATAAGGAAAACGTGGTACATATATACCGTGGAATACTGTGCGGCCATAAAAAGGAACAAGATCATGTCCTTTGCTGAAGCCATCATCCTCAGCAAACTAACACAGGAACAGAAAATTAAACACTGCATGTTCTCACTTACAAGTGGGAGCTAGAACAATGAGAACAGATGGACACAGGGTGGGGAATAACACACACTGAGGCCTGTGGTGGGGTAGTGCGGGGAGGGAGAGCATCAGGAAAAATAGCTAATGAATGCTGGGCTTAATACCTAGGTGATGGGTTGATAGATGCAGCAAACCACCATGGCACATGTTTGCCTATGTAACAAACAGGCACATCCTGCACATGTATCCCGGAACTTAAAAAAAAAAAAAAAAGTAGCAGGCAGTGTGAGTGATGTTTGTTGAGCAGACGAAGAACATGCAAAAATCACTATTTGTGGGGCTGAAAGCAAAAGCTGGGAATTCCCATGAAGTCATTAGAAGTGAGGGAGCAGAGAGCAGGGTGGTGGCCAGATATGAAAAGTGGATGTAGAGGGGAAAAGAGGGACGTAATTCAAAGACAGCCACTCCATTTTAAGACCAGATGACTTGGGAAATACTGTTTTCCATGAGGAAATTGGAAATAATTGGAAGGAGCTGGTGCATTGAAGGTAAAAAAGCCAATTGGAGTATGAGGGAGGGGTAAGCAATTGTTACATGAGAGATTTCTTCCTAAACACGGCTGGCCTCCTGCCTTGCTTCTCACTGCTGTCTGCAGGGCAAACAGTCTTTTCTGCTGGGAGAGTGACAGTCCTTTTTCTTCTTTCCTGATCTGGGCCCATTAAGTTCATAAATAGTAACAGCATGGTCTCTGACTCTCTCCCTGTCAGGCCAGTCATGGCCATAACCCTATGTGATTCTGCAAGGTCTTACTGTGGCACAGTGATGGGAGTGTATCTTCACTGGTACCTGGGCAGACGTGTTATCTGTTCATCCCCATTGGCTTATTCCTCTTACTTCCCATTTGATCTTGGGCAAGGGAAAGGGTGTGGCCAAACCCCACTCACGTCATTTTTACTGTCAAATTTAAAGCAGAGATATTGGGTGTCCAGTAGGCCATCAGAGATAACATGTCTTTATCTGTTTGTATTTTTCAAAGTTTTACCATTGATGTGTTAGGTGCTGACCTGGTGTTCAGCTCAGGAGACTGCAGATGGTGTCATTGGGGTGCTGTGACAAGGTCTTGTGCTGCTGTTACTCTGCTCATTCCCACCCAGGCTTTCAAAGAGAGGGGAGGCTGAGGCGGGTGTATCGCTTGAGGCCAGGACTTCAAGACCAGCCTGGCCAACATGGCAAAACCCCATCTATACAAAAAATGCAAAATTATCCAGGCATGGTGGCAGGTACCTGTAATCCCAGCTACTCAGGAGGCTGAGGTGGGAGAATCGCTTGAACCCGGGAAACAGAGATTGCAGTGAGCCAAGATCGTGCCACTGCACTCCAGCCTGGGTGATAGAAAGAGAATGTTTAAAAAAAAAAAAAAAAAAAGAAAGAAAGAAAAAAAAGGAAAGAAAGAAAGAATGGGAAGCCTAGAGATATGGGTTTAGATAACTCAAACCCTGTACCTTTTCAAATCCCAAAAATTCCAAGAACCTGTTACATTCTAATCTGCATTGTCACAAGCAGTGAAAACACAGAGTCACACAGTCGCCGGAGCTTACCAGAGACTCACAAACTGAGTTTGCTTTGGACCAAGAATAAGAAAGTAAATTAAAGTAGAAAGACCTTTTCGGATTTGACACCAAGCAAAAATCATTCCCCACACGGTTATGTCCATTATAGCTGCTGTTGATGAAGTACCTACTGTGAGTCAGGTGCGTGCTAAATACTCGACATTCACATATCCACTTTGTCATCAGTGTATTAGGAGATGGGGGTTTTTTCCCCGATCTACAGATGGGGAAATTGAGGCTGAGAGCTCAAAGAGGTTGCTCAAGTCCACCCTGGTAGTGAGTGTCAGGCCCATGCTGCCTTACTTCCTTTGTAGTTATTCAGAAGACCCATGGTTTCTGAAATACCTTGAGAATTTGTGCCACTGCCACCTCCCACTCAGGATTTGCAAGGCTAGGAGAGGACAGGCAGGGTCAACTCAGGGGAAGAAGCCTGAAGGAAAACGGTGATGAATTTCCAAGCCCGATGCGAGTGAAAATGTTTCAGACCTTCTTGCCTGGCTCTGCTGATGTGTGGTCAGAAGAGGGTGAGCTTTATGTTTTCCAGAGCTCTAAATCATGACAAATGGCACTGCAACCTGATTGCCTCATTTACTCTTGTCCCGGCAAAAAGATTGAACGCCACACTGCTGACACAGAGAAGGAATTTAGTGTTGGTTGCTGAACAGTGGAGCTGAAATGGACACAAGGGGTCATTTATTCCCACCCTTAATGTGATGAGGAGAGCAGAACTTGGTGATGTCCAGCTGACGCACTGCAACCACATTGTCTCTTGCTGCTGTCATTATTAATGCTATTAACATCGTCAATATCAAGAGGTCATTTAATATTCACTAGTAGTTTGAAAAACAAGATCACGTGAATTATGATGATGCATTATATGTCACTCAGTGATTCTAGGTATCTTTCATCCTTACAATGATTATTTCATTGGATTCTTACTGTAAGGTAAGGATTATCATCCAACCTCTGCCCCCTAACCATGGAGAAAGCGGCTCACAGGACTTGCACCCAGCGAGGCCTCAGGTCAGGCTGGCCTCGGCCCCAGCCGGCCTCCCCACAGCTCTCCTTGCTGGCAGTGCTCAGGCACGTGCCCCTGGTCTCGGGTTAGTATGCCACTTGGCCTCGAGTCCAGGAGGAGCCATCAGTGACTGTGCCGTCCCCAGTCCGATTGAGGAAAGTGATGAGTGGGCCACAGCCTCCACACTTCACGAATCCCATCGCGTCTCATGTCCTCAGTCTGCCTCCCTCCAGGCCTTTGCAGGAGGCCTCTCCACCCTCAGACCTCTACAAGTCCCAGAGGACCCCTATATCCTCCCCCCTGCATCTCTCCTTCTCTTCCTCTCCCTGCTTCCCTTTCATCCTTGAGCAGATTTGGCATTGAGTTGTTAGCTCCTCATCGGCTGATGAGGGCAGCATTGTTTCCTGTGCTCTGCACACTGTTTAGGTGAATGTTTGTGTTCTCAGATGGCCCCTGAAATGGCTTGGCTGTGTGTCCCCACCCAAATCTCACCTTGGATTATAATAATCCCTACATGTCAAGGGCGGGACTAGTAGAGGTAATTGGATTATGGGGGCAATTCCCCCATGCTGTTCACGTGATAGTGAGTGAGTCTCACGAGATCTGATGGTTTTATAAGCGTCTGGCATTTCCCCTGCTCGCACTCATTCTCTCTTCTGCCACCCTGTGAAGAGGTGCCTTCCGCCATGATTGTATGTTTCCTGAGGCCTCCCCAGCCATGTGGAACTGTGAGTCAATTATACCTCTTTTCTTGATAAATTACCTAGTCTTGGGTATTTCTTCATAGCAGCGTGAGAACGGACTAATACAGTCCCTGACTCCCAGAACTGCCCTAAGCTTTGGGCTCCTTTGCAAGCTTCCAGATTAATATATTCCAGCCTAGTCACATCTTTTAGAGGTTGCCCACTCTCCTCGGCTTATGGCCCCCCTTACCCCATCCTCAAGCCAGCAGTGGTGAGTGGAGCCCTTTTGTCATGCTTCTAATCTCTCTGATTAGGGAAGTTCTCTGTTTTTAAGGAGGCAAGTGATTAGATTGTGCCCCCTGGGAAAATCACATATAATCTTCTGATATTAAGGTCCAGAACCTGAATTCCATGTGCAACAGTGTCTTTTGCCAAGTAAGGTACCATATTCACAAGTGTGACACCAGGGGTGCAGGTCCTGCTTGCCACACCACCTTCACACCCAGGATGGCGTGGACAGCAGGTGCCTGTTGCAGAGTGGAAGGCTTGGAGTAGGGAATGCGGCCGGGCGCTGCTTCAGGTGCTCTGTGCTTGTAAATCTCGATGTAGGTCATGCAGTCATAGCCAGAGCCCTCAGACATGGTTGCTGTTTTTATCCCATTCTATGATGAAGGGACTGAGGCACAGAGAATAAGTGACCTGCCAAAGTCACAGAGCTGGAGGGACCCAGGCACTCTGGTCTCAGAGCTCATGTTCTCACCTCCTGCACCATCGTGCGCTCTGCAGAGAAACACAAGTGTACCGGGAAGTGCCAGACAGCAGCCTGGCACCCAGGCCTTTAGACATGGGAAGATGCCGAACTGCAGTGGCGTCTGCCCTGGTCCAACCACCCTATGCATTTTTTAGGTCATGGAACCTTGACTTTTCAAACGTTCTCATCCTCTCTCTTGCTACTTTAGTAAAAGCTTCTGTGTTTTCCAGGCTGGGAATGATTTCATGTTTATGTCACTTTCTGCCCCCTCCTCATACAGATGCGTACCCTAATTCTGAAGTCGTTTACGTCTGGACCAACGGCTCCACCAAGTCGGTGGTGGTGGCGGAAGATGGCTCCAGACTGAACCAGTACCACCTGATGGGGCAGACGGTGGGCACTGAGAACATCAGCACCAGCACAGGTGAGGGCTCGGCACGCGCTGTGCTGCCAGGCGCACTCAGGACACCACACCCTTGGAGAGCTTGCTGCTCCCAGCACCTCTCTGCAGGGGCCACGTGGGAGGCCGCACAGCAGCCTCCCACACAACCTGTCCTGGCCAGCTGTGCTCTCCATGGGCCACAGCTGTATGAGAGCTGGCCAAAGGAATCCTCCCAGCCTGCCCCTCCCTGCAGCTGCACACAGAGGCACCAGCTGTGGCCGGGGGTTGCGGTGGACCTGCTTATATAACACCCCCCTAAGCAGGAAAGGTAGACAGCTTCCTACAAATACCCCAGTTACCTGCTTCCCCACCTCCTGCTTTAAACAGTGCAGAGATTTCCCTGGAGTTGAAATTGGGAAAGCACAACCAGGCAGCCTACAGAGAAGAGCTGAAATGTACAAGAAGGAAGCAGATGCTCTCAATGCCAAGTGCCCTGGGCTGGCCTGAGCCCTGCAGGGCCAATATAGCCCCATCCCAGCCTGGCTTCCCTTGACACAAAGTTGGTGGGGAAACCAAAGAAACAGGATGCATTGCATCTCCAGAGCCTGCAAGTTATGTGGCCAGATGTCTCCAGGACAGGAAGGCCCAGCCATAGAGGTCAAGGTCACCAGGGGTGCTGTGAGCAAGGGAGGGGATTTTGAGCTCCAAAGAGCCTCTGCAGCCTTGGAGAAAAGCCTAAAGGGAGGGAGGGGGCCCTGATGGCAGAAAGAGCTCTAAGCCCCAGAGGATATTTTCAGGGGAACGCTCTGTCAGCATAGCTGATTGTCAGCACCCCTACCGTTGCAGCTGGCCGAGCACACAGGCCATTTAGTGCATAGCCTGTTCTGCATGCACACACACGCAGTCAGCACCCTGTTGACCCATGGGCCTGCGCGCTGGGCATCCCTGGGGGATATGAGAGTCTGGGAGGATGGCTTCACCATTTGGTTACCATGCTAAAGGGAAAGGCAGAGGGAACCGGCCGGTTTTATGCAAACCAGTGGAAAGTAGTGCAGCAGGAGTTTGGTGTAAGCAATTGCGATGCTGAGGGAGGATGCTCCAGTTTGGAGCTGTTTCATGTAGTTCTTTAAATATTAATAACTGGGATTTCTACTCCTATTTGCATTCTACAATCTTTTAAAACAAACACTACCAAATTTTCCTACCCTCAACTCAAAAATAAAACAAAATGAAAAGAACTACCGCCAAAATAATTAGAAGTAGGAGAGTAATTTCAAGTCCTACTGTAAAACAGAATGCCATTTCACTTCTTCAAGTGCTAAGGAGACAAAGACTTGGATCACCAGTAGAGATCCAGTCCTTGCTACCAACATACCCTCTGCCTCTTCTTTGCCCATTTCTCGGCTCTGCTCCCTCACCTGCTGCGGACTATGGGGAAAGTGCACCTTTGCACTGCGGGCCTGTCCAGGCACTGCTGAGATTGTTGGCTCCTCTTGTGTTAGAGGGCAGATTTTTGCCACATGTGATTGCTATGGTTCCTTCGTCTCCGACATATGCCATGTTTTGAGTTGGCACTCAGTGAAGCATCCACAGTGGCCCTTGCTGAGCTGTGGGCTTCCATCCCAACAGTAAGCACTGCAACTGTGCTGTCAGACTCTAATGTCCCAACACGCAGTCCCTGCAGCAGCAGACCACTACTCTGACAGACAGACCAGGGCCTGCGCTGATGGAGCCCCCAAAGCCTGTTCTCCCCACGTTCACAGTGCATCCCAGCTCTCTGGCCATACCATCCACTCCTCGCAATTCAGCCAAAGTTTTTTGAATTGCTCTTCCTCCACCCCTCAAAGAACACTTCCCATCTCCCCAAGGTGAGGCAAATCCAGGTAGCAAGAAGACTGGCCCAGCGGGCCTCACACTCCCTGACCACAGCTCCCGACCTCAGCTCCTTACCAGTTCACCGTGAGGACGGCATCATTCTCAGCAATGAATGGGAGGTCTCCTCGTGCCTCCCACACAGCCAGGCAAATCCAGAGAAGGCACTGGGGCATCGCCAATGAAATGCCCCCGATTTCAAAGAACAGGCGACACCTCTCTGGTAGGTGGCAGAAGGGTTGAGCTGCCAGGACCCAGAGCCTCCTGAGCTGCTGCATCTCACTCTGCACCTGCGACACAGCCAGCACAGGGCCTGCTGCTGGTGGGAGTGGTCGTCTCACCTCCCTGGAGCCTCTAGACTGGAAACAGGAAGGACTCTGTCCACCCTCTGCAGGGCTCTGTGAAATCCTGAGTTACATCTGGGGAGGCTAAATCCTGAAATCCTAATTGCAGAAGCAGGCGAGGGAGTGGGGGGAGAGAGGCACAGATTGTGACTGGAGATTAGTAAAACACACAAATCTGATTTTCCCCAGGAAGAGCATCCGTCATCAAAGGCTCTTCAGAGACCAGGGGTCATAAGACTTACTTATAAAATGACCGATAACAAATTCATGCATCCTCCTGTGTCCTCTCCTTAACCCAGATCATACAAATGAATGCTTGTCCAAACCGACAGGGGAGTGGAAGGGAGGCTCCTGGTGAACTCCTTGGATGCAGCAAGCAGAGACTCTAGGGGACTGATGTGCAGTCATTTGCTTATTTGCAGGCGAATACACAATCATGACAGCTCACTTCCACCTGAAAAGGAAGATTGGCTACTTTGTCATCCAGACCTACCTTCCCTGCATAATGACCGTGATCTTATCACAGGTGTCCTTTTGGCTGAACCGGGAATCAGTCCCAGCCAGGACAGTTTTTGGTGAGTGTCCCCAAGCCAGGCCTGGACACTGGTGTTTTGTGACTGACCCTAACCACCCGGAAGCAACAGCAACAACCTCCACGAAACTTCTAGTGCTGCCTCTTTGTTGTGTGACCTGGAAAAGAAATTGACCCACTAATTAAGAATTTAATGTTAAGGATTAGAGTTTAGGATTTCTCTCCAAAGAAGGGTTTAAGGAATATCACATGGTCTATTTGATAGTTATTTACTTGTTGAAAAGCCTTTTTGTGTGGTTTGACATTGCCAGCATGTATCTGTTTTATGTGAGATTTTGCTATGCAGGTTGAGCATTCCTTATCCCAAATGCTTGGGACCGGAAGTGTTTCAGATATCAGATTTTTTTTAAATTTTGGAAGAATTGCATGATACCAGTTGAGCATCCCTAATCTGAAAATCCGAAATGAGCTCCACGGAGCATTTTCTTTGAGCATTACGTCGGTGCCCAAAAAGTTTTGGATTCTGTAGCGTTTCAGGTTTTGGATTTTTAAAATAAGGATACTCAGTCTGTAGAATTTTTGGTTCTCACCAAGTATGACTTTGTAAGTTAGGCAGTTTTCTTTGAAATGTGCCTGCCACTTTAAAATTAACCACCAAATAACAATCAATGAGATACAATAGTAATAAATTAAATATATATACCTGGTAAGAATCTAGAGCAGCATCATTTTACATCCCTAAGACATAAACTAAATTGGGAGAGCTCTAACTCAGGAGGTACCTCGGCCCAGCAGGCACAGTTGAGCGTCTGAGTCTTAATTACCTCGAAGCTCAGCTTCCTCAGATTCAGGAAGATACTAAAGGCAGTTTTGCCAGTCAGTCGTGATCCTGGATGCTCACATCTTTGTAAACTGTAAAGTACGATTCACACATCAGCATTTGCTATTGCAGTTTCCTTTCCAAAGCAGGAAAATATTAGCGTGCATTTTATCTTAATGCTCCCCCAGGGTGTAGGCTGATCAAGAGCACAGGGAGTTCAGGAGTGAGTGGCACAGGGGTGCTCCCGTCTGATCATCACTCTGCCTCCAGTCAAGAGTCCAGCTTCACTTACCAAGCCTGAGCGAGCATCAGGATTGTTTCAGGAAGGTGTGGAGGTTGGCTGGTGGCCAGGCAGTGCTCCCCAAGTTAATGTGCCTGATGAACTCTTTAGGGGAAATTTAGCTGGTAGGCAGAAAAAAAGCTGGGAGGGTATTGCCTGTTATTGTTGGGTTTTTTGGCGGGGGGTGGAGGGAGATTCCCAATGCATGTTAAGATATTAAAGGCCCAAGAAGAAGACTCAAGAGGCTTGTTTAAGATCATGCATAGAACACTTCCCCCGCAACACAGTGATTAAGTGGATTTCTCAAAAAAAAAATCAAAGATTTCTATTGATTCCTTTGGAAGTGTTGATTTCATGCAGGGAATGACGTTCATGGAGTACTTGTAGAGCTGTGAAGGATGGCATTGAATGAAGCCCCAGCCATACTACGTGTCCTTGGTGCTGTGCTGGTCTCCTGGGACTGCCGTAACCAAGTCCCACACACTGGGGACTTATACAGCAGAAATGTATCATCTCACACTTCTGGAGGCTGGAAGGCTGGGATCAGGGTGTTGGCAGGGCTGGCTCCTCCTGAGGCCTGCAAGGGAAGGATCTGTTCCTGGCCTGTCTCCTGGCCTCTGGTAGCTCTTTAGCTCATGGCAGCATCACTCCCGCCCTCACACGGCATGCTCCCTGTGTGCATGTCTGTCTCCAAGGTTCCCCATTTTATAAGGCATCAGTCATAGCAGATGAGGGCCTATCCCAGTGACCTCATTTTAACTTAATTATTTCTTTAAATACTGTATTTCCAAATAAGGCTGTAATCTAGAGTACTGGAGGTTAGGACTTCAACATATGAATTTTGCAGGCCCACAGTTTGACCAATAGCAGGTGTGTTACACCCCCATCGCCCACACAGGTGCACGCTTATGCAGAAGGCAGGGCTAGCAGGTGGAAGCTATGTGAACTGCGAGAGTCCAGCAGGCCTGGCTCCCAGTGTGGGTAGTCTCATCTCCTTGCTGGCGAGCTTGGGCACCTCGCTAAACACTTTTAAATCTTCAGGCTCCTCCACCTGCCAAACAGGGATACTGACACCCATCCAGAGTGCAGCTTAGACGAGAGTCTGACACTCAGTGGACCCAGTAGCTGGTGCATAATCTGCCAGTCCAAAGGACTGTCCCCTTCCAGGGATCCAGCCTGGCTGTGTGGTCACTGCAAAGTTTTCCTAGTGGCCACAGGCACCATGCACAGCAGGCTCCAGGGGATACTGTTCCCTCTTTGAGGGAGTGACATGCCCAGACCCAGATTTAGATATGGCGCTTCTGTTACTCTCTGGCTCTTACAAGTCTGCAGTCGGGTGAAAGTCTGTCTCACCTGTTTGCAGGGAGCCCTCTACTTCCAGGTGCATAGTAAGTCACTGGGAGGCACCTACTGGCTGCGGCATGAATGTGACTGTCATTCTGCCTTGGATCTTGCCTTAGTGCTGCAGAATCGTATCACTCACTCTACACGTCTTTGTTGAGCACTGGCTGTTTGCCTGGCTTTGTTCATGGCAGTGGGAGCCAAAATCAGACCTGAATCCCTGCCCTCCTCAGTTCACATTCTAAAGGGAAGGGACAATCAAGACACAGAACATCAGCAATCATCTATCTAAGTGCAGTGAATGTGCTAGATGTTAGCAAAACAGTAGAGGAAGGCGCAGGCTGGGATTAAAATCACCAGTCCCTTGGGAGGCCGAGGTGGGTGGATCGCATGAGGCCAGGAATTCGAGACCAGCCTGGCCAACTTGGCAAAACCTCGTCTCTATTAAAAATACAGAAATTAGCCAGGTGTGGTGACACCTGCCTGTAATCCCAGCTACTCAGGCAGCTGAGGCACAAGAATCGCTTGAACCAGGGAGGCAGAGCTTGCAGTGAGCCGAGATTGTGCCACTGCACTCCAGCCTGGGCGACAGAGCAAGACTCTGTCTCAAAATAAAAATAAAAATAAAAATGACTAGTCCCCTTTGTGTCTATCACTTTGGGCATGTTGTACTGGGGTCCTGGGTGCCAGCACTGACCCCTGTTTCCGTTTTTCACTCTGCCCTGCCTGACCCCCGCAGGGGTCACCACGGTGCTGACCATGACGACCCTCAGCATCAGCGCCAGGAACTCTCTGCCCAAAGTGGCCTACGCCACCGCCATGGACTGGTTCATAGCCGTGTGCTATGCCTTCGTCTTCTCGGCGCTGATAGAGTTTGCCACGGTCAATTACTTTACCAAGAGAGGCTGGGCCTGGGATGGCAAAAAAGCCTTGGAAGCAGCCAAGATCAAGGTACTGACTATTTCTCCTCCTTTCTTCCAGGTCCCCTTGACAGAGAAAGTGTGCCTGATTCTATCCAAACATGAGACAAGGTGCTGCTCCTTCCTACCCGCCAGCCCCCGAATGCTCCTTTCCTCATATTCAAGGCCCTTACCAAGTCTTACTGACAACAGGTCCAATTTCACTCCAGCAAAAGGCGATGGGGTGTGAATGGCTTGGCCCTATTTATATTCAAGCCTATTATTTTGGCAGAAGTAACTCCTGCATCTTGAGGGACGACTTGTCTGGTTTTAGTTGTGGAATCTGTTCTTACGCTCATTTTATCTCATTTCACCATGCAGGGTGTCCTCTTCAGGTGGCCCTCAGGTCGAGAAGGGGGCACCAATGTAATGGAAGGAGTTCCTCAGCAAAGCACACCCAAGCCCCACCGAGTGCATGATTGAACCCCCTTACACCAGGCACATAAATTGTTGTGAAAGCATTACTCTGTTCAAAGCAAAGAACCACCAAGTATTTAAAGGATGATTTATGCCCAAACATTTGAAGAAAAAATGTTATTCCAAGCTGCACTGTTTCCTTGGGGAGATAAGAATAACATTCGTGGACGGTAAATAAAGCAGCATGTGGTGAACGGCTAATTTCGCCACACAGAAAACAAACACACAAATCTCTGTATGGAGAGAACAGGAGGTCAGAGCCATCGGGGCGACCTGAAAGTAAAACTTAATCTGTCCTTTGGAAAATCAGCATGAAGGGAGTCCTGGAAGGCATTAGAGAGGCCTCGAAGTGTAAGTCCGACCTCCCAGCCAAGGGCCACAAGCCAGTTACAGCAGAGCAGGAGGCCCTGGTTCCACTGGGAGACCTGCTTCCATCCCATCCACAGCCCCGTGCTTGCTCTGAGGGTTTGACTCTGCTGTCAGGAGTTCTGGCCTGACCTCGCCTGTTGGGCCTTCACTATTTCCAAGTGCCAGGAGCCCCTCCCCCACTGTAGTTTCAGCATAGAAGCCCCACTTCCAAGCCTAGCTCCCAGGTTGGAGGAAGGCCTGGCAGGACCCATTCTGGGTGCTCTCATGAAGGGAGGAAAGGGGAAACCGGAGGAAGGGCCTCGGGCATGGGTATGCTTTGAGGGCTGAGAGGAGGGACAGGAGTGATCTGACTGCACTGGGTGATAGGGACTCGGGGGCTGGGAGCAGGCTGTTCTCAGACGATAGAGGTTCTTGGCCGACACGTTTGAACTTGTTCCTGCAGACCAGGGGTCCAGAGAAGGTGCTGTGTGGGGAGGAACGAGAATGGAGTCTGGGGAGACGGGGCTTCCCAACACCCTGCACTGTGTTGCTGGAAGGTGCTTGTTTGTCACCTGCCTGGGACATAGATGGTGCATGATGGATAGTGGGCTGGAGCCTGGTCTGAGGTCAGGGAGGAGCCGGAAGTCCCTGGCAGTCACTGAGGTTGTTGGGCTCATGCCTGTGAGTCTAGGAGGAACGTGAGCCCCCGGGTGAATGGAGAGAGCACACCTGTGGCTGGGTGTTCTTGTTGGGTGTCGCCGACACTGTCAATCACCATGTCCGCCCTGCCTCCTGTGGCGGCTGATCTAATCACCATAGATCTGAATTCTGAATGGAGGGTTGGAGGGAGGAGAGAGGATGAAAGTGACCTGCACTGTCTAATCCGAGGAGAGAAAGGGTCTTCTAGAATAAGCCGCGTGCCTCAAGCTGGCTTGTGGAATGTTCAGACTCGTTCCTGGGAAGGCAGTGGCGCTGGGGGTTCCACCCCTGCTGCCAGGAAGGCTCTGCGTGCTGGAAGCCATGGTGCATCTGCAGGCATGCAGGCCTCACACCCCGCGGTCAGACACTGGCGCGAGCGTGAATACCACAGCCTGGTGTCAGCCTACTCGAGTAAACTGTTCCATGGAAGTAGAGAGGACTTTAAAAAAATAGACTGTGTTCACCATTGTTCCAAGTTGGGATCTCCAGAAGCAAACACTGGGTCAGAGTTTGGGGTGTAAGGCAGTTTTTAGGAGTGAACGTTTGGGAAAGGAAACAGGAGGCAGTGAGATTCAGAGAGGAAGAGATCGAACCATGATGCAGGCCCAGCAAAGCCCAGGCTAACCCGCTGGGGCGTGTGAGCTGATGCCCAGTGGAGTTGCCTCATGTCAGGGATGTGGCCAGGGCTTTAGACTCCTGCCTCGCTGCCCACCAGATGTGTCTGATTTGCCCAGGAAGGGCCTGACTCTGGCCAGACAGCCCTCTGCAACTCAGGCTGCCAGAAGTTCTGACACCTGGCCACACTGCCTGCAGCTGGGGAGCACGTCCTTCTGGCAAGGCGGATTCCAGGGCGCGTGTAAATCTCCACCACCAGCGCCGTGACTATGCTGAGTCCCAGGCGGGTGCTCCCTGCCACCCGCCCCCACCCCTGCTGCACATTCCTTCCCAGTAAAAACGCACACCCTCAGGACAGAGCAGTATCTTCTAAAGGGCTTGCCCTTCACTTGGTTCTACCCAGAGATAGAACCATTCTAAGCAGTAACTCACATGTATGGATTTCTTCTGGCAGATCTGCATGAGCTCTCAGTGATGGTGGGGAAGGCGGGGACGGCAAAACTGCCATCGCATTTCCGAGGTGTGGCCCGCCTCCCTCAAGCTCCCGCACGGTTTCCCCAGGGGGTCCTCATGCCCCTGCCCCTGGCCTGGTTTTGGTTCACCTGTTTCACCTGTTTCCCCTGACGCCTGCTCCACGCTTGGGCTTTCTGCTTTTTATCTTTTCTTTATTCTTAATGGTTGACTTATTTTCTTTACTCTCTTGTGTTTTTCAAGTTTTAATTAATGAGACTATATTACTTTAGTAGTGGAACACAGGTTGTCTAACATTTTATTGTGCACATTTTTAAACATACAGCAATGTTTAAAGAGGTTTACGGTGAAAACCTGTCTGCTGTTAACACTTACGTATGCCTGTGTCCTCACCACCTGTCACCTCTCTCTCTATCTGTCCATCAATACACCCATCCTCAATTTATCTGTTTTTTTTTTTTTTGCTACATTTCAAAATAAATTTCAGATGGCAATGCATTTCCCACTCCATATGTCAGCATGCATGTCATTATAACTAGAGTCCAATACTAGCTTACTGTTTTATTCCTTTGAAGCAAAATTTGTAGTGTGAAACGCACAAGTACTAACAGCACCTTTGCTGAGTGTGGACAAATATGGACATTGTGTGTAACTCAAATCCCTGCCACAGTAGAGGACATCACCAGCCTCCAGAAAGCTCACCATGCCTCTTCCCAGGCAGTGCTTGACCCCACCTCTCCAAACATATCCACTATTTTTATTTCTTCCACCATAATGTAACTTACCTGTTTAGAATTTTATATCCAAAAAAAAAACTTCACAAAAAATGTATACAAGAATGTTCATAGCTGCTTAATCCGTAAGAGTTAAGATTAGAAAGCCCAGGTGTCCATCGATAGGATAGTAAACAAACGGTGGCACATTCATGCAAAGGTAGGTCACTCAGCCATAAAAAGGAGGGGACGACTGATATACACAGCAATATGGGTGATTCTCAAAAGCCTTGTGCTGGGTGGAAGATACCTTCCCAAAAGAATGCATTCTGTACCATGATGTTTAATCGCATCCTTTCCTCCTTCCCAGCAGGCCACATCTTAGGGCTTCCCTTATATCCACACACCGTATTCCCTCCCGCTGGTGCACTTGAAGGTAAAGAAGCGATGGCTGCCTTGCAGGGGGCAAGTCCTAATTCCGTTTATGGCAAGATCTTGAGAAATGCCAGACTTTATTTTTTTTCTTTTATTTTAGGTTCAGAGGTACATGTGCAGGTTTGTTGTATAGGTAACTCATGTCATGGGAGTTTGTTATACAGATCATTTTGTCACCCAGGTACTAAGCCTAGTACCTAATAGTTATTTTTCTGCTCCTCTTCCTCCTCCCACCTTCCACCCCAATGTCTGTTGTTCCTCTCTTTGTGTTCATGAGTTCTCATCATTCAGCTTCCCCTTGTAAGTAAGAACATGTGGTATTTGGTTTTCTGTTTCTGTGTTAGTTTGCTAAAGATAATGGCCTCCAGCTCCATCCATGTTCCTGCAAAAGACAGGATCTCATTCTTTTTATCATTCTTTTTTATGGCTGCACCATTCCATGGTGTATATGTACCACACTTTCTTTATCCAGTCTGTCATTGATGGGCATTTAGGTTGATTCCATGTCTTTGCTATTGTGAATAGTGTTGCAGTGAACATTCTCATGCATGTGTCTTTATGGTAGAATGATCCGTATTCCTCTGGGAATGTATCCCGTTATGGGATTGCCAGACTTTAATAGCAATCATAGCTCTCATGTGTGCCCTGTCTGCAGGCTACCTGGCGACATCAGTGGAGGAGGGCCCTCTCCCAGGCTAAACAGGTGTTTCTCTCTTTTGAGAGGTATACCTTTAGAACTCCAAGGTGAGCTGACCATTGCCTGCAAATGGCGTGTCCTTACATTCGTATTATATTTTGCAGAAAAAGCGTGAAGTCATACTAAATAAGTCAACAAACGCTTTTACAACTGGGAAGATGTCTCACCCCCCAAACATTCCGAAGGAACAGACCCCAGCAGGGACGTCGAATACAACCTCAGTCTCAGTAAAACCCTCTGAAGAGAAGACTTCTGAAAGCAAAAAGACTTACAACAGTATCAGCAAAATTGACAAAATGTCCCGAATCGTATTCCCAGTCTTGTTCGGCACTTTCAACTTAGTTTACTGGGCAACGTATTTGAATAGGGAGCCGGTGATAAAAGGAGCCGCCTCTCCAAAATAACCGGCCACACTCCCAAACTCCAAGACAGCCATACTTCCAGCGAAATGGTACCAAGGAGAGGTCTTGCTCACAGGGACTCTCCATATGTGAGCACTATCTTTCAGGAAATTTTTGCATGTTTAATAATATGTACAAATAATATTGCCTTGATGTTTCTATATGTAACTTCAGATGTTTCCAAGATGTCCCATTGATAATTCGAGCAAACAACTTTCTGGAAAAACAGGATACGATGACTGACACTCAGATGCCCAGTATCATACGTTGATAGTTTACAAACAAGATACGTATATTTTTAACTGCTTCAAGTGTTACCTAACAATGTTTTTTATACTTCAAATGTCATTTCATACAAATTTTCCCAGTGAATAAATATTTTAGGAAACTCTCCATGATTATTAGTTGACCAACTATATTGCGAGAAACAGAGATCATAAAGAGCACGTTTTCCATTATGAGGAAACTTGGACATTTATGTACAAAATGAATTGCCTTTGATAATTCTTACTGTTCTGAAATTAGGAAAGTACTGCATGATCTTACACGAAGAAATAGAATAGGCAAACTTTTATGCAGGCAGATTAATAACAGAAATACATCATATGTTAGATACACAAAATATTTCCCTGAGGAAAAAAAATCAACTGCTTAAATTTTTTGGGAAGAAAAAGAAACATTTCTTACCCCACACCACCCACTACCTGAACAATAGCCAAGAAAGGAAAGGAGATGTTAAAACAAACAGTGTTTTGATGACATTCTCAGCACTTGGCCCATGTGATCGCTGTCTCTGAAACACTGACCACCTCTCCCTACAGCCAGCGTGTAGTGCTTCAGTGGTGAGAAATTGTAATTGAGTTATTTTCCATTTTATTTCCTTGTATGTATTTCATGACTGGACTTACTGCTCTGTCAGCTTTTGTATATGAATCTTAAATGTTCATTAAAAAATAAAAAATGAACTGATCTTGTGGACATATAGGATTCTTTTTTTTTTTTAATTTCATGTTTTGGTGGACTCATTTCCTGAAAGTGGCATAAATGGAACCCACCGTGAAATTGCTTGGGAACGAATCAAAACAAAACAAAACGTTTACTTGGTGGCTTGTCTCTGGTCCAACCTAATTCCACAGAGTAGCACCTGGAGAGAAAACTTACTTAAACCACAGCGAGGGTAGACAGCTAAAAGCAGGTATAGTCCATCACAAATTTCTCAGTGGTGCAGTGTCGCTTGGGCCTCTACTTGACAGAGTCTTCTCTGAGTGTGTTTCAAGGTGGGTGTTTGTTGTGGGCATGGTGACTACTTGGTTCTTTACATATGGGAAGATTTCATTATCCCCCCGTCCCACCCCACTTTTTTTTTGGGACAGGGTCTTGCTCTGTTGCCCAGACTGGCATGCAGTGGCTCAATAATGGCTCACTGTAGCCTCAACCTCATAGGCTAAAGCAATTCTCCCACCTCAGACCCCTAAGTAGCTGGGACCACAGGCATGCACCACCATGCCTGGCTAATTTTTAAATTTTTCAAAGAGACAGGGGTCTCACTATGTTGCCCAGGCTAGTCCTGAACTCCTGCGTTGCCCCTTCATTAACTGGTTTTAGGATCTCACAAATGGAAGGGTAAAGACCAGCAGAAAAGATACTCTTCAGTGCGCACATGAAGAAGCATTTCCCTATTATAAATAATGATGATATTTGTATAATGAGAGTGTTTTCTCTTATACCACAGCAAAAATCCCAGCCAAAAAAAAAAAAACAAAAACAAAAAACAAACCTAAGGCTCAGTAGAAGATCCTGTTTTCGTATACTATATAGTTACATTCCTCTCCTATAGTCTGTAGAGTTTAGCTTTGTGCTGTGGTTTGGAGAAAAATATACTGTAAATTATGTCCAAATGGTTACATGCATAAACACCCTCTTTAAACATCTCAATCCATCGATAGAAGAGTAAGCAACAGGTGTCCTCACCACCTGTCATCTCTCCCTCTATCTGTCCATCAATACACCCATCCTCAATCTATCTCTTTTTTTTTGCTACATTTCAAAATAAATTTCAGATGGCAATGCATTTCCCACTCCATATGTCAGCATGCATGTCATTATAACTAGAGTCCAATACTAGCTTACTGCTTTATTCATTTGAAGCAAAATTTTTAGTGTGAAATACACAAGTATTAACGGCACCTTTGCTGAGTGTGGACAGATACGTACATTGTGTGTAACTCAAATCCCTGCCACAGTAGAAAACGATGTTTTCCATATCAGGTGTCAGTAACTTTCTTGACAAGTTCTAGCCTTCATTACAGAAAACCTCCAATGAGCTCCAGTTTGAAGATACGCCTACCACATTTACAAGCTGCTGAACCTTAATTCTGATGAATATTTAGTGAAAAAGGTCACATTAGCTTTCTACTTTCTGATTTTGTATTGTAGATATTTCAGCATTTGTTATTTTTAATGAGAACATAATAAGAATCACCTTGGGGATAATGATAACAAGGCAAGAAATAAAAAGTTCTGAAAATAATTATAAATTACAGTACCATACTTTTAGAGCAAGGATATTTACACATATATCTTTTGACATCACCACAAATAGAGAGAATATTCTAATGTGTTTTTAATCAGTATTACTTCTGTACTTTCTCTGGAATCTAAAGACCTATCCAGGAAAAGCCTTGACTAATGTTGTCCTCAAAGTATGTGTCTGTATACAAAAAATTGGGTTCAAATGCCCCTGGAGTAACTATCAAACTTAAAATAGCACAGCAAACATCCTCTGTTGAAGATTAACAAGGAGGTTGTAAATCTTCTGACCTACTTGTCATTCTCATGTCTTAGAAATAATGCTTTATGTCTCTCATGGGACTGTGAAAAGAAAATAAGTCTCAAGACCCCAAAATCACTAAAGCAAGGGAAAAGTGAAACTGGGAACTATCTCAGGCAAAGCTGCCTCCCATTTTATTCCTAAATAAGATAGCTACAAAGATAAGAAGCTACATACCTCCCTCACAATTTGCCCACAAAGAAGTTCCTTGTGGACAAAGGACAGGCAAAACCCAAAATCATCCCTCTGCTCACGTGAGACAAATGCATATCTGATTGCTTTCTTTGCTTTACTGGTTCACTAAACCAGGCTGTCTACCTATGACCTGGAAGCGCTGTCCCCGCTTCGAGTTGTCCCACCTTTCTGGACCAAACCAGTGTACATCTTACATATATTGATTGATGTCTCCTGTTTCCCAAACATGTATAAAACCAAGCTGTGCCCCAACCACCTTGGGCACATGTTGTCAGAACCTCCTGAGGCTGTGTCATGCGTACATCCATAAACTTGGCAAAATAAACTTCCTAAATTGATGAAGACCTGTCTCAGTCAGACACTCTTAGTTTACAGGACAAATTATGAGAAGCAGGTACACTAAATGAGTAACCTCTATTTTATAAACAGGGATACTGCAGCCCAAAGAGGTTAATCCATTGGCTCAGAATCGTATCAAAAGTTAGGAGGACATGCAGGCCTAGATCTTAGTCCTCATAATTTCTAACCCAGGGCTCACAATACCATGCGATTGCTTCCAGATGGAAGTTGATTTAGAACAAAAATGTAACCTAAAATGGAAAATCTTGCTTCAAGCCCTGATTGAGTGATTATCTATAAACAATGCCCTAGAGAAACTTTTTTTTTTTGCACTTTTTTGCACTGAAAACATCATCTTTAAGTTTGCCCCTTCTTATATAAAGAAGGGTGTGCTTCTGTGATCTTCAAAACCTCTCCTGATGGAATGGACCTGTGTTAGGGTAGCACTCCCCCCAACTACCATTCAAGGAGAGAGAGAGAGAGAAAGAGAGAGAGAGAGAGGAGCACTGATTGACTAGAGCCAAGGATCTTGATGTGATTGTTCCTCCCAGAGCTCCCACCTGAATGATGATGTGACTGCCTTGGGAGGGATCTGCCTCGAGAGAAAGCATAACTCACTGTGACACTGAGTCTTCAATCAACATCATCCTTCATTGTAAGAACTAACTTCAAATCAAAAAGAACCTTTTCTTTGGAAAATTGGAAATTCCACAGTTTACTCAGTGAAAACAGTATTTTAAATATTTAAAAATTAGTCTTAATGTCTTTTTACCATATACTAGCACATCTGGGACAATCAGTGCCCTGAGCAAACACGTTGAGCATTTGAATATGAATTACTCTGATCACTGATATTACTTGCCAGGTTTGCAGTGATATAAGGTAATGATTTTGAAGTCTGCAAAAAGGTTCATTTCATCAAAGATTTACATGATTATCTGTTTTTCACTGTCATTTTCAATAGACTATCTCTACTCTAAATTCAAATGCTCTGTAGCCTGTTTTGAAATGAGTGTGGGTTCTTTATGGAAACTTGTAATTTGAAAAATATTTACTCTTCACAATTTCCCTAATATAAAAGTCTGAAGAGATATTTAAGGAAAAAAAAAGTCTGAAGAAATGTTTACTTAACTTTTCTGAGTTCAGATTGAAAATCAGATAAACCAAGGATCAGGCACTCTATTTTGCAATGTAAGACCTCAGAAGGAAAAATTTGAAGTGAGCTCTAATTGATCCAATATGCTCATTTAAATCCAATTTATTCTACATTCTTCATGATGCTATCATTGTCTCCCTACCAGCCAGTATTATTCCAGGCCTGTAGCAGGAGCTAGATGAATGTGAACTGACTGAAGAAATGAATCCTGATAAGTGGGTGGACTGGATTTGATGAAACTCCTTCAGGTAGGGATTGCAAATTGGTGGTAATATTCCACCCAAAGGAAATCCTTTCTTAAGAATTTATAAAATAAGAATTTCAAAGATTTGTGTAAACCTATCCATAGTTGACCTAACAACATTAGGAACATGATCCCACAAGGTGACAATTGTCTGGGCTTGAGTGACAGGCTGCTCCTTTAGGTCGGGTGACCACGTAAATTTATCTTCCAGACGTGAGACTTGCATAGTGGTGGATTGAGGTCCTCCGTAAATCCTCTCTCCACAAAAAGCAATGAAAACGCTGGCAAGATTATATAAAAGCAGACATTTCAGAACTCCGGAAATAAAATCAAAGGCATACAACAAATTAAAAGTGTTTACTGAAGAAACAGTACTGAACTTCAATAAGAACAGTGAGGTCTATGCCATTTTAACTTAGAGATTTGCCTATATCCCTCTCAGCTCCTTGGCATGGTACCATGAAGACCAGAAGCCTTGTTGCCACCAGAGGGGGATGATTTAATTTGGAACTCTACAAAATGCCCCATCCCCAGAGTTTTGCCACTATTTGACCCGACTTGGAGCTCCATGGGAAAGTTTTATTCCCAAAGCATTGTTGATGATAATGATGATCAGCATCACTTGAGGAAGGTGAACTCTGAAGCCTTCAAGACAGTGATGCCAGCTAAGGCAAGAAAGACACCAGCCAAACATGTAAAAGGAAGATCTGGGGAATCAGATCTAGTTCACAGTGGACTATAAAAATCTCAGACATATTCCTGAGGATCTGAAAGCCTGTGTGTATGTGCAGGGTCGTGTGAACAGTCAAGAAAGAGCAGAGAGAGTCTTAGTTACTTACTCATCCCTGGCTGACCTTGATGTCCTGTGAAAGCAAAAAGTGAAAGACAAGGAAGACTTAATCTGCCTAAACTTTGAAAGCATGCTCCAAACTACACACAGATCCTCACAGCAAAGGGTGAAAAATGTATTACCATAAAGCATTCAAGAAAATTAAAGACCGATCATTGGCTGCCCTAAGCTATGCTGACATATGGGTGACCCCTATAAAGCCAGGACTAAAAATGAAAACAGACAGAGACTTCAGTATAGGGAATGCAAACACTAGCATACTGGTCCAGGAAAGTAAACAAACAAAGCCTAACCCCAACAACAACAAAATACAACAACAATAAATAGTGGGAGAAAGGGATGATTAGATTTCAATGGTATTAAAATATATGGCTAGTGTTTCCAGTTTATTATATTAGGAGGCATGCAAAGAAATTGCGATGTGCAGCCTGTATACAAGAAACAAAACCATCAAAAGATACTGGCCCTCAAGGTGCCCAGAAGTTGGATTTAGTAAATAGACTTTAAATCAGCTATTTAATAATAATAAGAAGAAAGAATATAATATATAATAATAAGAAATAATGGTTGAACTTCCCATAATTTATTAAAAGCATTAATTTACACTTCTAAGAGGCTCAACTAAGTCTTAATATAGTAAGCTTAAAGAGATACACACCTGGACACAACGTAATTGTTCTGTTGAAAGCCAAAGACAGAGGGAGAATCTTGAAAGCAAGAGAGAAGAGACTCATCATATACAAGGATCCTCAATAAGAATGACAGCTGACTTCTCATAAAAAACCATGGAGGCCAGAAGGCAGTGAGACAACATATTCAAAGTGCTGAAACAAAGCAGGGAACCCCCCACCATCAACCAAAACTTCTATATTGAGCAAAATTACCCTTCAAAACGGCAAGTGAAATAAAGACATGCCCAGGTAAATAAAAATGGAGACAATACATTTATAGCAGCCCTACTCTACAAGAAATACCAAAGGAAGTCTTTTAAGGTATATAGGAATGATAAATCAATGTTAACTTGAACTCACACAAGGAAAGGAAGATCACCATAAAGGAAATTACATGGGTAAATATAAAATGTAAATAAAGTTTTTACTCTTTTCTTCTTTCAACCAATTTAAAAGACAATTGTATGAAACAATAATTATGAAGCTATATTGTTGAGTTTATAAGCATAATTTGTATAACAATACTATCACCTTGGAGAAGGACAAGTCATGATGTTGGAAGGAAATTTCTATATACTTTTGAAATTAAGTTAGTAATAATCAGCACTAAATTGTTTTAAGGTAGGATGCATATTTAATCCCCAGAGCAGCCACAAAAAATAAGTAAAAGAAAAGGTAGTGAACAATCCAAAGAAATTAAAATAGTGTACTAGAAAATAACACAAAAGAAAACAAAGAGCAAAATATCAGCTATAAATTCAACCACATCAATAATTAAATGAAAATGCATTACACAGTCCAATCAAAAGGCAGAGAATGTCAGACTGGATTAATTAAAAAGGACATAACCATATAGTTTCAATAAGAGGTATGTTCTAGATTCAAAGACACAAATAAATGGAAAGTAAAAGGATGGAAAAGATATACTATGCAGACAGTAACTGAAAGACTGCTAGAAGGACTATACCAATATCAGAAAAAATTACTTTAATACAGATAATATTACTAGAGACAAAGAAGGACATTTTATAATGGTAGAACAGTTAATTTATCTGGAATATATAACAATTAAAAACAGATATGTATCTGTGTACCTAACAACAGAGCCCAAAATATATGAAGCAAAAACTGATGGAATTCAAAGGGGAAATAAACAGTACAACAATAGTAGTTGGAAACTTCATTCTCCACTCTTAATAGTTGGTAGGACAACAAGATGCAGAATCAGCCAGGATGTAGAAGGCCAGAACAACACTATCAACCAACTTGATCTGCTGACATCTAAGGAACACTGCACCCAACAGCAGCAGAATACATATCCTTTTCAAGGCCATTCTCCAGAATAGAGCATTTTTTTATGCAATAATACAAGGCTTAATAATTTTATTTTTATTTTTATTTTTTTTGAGTCAGGGTTGTTCTCTGTCACCCAGGCTGGAGTGCAGTGGCATGATCAGGGCTTACTGCAGCCTTGACCTCCCAGGCTCAAGTGACTACAGGCATGCACCACCACACCCAGCTGATTTTTTAATTTTTATTTTTGTAGAGACAGGGTCTCACTATATTGCTCAGTCTGGTCTTGAACTCCTGAGCTCAAGAAATCCACCTGCCTCAGCTTCCCAAAGTGCTAGGATTAAAGGCATAAGCCACTGTGCCCAACCAAGTCTTAATAATTTTAAAGAGATTGAGATCATACAAAGTATGTTCTCAAAAAACAATGGAATTAAATTAGGAATCTATTTTTCAAACCAGGACACTTTTAAGAATCATAACGATAATAATTACATCAGAACAACAGGCATAAATTAAAATGCTCTTGAGCAAATTAGAACCTGTGCTCATCCTGCCTTTAGCAAGGAATCCATCATATAGTTCTCATCCAATCCATACTTTAGTCATCTCCAGTGTGAAGCCTGCCTCACCCTGTAGGCCTTTGAGTTTGCAATGCCTCTGTTAGACCAATTTTAATTGGGTCATTGTAGGAAACATGCACTTTATTTTCCAATGAATTAGTCTTAAATTCTACCATGCCCCATTCCTATTTTATCTTTCACATTTGTATTGGTATTAGGCATAGTGTGTGTATATATTTATGGGGTATAGGAGATATTTTGATACAGGCATTCAGTGCATAGTAATCATTTAAGAGTAAATGGGGCGGGGCATCCATCACCTCAAGCATTTATCATTCTCAAGTACACATGAAAAATCTACAAAATTAATCACATGCTGGGTCATATATCAATATTAAAAATATTGGTACATTCATAATATAGACATTATATATATGTATATTTTTTGAGACCAGGTCATGAAACTGGCCAGTTTTTGTATTTTGGTAGAGACAGGGTTTTACTACATTGCCCAGGCTGGTCTCAAATTCCTGGCCTCAAGCGATCCACCCACCTCAGCCTCCCAAAGTGCTTGATAACAGGCATAAGCCACCATGCAGGCCAATAATATAAAAATGTTATAAAATAACACTTTGGTCATAAGTAATAATATTGCAAATGAAAACAGCTTTTTAAAAAAGTATCTTCCAACTAGAAATTTAAAATTTCTTCTATTTAATAACAAAAGGATGAAAATAAAGATTTTAAAATGTCATAAAATTTCTAAAAGTCAAATTTAATTTAAAATTACACATAAAAATTTATGACATACAAGAAATCATTGCTCAGACTAATGTAGCAAAAGTTTTCCCCTATATTTTCTTTTAATGGTTTTATAGTTTCAGGTCTTACTTTTAAGTCTTTCATCTACTTTGAGTTGATTTTTGTGCATAGTGTGAAATAAGAGCCCAATTTCATTCCTCTACATGTGGCTTCTAGTTTTTCCAACACAATATATTGCAGAGACTGTCCTTTCCTCATTGTGTGTTCTTGATATCTTCATGGAAAATTTATTGACTCTACTTGTGTGAGTATATTCTTGGGCTCTCTATCTCTATCTCTAGCCACTGGTCTATGTATCTGTTCTTATGTGAGTGCCATACTGCTTAAATTACTGTAGTCTTGCAATGTATTTTGAAATCAGGTAATATGATGCCTCCAGCTTCATTCTTTTTGTTCAAGATTCCTTTGATTATGCGGGATCTGTTGTGTTTCCATAAAAATTTTAGAATTGTTTTCTATTTCTATAAAAAAATCATTGGAATTTTGATAGGGATTGCATTGAATCTTTGATGGCTTTGGGTAGTATGGAGATCTAAATAATATTAATTCCTCCAATCCATGGACATAGGACATCTTTCCTTTTATTTGTGTTATTCATAATTTCTTTCATTAATGTTTTATAGATTTCAGTATACAGATCATTCACCTCTTTGATTAAATTTACTCCTAAGTATTTTATTTTATTTTATTTTATGATGGCACTGTAAATGGGATTGTTTCATTAATTATTTTAGGATAGTCTGTTGTTAGTGTATAGATATGCTACTGATTTTTTATGTTGATTTTGTATCCTGTAACTTCCCTGAATTTATTTATCAGTTCTAACACCTTTTGGTGGAGTCTTTTGGGTTTTCTACATAGAAAATCTTTAATAAAAAAGACAATTTTATTTCTTCTTTTACTTTTTGGATGCCTTTACTTGCTTAATTGCTATGGCTAGAACTTCCGGAATTATACTGAATAGAGGTGATAAGAGTGAGCATCCGCATCTTATTTATGAACTTAGAGGAAAAGCTTTGAACTTTTCACTATTGAGTATGATGTTAGCTATGGGCTTGTCATATATGGCCTTCATTGTATACAGTACAAGAAAATTTAAGGGAATTGCTCTGTGACATTGGTCTGGGCAATAATTTTTTGGATAGGACCCCAAAGCACAGGCAATGAAAAGCAAAAATAGACAAATGGGATTGTATCATACTAAAAAGCCTCTGCACAGCAAAGGAAAAAACTAGCAGAGTAAAGATAAAACATATGGACTGGGAGAAAATATTTGCAAATAAAATATTTTCTTTCTTTCTTTTTTTTTTTTTTTTTTTTTTTTTGAGACAGAGTCTTGCTCTGTCACCCAGGCTGGAATGCAGTGGCATAGTTTCGGCTCACTGCAACCTCTGCCTCCCTGGTTCAAGCCATTCTCCTGCCTCAGCCTCCCAAGTAGCCGGGACTATAGGTGCACGCCACCACACCTGGCTAATTTTTATATTTTTAGTAGAGATGGGGTTTCACCATGTTGGCCAGGCTGGTCTTGAACTCCTGGCTTCAAGTGATTCACCCACCTTGGAAGCCTTCCCAGCATTACAGGCCTCAGCCACCACACCCACCTCAAATATTTTCTATAGGAGTTAATATTGAAAATATATAAGGAACTCAAACACTTCGATAGCAAGAAAACAAATAACCTGATTAAAAAATCAACAAAGGACTTGAACAGACATTTCTCAAAAGAAGACACACAAATGAGCAACAGATACATGAAAAAAATGCTCAACATCTCTCATTATCAAGGAAATTCAAATTAAAACAACAAGATATCATTTATACCTGTTAGAATGAGTATTATCAAAAAGACAAAAGATAACAAGTGTTAGGATGTGGAGAAAAGGGAACCCTGGTACACTGTGGGTAGTAATGTTACTTAGTACAGCTATTTTGGGAAAACAGTATGGAAGCTCCTCAAAAAACTAAAAATAAAATTACAATACCATCCAGCAATCTTACTTCTGGGTATATATGCAAAGAAACTGAAATCAGTCTGTCAAAGAGCTCGCTGCACTTCCATGTTCACTGCATAATTATTTCAATAGCCAAAAAATGAATGCAACCTAAGTGTCCATTAGTGGATAAATGGATTGAAAAATGTTGTCTATATACATAGTGGAATACTACACAGTCTTTAAAAGAAGGAAGCTCTGTCATTTGCAACAACATGAATGAACCTAAAGGACATTATGTTAACTAAAGTAAGCCAGGTGGAGAAAGGCAAATACTGCTTGTTTTCACTTATATATGGAACCTAAAAGAGACAAATTCATAGAAGCTGAGAGTAGAACGGCCATTACGAGAGGGTAGGGGTGAGGGTAGGGAAGGGGGAGATGTTCATCAAAGGGTGCAAAGTTTCGGAGAGGAGAAATAAAGTTTTAGTGATCTATTGCACAGCATGGTGACCATAGTTAATAATAATGTATTGACTATTTTAAAACTGCTAAAATAGTTTTTAAATGTTCTTACTGCAAAACATGATCAGCAGGTGAGGTAGTAGATAGGCTAATGAGCTTGATTCAACCTTTTTACAATGCGTATACAAATGGAACATCACATTTTATCCTAAATATATGTCCAATTATTATTTCTCAATTTTTAAAAAGTGGAATTATAAACTAAAAAAGAATAATACTTGATTTTAAAAGTTTATGAGATACTTTTAAAGCATATTAGAAGAACATTCATATTGTTAAGCATATATCAATATCAATAAAAAATATAAGAAAATGAACTAACTTCCCACTCAAAAACTAGAAATAAACCAAAAGAAAGCATAAAGTAAATAAAATAAAGATAAAAGCAGAATTTGATCAGATAGATAATATAAAAACAAGAGATGTAATGAATGAATCAAAACTCTAGTGATTAATAAAATGAAATACACAAACCATTTAAGAAAAAATGGGGAATATAAATAAAATAAGAAATGACACAGTAAAAATAAAAGTCATAACAGATGACTTACCCACCTTTATTCAAAAAATTTAGAACATATACATATTGGAGAATTTCTTGGGGAAATATATTTTACTACTGAAATTGACCCCATTATAGATAGAATGCTTAAGGGGGCCATTTGCTATGGAAAAAAGAGAAAATTACCAAGGAACTTTTACTCGCCAACACACACACACACACACACACACACACACACGCACGCATGCACGCACGCACACACACAGAGAGAGAGAGAGAGAAAGAGAGAGAGACAAAGGGCCCAGGTGCCTTTACAGGGAAATTCTACCAAACATATAAAGATCATGCCAGTCTGATGCCAAATAAATTTTTCCAAAACCTACAAAATTAAGGAAAACTTACAAATTTAGTTTTAGGAGTAGAAGAATGATTCATTAGAAAGAAATTCAATAATATAATTTACTGTGGAGAAGAAATATTTCTCTCCATTGATGCTCCCCATTGGGTCTGACAAGTTTCAACACCCATTCTTGATTTTTTTATAAAAACCCTGAAAATAGTAAGGTATGGGCATCTCCTCTGTTTTCTCCTTCTGTCAGTCTGTCTGCCTCCACAAGAGACCTTTCCAGGATGATCTGGAATAGGAAGAGTGTGCCTATTATCTCCTGCCTTTATCATTTTTACAGAAGGCATTAGCCACTGCAGTTAGACACAAGACATTTATTAGGGGCATGAAAATTGGGTATGATGAAGTACATCTATTTCTGCTTGCAGATAATATGATAGTAAAACTGGAAAACACTGGAGAACCAGTGATAAAACTAACACAATATTAAGAGAATTCAGAAAGCAAGGAGGATATAAAAATTACATAAAATAATAGAAATGCTTATATTCATGATTAGTAAGCAATCAGAGGACACTGGAAGAGAAAATACCATTTAAAATAGTATCAAAAAGATAGATAATATTCTCACAAATGAACTTAGTAAGAAGTATGAAAACCCTATGAGAAGTACTTATGAACAAACAGAAAATGTAATCATTGTTATTGTGTAGGATAACTCAATATTATAAAGATGCAGATTCTCCCTCGGTTAACTTATCCATGTAATAGAACCCCAATAAAATATGAATTTTTTTTCTGAAGCTATATATGTTGAGATTAAAGTTAATTTGGAAGAAAAAATATGCAAGAATACAAGAAAATACTGAATAAGATGAACTGCTAGCCGTAGGCCAACCAGATATTAAAACACACACAAAATCTTTATAATTAACACAGTGGTACAAGCAGATTACTCATTAATTAGCTATTGAAAAGAAATACAAAAATAGATCCAGGTATACATGGAAACTTAGCATATGATAATTATGGTATTTCAAATTAGTGTGACAAAGTTGAACTTTTGAATAAGTAGTATGGGAAGACCTGGATGGTTAGATGGAAAGTATTTAAATTACATCAATACTTTACATATTACTTAAGATTGTGATTCAAATGGATCAGAGATGTAAGTGTAGAAGATGAAATCATAGAGATACCAGAATAATTCATAAGCAAACCCTTTTATAACTTGGGTGAAAGTTATCGGGAAAGGTTCTAATTATTTCCCCAAATCCAGATGCAAAAAATATTGATAAATTTGACTAGAGAAACAGGTGTAAAAATTTCATGATCAGTAAAGTATAACCAAAATCAAAAGACAACGGATAAATGGGAAGAAATTATTTGCAAGTTATGCCACAGAAAAATGCCTGTAACATGTAAAATTTGAGGACAAAATATGAAAAAATTTGATAGAAAATTGTGCAAAGGACAAAAAAGATAATTTGCTAAAATACAAGATGGTCCTAAATATTTCTTTTTCTTTTCTTTTCTTTTTTTTTTTTTTTGAGACGGAGTCTCACCCTGTTGCCCAGGCTGGAGTGCAATGGCACAATCATAGCTCACTGCAACCTCCACCTCCCAGGTTCAAATGATTCTCTTGCCTCAGCCTCCTGAGTAGCTGGGATTACAGGCGCCCACCACCACGCCCAGCTAATTTTTGTATTTTTAGTACAGATGGGGTTTTACCACGTTGGCCAGGCTGGTCTTGAACTCCTGACCTCATGATCCGCCTGCCTCAGCCTCTGAAAGTGCTGGGATTACGGGCATGAGCCACCACGCCCAGCTGGTCCTAAATGTTTTTAAATGTTCAATATACTCATAATTAACAAAACACAAATTAGAACTGTGTTGTGATATCACTTTTTACCCCTTAGCTTGGTAAAATCTAGCAAATTTGAAAATTCACTACTGACAAGACTATTGAAAAATAGGTGTCTTCTTTCATTGATAGTGGGAATGAGAAATGGAGAAAACTTCCCTATGAGAAGGAAATTTGACAATATATGATAAAATTACACATGTACCCTTTGACCTAGAAATCTGACTTCTGGAAATTTACCCTGAAAATACACCTTCAACAGCATAAAAATTGGCATGCACAAAGTTATATGATTCAGTATTATATGTATTTGCAAAATATTGGGAACTATGAAAATACCCCAACAAAGTACATTAATTTAAACATTATGATATTTACATGCAATAGAATACTATGCAGCTATGTAAAAAGGATAAGTAAGAGCTGCATTAACTGGTGTATTTCCAAGGTACAATACTGAAGAAGTTAAAGAATCAGAATGCAAAAGTTTTATATAGCGTGTGATGTTTGATGTCAGAAAGGAAGTAGAATTAGAAAATAGTTATTTTTCTGTTTATTTTTGGAGAAAGAAAAAAATAAAGCAGAAATTCATGAAATGTATTATGTAGAGGAGGTGTCTGTGTATCTGTGTGGCAGAAACAAGTAGAAACAATGGGGTGGGATGGCACTTCTCTTGATATGTCTTGTTTCATTTTGTATAGTGTGGATTTTTGGGATCATGTTAAAATTTCACATATTCAAAAATAGAATTAAATCCATAATAATGAGGAAAAGCCCTAGAGTGTAATACAAATAGAAACTAATGAACTCAGCTCCACTTTAAATTAATAACATAACCGCACTGGAGAAAAAAAAGTAAATCAAATAACTTTTGAGCATAGCATTTTGATTACTCTCTTGTATTCTTAGCTTAAAGGGGGAGAGCAGAAACATCTGAAAACACATTCTGAACTCAACCTAGGGGTCTTCTTTTCATTGTAGCATGGTTACTGTAATTCTGAAACTATATCGTGTATATTGCACGTTGAGCAAATTAAAAAATATATTAATTTTGTTGAAAATTGGGAATCTTATGGAAGGAGTTACAAATAGGGAAAGTTCAAAGACAAGGAAGGATTTTATGGGTGACATAAGTACATCCTCATTAATTCTAGTGTGTGATTAAATAGTATTATTATATCATAATATATGACATTATGCATTCTGTCCTCTAAAAGGTCTGAAAGCAAGAATACTTCAGAGCAACTAGATTTGTTTTCCAAATACCATTCTCTATTAAAAGGAACCAAGGGGAAATTTTGAATTCAAGGGTAGGGAAAAAGAAAATATGAGTGGCAATCCTGTTGCTTCAGAAAGTAAGCGGGGAAAGAAAGGTAACTATGTGAGGTGAAGGCTCTGCTAACTGGTTTATATGGGAACCACTTCCCAATGTATACCTGTATCGAATCATCCCCTTGTATGCCTGCAATACGTACTGTATGATTTGTCTCTTATACCTCAATACACCTGGGGAAAATTTTAAATTTTTTTAAAGATAAAAGAATTGAGACAAATCTCAAACAATAAATATTGGGGGCATGCTAAATACAGGAGTCAGCTTGAAGAGGTTCCTATTGTCAAAATCTTGGATGATTTGAGAACAACAATAAATAATGACAGTAATGGATCAAAGTGCATTAAATAAAACAAGAAACCATGAGTCTCTACAGAAAGTAACACTAGAAAAAGAGGAGGAGTGCTTCCTATAATACCAACTAATAAATGTAGAAGAACAGTAAAGTTAGAAAATCACCATTTTACAAGCAGCAAGCAAGAATCATCAATGCATGTTAAAACTAAGGTAGTTAAACATTTTCAAATAATTTCCCCCAAAGAACAGTCAGCCATTCAGAAAGAAAAAGAAGGAACTTTAAAGTGGAGAAACCTGGCAGATAACAGCTTGACTAAGTGATCAGTGTGATCCACAATGAGATAAACCAACATCGTGTGTTTCCTACAATAACGCATCAAGAAAAGCAACATTACTTATGTCATATTTCTTCCCAAAATACATAACCTGAATCTGATCATGAGAAAGACTCACACAGAGGTACATTCTACAAAATACTTTTGTCTACTGAAACTACTGTGTTGTGAAAGATCAAGAATGGCCACAACCTGTTCTGGACTAAAAACAGACCAAGTGGACACAATAACTAGTGAAATGTGTGATCCTGAATGGGTTCCTGGGCTATATGGGAAAAATGCTATTGAAGGTATTATTAGATCAGTTAGAAAAATTAGTCTATGTACTGTAGATTAGATAATATTATAGAAACTTATAGTATTATTTTTACACATTTATTTGTAAACTTGTGAATACTTCCAAGAGAACAGTTTTAAAAATTGGGGGAAAATTTAAAAGCTGATGTATACGGAGATGCAAACAACCTAGAACAGCAATAAGTAAACAAATAAATGAACAAATTCAGAGCACTAACAATAATAGATATTAAGAAAATGAAAGGCCATAGTAATTTTTTAAATGTGATATTAGGGGGCCGGCACAGGGCTACCATGTTGCATCAGTACAGTAATGATGACACTGAAGACATTTCAGTGTTGGATGTGGAAGAGACAATAACAAAACAAAACAATCCAAAATCAGATATCCAGTGGCCTCACGTTTCCAGCTATTCTTTCAAGTCTGTGCAATTGTGGTCTACCTTCTTTGCAAATTGGTCAGCAGCAGCTTTACTGCTTGTATGGTGACAACTATCTTGTCATGTGACTTTAGGGCAGTGACGAATGTCACAGGTAGACTAGTGGTGGGTCTACGGTGTTGGAATCACATGATGAAGATGGAAAGAGCCATTGGGTGCTTGAGTCCAGAAAGGCATCCTCTCGGGAGGACAAAACTGTCTCAGAGGCTGAATCAAATCTTTTGGTTGGGACTTAATGCCTGTCCAGTGCTGTGGGTGATATTTATCTTTAGTGGCCTCATCTCCTTCAGGGTAAAGTGGTTAGCAGTGGTTATCATGAGTGTGGTGCTACAAGGTGCCAACCTATATGGCTACATCAGGTGTAAATAGGCAACGGAAAGAATGTAACCAGCATGGGTCCCTCATACTTGGAAAGCAGTTTTTAAGACAAAACACTGAGGATGATCAGACTTTGTGAACAGAGAGAGAATGCTTATGTGCTTTGTTACAGTGGGGAGCAAACAGAGATTGTTGACTCTGAACATTTTAGACCTCGGTCCATGATGCAACAAGGAATGTTGGCTTTGTTTTTCACTTAAAATCTTTAGTTAAAGCAAAGCAAAGTAGTTTTCTTATTAAGTTTTTATATCCTTTCCAGTAGTTGGGGCTAGAATGCATGTTGTCACTGAAGACATTGTCAACATTTGTTTTATGGTGTACATAAAATATGCACACAGTCATGTCATATCAATATATCCCAAACTAATGAAAGTGTGTTCATTTACATATGTAATGGAGACCTTTGTATTTTGGTCCATAGAACACAGAAGGATGTTCTTAGTCTATCTCAAGCTCTATATGTTTACATATTACTTCTGTATATTACTTTCCGAAGTAAGTTTTGCTTCCACAGTAAGAGTGAGCAGCTTGGCTCATGTATACCTTAGAAATTATTGTTAATTTTTAATATATACTTCACGTTGACATTTCTTAGACATACGCAAGAAAGTAAAAACCACATTTGGGCCAGTGATGTTAACTAGTTTCTAAAATGTTATTTATTTTTATTCGTAACAAGCCATTTACTTAAGTTTATGTAAAGGGATAGTTTATGCTTAAGGGATAGCAGAGGTTGTTGCTGTTCTGTTTATTGTATAGAAAACATGGCCAGATTTTAATTTAGAACTTCCTGGAAGCTCTTCAGTGGACTTTGAGCTAATACAATATATCTTTTGTCACCAAAAGAGTATTATTCTTATGTCATAATGAGAACAATAATTTGCATGCGTGGCATAATAAATGCCTAAAAGACATTTTATTTTATGACTCTATTCTTTGCTATAATAGGGATATTGTAAATCATATATTTGTATAATATTGGTGGTATTTATTAAAGCAATAGATGTAATGGTAAACAAAAAAATATGAAAACACAAAAGAGCTTCTACAAATAAAAAGAAAGCCAACAGTCTAGTTTTAAAATGGGCAAAAGACTTAAATGACACTTCATAAAAGAAGATATTCCAATGGCTGGTAAAAATTTGAAAGAAGTTCTATGAAATCAAAACCAGAATGAAATACCAGAATGGCAGGCCAGGCGCGGTGGCTCATGCCTGTAATCCCAGCACTTTGGGAGGGCCGAGGTGGTGGATCACGGAGGTCAAGAGATCAAGACCATCCTGGCCAATATGATGAAACCCCGTCTCTATTAAAAATACAAAAAAATTAGCTGGGTGTGGTGATGTGCGCCTGTAGTCACAGCTACTCGGGAGGCTGAGGCAGGAGGATTGCTCGAACCCGGGAGGCAGAGGTTGCAGTGAGCCGGGATCGCGCCACTGCACTCCAGCCTGGTGACAGAGCGAGACTCCGTCTAATAGAAAAAAAAAAAAAAGAAATATCAGAATGGTGACAAAAATAATGGCAAGGCCACATTTCATCAAGGGTATACACCAGAACTCATATATTGCCAATGCGTGATGAATATAACTGCTTTAGAAATCTCTGTAGTAATATTTATAATCATGAAACACATGCCTTCCTTGTGATCTGGACATTCTATTTTCAGTCAGATAACCAAGAGAAATGAACACATATGTCCATCAAAAGACAAGAATATTCATGTTAGCTTTATTCATAACATCCCAAAGTTTCAAACCCAAAAATCCATTGGCATAGGAACAAATAAATAACGTGTGGTGTATTCACACAATGAACTATCATGCACAGCAGTAAAAAGTAATGAATGACTGGTAATGTAGCAATAAGGGTACATCTCACAGACACTGCACTGAGTGAGAGAAGCCGGAGGCTAAGTGGATAATACTGCATGACCACATGTATGCGAGGTGCAAGACTGGGCAAAACCAGGCTTCTGTGGCCAAAGCCTGAATAGTTGGTTACCCAGTGTCGGCACTGACTTGAAGATGGCCCAGCCACTGGGAATTACATAATTATATATTTGTTATATATAATAATCCAGATGCTATACATATGCTATTCATATACATATGGTATACACATGCGAAATAGTTCACTGAGCCATACTTTTAAGATCGGTGCATTTTTGTTGTGTGTGCATTATCCCTTGATAGTACCGTTTTGATTGACAAGGGAAAGGCGCTTTTTCAAAATATAAAACCACGAAACATCATGTAACCCAGAAGTACAGTTTTGGGAGTGGGAGAGATGTTTCTCAAAGCAGAACCTGGGGCAACCACGGAGCAGCGGATGCGCGCTGAAGGGCGCGTGGGCAGCGGGGTGGTTCCGCGGCCTGCGGGGCGCAGCGCGCCACCGCGGGATCTGAAAGGCGCTTCCTGGCAACGCTGCTAGGGTCCCGCCGCCCCCGCCGAGGTGAAGTCCAACCCGCAGCTGCGCGGGCAGCCCAGGTCTTCCCCAGAACCTCCGGAGCCGAGGACCCAGCGCCAAGCCAGGAGCAAAGCAGCGCGCCAGGCTGGAGCTGTTCCGTCATTACCGCCACGTCTGCGCTTCGGTTGTGAGAACCGATTCGTTACCCTAACCTCTTAGGACTAAGAGCCAGTCTTCTGGTGGCGCTCGCTTTCACTTACTTTTTATTTCCCTTTCTATTCCCGCGAGCTAGGGGGAGAAAGTGTAAATCCCGCCCGCTTCTCCAGGGCTGAAAATGGAGAGGCTGAGGCGGCTTGGAGAGTGCGCACTGCGCATGCTCCGCAGAGCATCCCCGCAGGTCAACCGGGGCAAGGGAGAGACATGAAAGCCTGTGGCTTCTCCTTTGAAGATTCTTTTTTTTTTTTTTTTTTTTTTTTTGAGACGGAGTCTCGCTCTGTCGCCCAGGCTGGACTGCGGACTGCAGTGGCGCAATCTCGGCTCACTGCAAGCTCCGCTTCCCGGGTTCACGCCATTCTCCTGCCTCAGCCTCCCGAGTAGCTGGGACTACAGGCGCCCGCCACCGCGCCCGGCTAATTTTTTGTATTTTTAGTAGAGACGGGGTTTCACCTTGTTAGCCAGGATGGTCTCGATCTCCTGACCTCATGATCCACCCGCCTCGGCCTCCCAAAGTGCTGGGATTACAGGCGTGAGCCACCGCGCCCGGCCCCTTTGAAGATTCTTAACCTTGCATTTTGCTTTCACACTTAACGCCTAGAAAGCTTGCTTTGATTTTTCCCCAACCTTTCAGCTCATTTAGCTTTAAAAAACAAAATCTCGTTCCAGGAAGAGGGGAGGGGCTTTCCAAGAGAAAATGTTCAGACGTATCAAGTTGACCTACTCAATCTAATAAATGAAGCGAAGCATTCCAAAGGCCAGAGGGGATCATCTTGCATTCATTCATAATAGCACGTTGAAATATGCAAGAAAGGAAAAGAATAAAGAACACAGGGATGTAAAAACAGTATTGCGTTTTCTTGTTCACTGATTGAATTGTAAAAAAAATAATAACAACAAACAAATCTCAGGACACTTCTTGTTTACTGATATTTTACAAAATCACTCAAGTAACAGTCTATTTCTATTATAAACAACTTGTGAGTATTTTAACTCATGCTCAAAAAATAAATAATATGGTAAGAAGTCCAAAACTTTCATCAACTAGCCCAACAACAAATGTCAGCTGAGCACCTACTCAGGCAGACAGTATGGTATAGTGATTAGGAATGAAACATTGGAGCCAGCTGCCTGGCTTTTAACCCCCAGTCCTCACCTACTAGCTGTGTGATCCTGGGGTAAGCGACTTAACTTCTCTGTGCTTTTTCTCTATATGCGAAACGGAAATAATGTTGTGAGAGTTAAAATGAGTTAATCAATGTAAAGCCTTCCTGTCGGCCCTGGCCCCTGTTATGTGATCAATGTCAGATGGTTATTTTTACTTATGTTCCTATTACTGTGTTAAGAAGGGAAACACAAAAGAATTGTTTCTACTTGCAGCATTCTTGCAGCACACTCAGGCGTGGTGGCTCATGCCTGTAATCTCAGCACTTTGGGAGGCCGAGGCGAGCAGATTACTTGAAGTCAGGAGTTGCAGAAGAGCCTGGCCAACATGGTGAAACCCCATCTTTACTAAAAATACAAAAATTAGCCAGGCGTGGTGGTGGGTGCCTGTAATCCCAGCTACTCAGGAGGATGAGGCACGAGAATCACTTGAACCCGGGAGGTGGAGATTGCAGTGAGTCCAGATGACACTACTGCACTCCAGCCTGGGCGATAGAGTGAGACTCAAGTCTCTTATGTGGAGACGACATAAGCAATGAAGGAACAATAAATCATCATCTAACTGATTTTTAAAGTGCTCAGATTTTGGTACAGAAAATTAGAGATTAGGGCAGAGTATGATAAAGGCTCATATTCCCCTGAAGCCTAAAGGAGTGGTACAGGTGTTGGAAGTGGAAGAATGCAGGAGCGTCAGAGTCTTCATCAAAGAGGGGACCTTATAGGGCATGTGCACCTAAGTAGGAGGGATGTGCTGGGCAGAGGAGGATGAGAATGCCAGAAAGAGTCCTGGAAAGGCGGGGAGCTGGGTGAGTTCAGCACCTCACAGAGACAGAAAGGTGATGCCAGGGAGATGACAGCTCCATTGTTGAAAAACAATATTGTCATTAACAACTGCACTCCCCTCCACTTCATGCCTATCCAGAAACAAGGGGGAACACACCAGAGGAATACAGGCCCATGCCACCATGCCCAGCTAATTCTTTACTATTTTTTGTAGAGACAGGGTTTTTGCACATTGCCTAGGCTGGTCTCGAACTCCTGGGGTCAAGTGATCCGCCTGCCTCGGACTCCCAAAGTGCCGGGGTTACCGGCTTGGGCCACTGTGCCTGGCCGAACAAAGCTATTTGACAATATTAAAGAAACAGTTATCACACCCTTACATAATTCTATGAATAGCAGTTATAAAACATTTTCTAAGAACTTTTTGGGGGTGATAGAAATGTAAAATTCCTAGTGGATTTACTACACTGTTGCGATTGCAATACTTACATGGTGCAAGACTAACTTTCTGAATGATTATGACAAATGAAAGCGTAAATGCCATTTTCGGTTTTTGGAATATGAAAATACATGGAATGAGGCGCACCTCATGCTTCCACCAAACGGAACGTCTTTGGCTTCTTGCCTTAGGATCTTTCTAGCTCCTACCTTTAACATGCCTTTCCACCTCTACTGTTTATTGCTATGTGTTAGTCTCTCTTTTCTGTAAGAAAGGCATAAATCTGGGGTGCTTTTTTCCCAAATATTCCCGCAGAAAGCCACCTTTCCAAGCACAGAATCTTATCAGTGCCTAGGAGTTCAGCCGACTTAGCACGAAGAGTGCGATGGAAGGGCTGCTTTTGGCAAACCGTCTCAACCCCGGGCGACGGCGGGCACGGGAGGTCAGGGAGCGCTGGAGGAAACCTGCACTGGGGTAGAAATGGCTGGAGGAAGGCGGACCGCGGGCTCGCTCTCATGGTGCCAACCCCGGGGACCTTTCTTCAGGCTCCCTGCGGGATCCCCAGCCTCCCCTCCCCCTCGGAGCTCCGCCCCCTTCCTGGCCTCAAACTCCGAGTCCATTCAAACCTCGCCTTCCTCGCCCTGCGCGTTGTCAGGCGTGTAATTGGGGAAACTCCTCCCCGCCGGGACCGCCTCGGAGGCGCTGCCAGGGGACAGCCGCCCAGCTGCCCCCACCTCCCAGCACAGCGCACACAGCCCCGGCCTGGGCACCCGCGCCCGCTCGCGGCTCCAGGCGGGGTGGGCGGCGCCGCGCCAGGGGGTCCCCGGCGCCCATTGCTCCCGCCGCCCGGTTGCGCGGACCGGCGCTAGTGCGCGGGTGGGGGCGGCGCGCCGCGGTGGCCCGGCGTCCCGTGTGCGTCCAGTGTGCGCCCCGCGGGGGCGCGGCCAGCGCCAGAGTAGATACCTGTCCCGCCCGCCGCGGCCAGCAGCCTCGGAGGAAGCCAGGGCAAAGAGGGCCGGCGGAGACCAGGTCCGCGCCGGAGGAAGCCGCGCCCGGCCGAGGCCCCGGACCCTGCGCCCCGAGCTCCACGGCACCATGGCCCCGAAGCTGCTGCTCCTCCTCTGCCTGTTCTCGGGCTTGCACGCGCGGTAAGTGGCGCGGGGGCCGCATCCCCGGAGGCCCCGAGCTGGGCGACAGGGCGGCGGGGGGCGCTGTCTGCTGGAGTCCCTGGCGCGCCAGCCGTCGGCTGGGCTGCGGCACGGCGGGCCGGGAGGGGACTGGGAAGTCGGTCTGCACCTCACCTGTCCCAGCTCCCTTGGACACGGTCATCTGCTTTTTCCTCTGCAGCCGGGAGTGTGGGGACTCAGATTAATGGGCTCGTCTCCTGACGCTTTTAGGATCTGGTGGTTTTAAGGGGTTTTGAGAACCAGGTTCAGGGGGCAGGGGCCATTTCTGGCTCCTTACCGACCCCTAATTCCCACCTCAGCTGTTTCAGGGGCTCACACACACACACACTTTGGCTGACATTCTCTGTCATTTCCATCACTCTGAAATTTCCAAGAACCCGGGAACCGTGGTTCTAACTGCCTAGTTTAGACCGGGCTGGAAAGAGCTAATGCATTGGAGGCAGGCGCGGGGGGATTGGAACCAGGTGGGCAGAAGAAAGCCCTGCTTGTCTGGGAGGACTCCCCTCCCAGGTCCTGCAAACACACACACACACCTTCCACATCAGCCACTTTCACACAGAGGAACACACGCACTCCCACCCCCATAAAGCACGCATGTCGAAATGGATAATAAGGCTTCTGCCTGGTAATGTAAGAAATCATCTCACCATAAATTCCGCAACCTTCCTCCCAGTACACCAACCGGCTAATGGGAGCTTAGAATCACTCTAGAAGAGATGAAGAGGGCGCATGAGGATACAAGGACAGTGGGACCCAAAGGGTTAAATCCTGTTGCTGTAAACACAACTGGAGATTCTGGGTTTAGTTTCTTTAATTCTGTCTCTCTGGCTGGATTTCTGGCTAGAGCTTGCAGACTGTCCTGTTATTTGAAAATTGGAGCAGTGTCTGGCCTTTACCTCTTTCCCCACCCTAGGAAGCTCAGCGTGCCCCTATCCCCCAAACCCTCTTGTTTTGACGCTTCTCCATTTCCTGGGTCTGGGAGCTAGAGAATCAGAGGGCATCCTTGCGTGCACAAGCCTGGCCACCATCAGGAGGCAATGCCAGGAGGCCTTGCCTTTTCATTCCTATTTGTGAACTACCAAGGAGCTAGGAAGACACATGAATAAATCCTACTAAACATGAAGGGGGCCCCCAGTTCTCACTCCTGAATTGGGCAGGGGTGCTTACCCTGAGGAAGGAAGCCCTGGCCCTCCCCCTTGCAACTGCTCCTCTTTGCTGAGTTGAGTGTGGAAGCCGACTCCACCGGTGACTCACAGGCAACTCTTTCAAAGAGACAGAGCACTCCTTGGGCCTTTCAGCTGAAGTTTCTTTCTGTCTCAAGAGGCAGCTGGTGCAAGCAATGGAAACATGCTTTCTGAGGTTGCTTCTTCCTGGTTGTATCTCTGTTTAGAGATGGAGAGGGAGGCAGACAGCACCGGGCATAACGCTGAGGCCGGCAGTCACATCTCTGCCACCTTTCTATTGCCACCAACTCAAACGAGTGACCAGCCGTTCAGGGTTCAGTAATCAACTGTTTAGGTCTCTGGATTCTTAACATTCTAGAAGAAACACTGCCTATTGTCCTCACTACTGCATGTGCTTAGTAGGAAGATACCTCAGCCTCTGCCTTAAAACAGTCCGGTTACTGGGGATTCCCAAATATACACAAAATCTCTTGGGATTCTTCATCCTTCCATTCTACTAAGACAGACATAATGATTTTCATTTGTTCTCTATTTGGGCTCGTTCCCCAGCTTTCATAATAGAGCTTGCAGATCAGTTAAAAAATCCAAATTTTATACTAACTTTATTGCTATATGCCTCTTCTTTGAGAGTGTCTTTGTTCTCTGAATGGGTTTTACAGACATGTGAAATAATCTGATGTGCAGTGTCATCTTTCAAAACTGTTTTAAATTTGGAGGGGTTTCTCATTTGCACTCTGAGTCCCTTCCTGCTGTGGAAGTTCCTTGGATAAGGGTCTGATGGCTGTGCTTTGTGGTGATGGCTCAGCAGCTCCCCAGAAGGGGGGACTCCCCATTTTGACACCCATGGGCATCATAAAACGCACTGATTCCCACTCAGACCTTGGTGATGCCTTAACTGCTTTCTGAGGTTTAGGAACTCCTTTTAATGCTTAAAAATACTTCAGACTTTTTCTCTGTCCTTCCGCTTTAAGCTAAGGTGTAAGACATGAAAATAACATCTGAAGGTTGAGTTGTTGTTTGACTATGACAATACATCACTGATTTATTTTTAAGGAAAAGCTAATTTCAGTAATGGTGTTTAGGATCCAACAATGCAAGTAACAGTGCTCATAAAGATTATATATAACTTACTTAGAATTTAGGGAAAAGAGAATATTTCTATATTATCCACATTCTAATGGGTCCCCTGAGATGAGATTTCATTTTTGTCAAAGCAAGGATTTTCCTGTGGGCCTGGTGGTCTGGCACTAGCAATGTGAGGCTTCTATTTCATTTTCAGGATTTGAGGGAGAAGGGTGCTCACTGCCCAGGGACCTAGAGCATCTCGGCCTCACTCTGCCCACTGCCTACCCAACCAGGCTACACAGCTGGGGCCCTGATATGCCTCCCAAAGGGGTGGAAGAGAACGTTCCTGCTTTCTTTTTCTTGGTCCCCCTCACTGCCACCTGTCCTGGCCTCTAAGGAGGAAGCGCTTGCAATTTCAGGAAAACCCTCTCATCACCACTAGAGGGAGAATTAGGCTTATTACAATACCTGTAAGTAGCTGGAAGTAATTTTTAAAAACTAAGGCTGCGTATATAGAGAATGATGAAAAGCTGGTTACTGTGCTCGGTTTGTGTGTATGTGATTATCAGGGCCATAGACAATAACACAGGGTGGAGGCTGTGGTCTGGCTCTGTAGTGGTGGGGGTAGGAGAGGGGAGGAGAACGGGAGGGGAGGGGAAGAAGAGTGAGGCAGACCCCCTCACAGTGCCCAAGACAGAGACAGCAGAGGGAGGGAGGAAGGCACCTGGGCTGAGTCGCCAAGTGTCCTGAGCATGTTGTGCCTGATTCTGCTGAGATGAGCTACCGGCCTCTCCTCACTGCCCCAGATGCCCTTGCTGTGGAGTGATTTGCCCTGTCCCGTGGGCAGTGCTTGATTCCCAGCTATCTAAATGCTTCAACCTGCTCTTTAAGTTTTAAAAAATTTTTGCAAGATGATAAAATTAACATTTCTGATAATATTTCAGATGACACGAAATATTTTTTAAATTTATTATTATTATTATTATTATTATTATTATTATTATTATTATTATTTGAGATGGAGTCTCGCTCTGTTGCCCAGGCTGGAGTGCAGTGACACTATCTCGGCTCACTGCAACCTCTGCCTCCTGGGTTCAAGCAATTCTCTTGCCTCAGCCTCCTGAATAGCCAGGACTACAGGCATGTGCCACCATGCCCCGCTAATTTTTTTTGTATTTTTAGTAGAGACGGGGTTTCACCCTGTTGGCCAGGCTGGTCTGGAACTCCTGACCTCAGATGACCCACCCGCCTTGGCTTCCCAAAGTGTTGGGATTACAGGCGTGAACAACCATGCCCGGCCAGATGACATGAAATATTTTAGAGTAACATTTAAAATTCTGTAGTATTACTTGTAAATGTTCACTTTAATAAATAATGAAATGCAACATATTCCTTACTGAATAGGTGCCCCACATTTAAAAATTCCTATCGATCGTGAATATCCAATGTGCATAAAAATCAACAGCAATTTATAGTTTCTATGGATGATTCAATTTAACCTTCTAGCCAATAGGTACTCAAGAAATAGAGTTATACTTTAAGATCAGCCTAGGAAAAACGTAAGTGGGGAAGTCATTCTTTGAGACATATGCCGTATACTCATTGTCAACATCTCTCATTTATGTACATGTTCATACAGGTGTAGACTATCTGGCCAACACTCTAGTCTACGTTATGGCTAGTTAACACGCTTTAAAAGACTCATGTATATATTACATAAATATGCATGTGCATATATATGAAGACCTAAATTAAGTGGAAAAAATGAATATGAAATTTTATTTTTTAAATTAACATCTTGTTAATTATAGATAATTTAGACAATTCTCAAAATTAAGTTCCAGAAACTTATATCCCAGAGCACAAGTGTCCTGACATGACACTAACATTCTGGCTCCCATCTGGGAAGCTAAACAGAAAAGAGTTCATATACAGTCAGGACAAATCCGCTTCCGTGCAGTTTTCAATTCTTTTTATTCTCTTCTGTGAAGAAAAAGTCACTAAAGCATCCACACTGACAAACTAGAAAGGAAAAGTTTGGTTTGTTTCACATGCTTTCTTGCTGGGGTCAATGGTAGTCTGCCTGGAAATGCTGCTTTAAGGCAGAAAGAGACTGTCTGCTCTCCAAGCCCAAATAACTATGGTGTTGAGACGGCCTCACTCATTGAGAAAACCAGCTTGTCAAGTACAAGTGTGTGCCAATTATAAACCAAACATTTTTTAAAAAACCCAAAACTGCAGAACCAAAAAAAAAAAAAGGGAAAACTAGCCGGTCATCCTGAGGCCTCTCCATTCAGGCACTCCTGTCAGTGTGTGTCACACGGGAGAGGAGGCTGTCCAGCTCCTCCCTGCACAAAACAAGCTCAGAGATGCCCAGGCATTCACTGAGACTCATTTACTAAGAAGTCAGAATGTTGAAGACTTATTAGAAAGCTTAGTTCTTCATGTCTGTGTTAGCCTGCTGTGCAGGAGATGAATCAGTTTGTGTTGACCGAGGCGTGCAAGATTGCTAGAGGGTCTTCACCAGTCATCAGCGAACATCGCTGTCCTTGCCTCCAATCTGAGTGCCGGCAAAGCAGACCCCCTCACAATGCTCAAGTGCCTAGACCCCCAGATTCCCGCCTCCAAGAGAAGCACTGAGTCAGACTCAACTATTTTGAATGAGTCCACTCTGCAAAAGCTAATCTCACCTTCAACGAAAATGAGGTCTTGGTGGTCAGGGTGGAAACACCACGATGCAGTCACCATATAGAAAACCTCTAGAAGGTTTGTGCCTTGACCTTCACAGGCTATCGGGGTGGATCCAAGGGTGTGTTGCCTGCTGGTTGGCCCTCTGGTGTTGTTTACCTGCCACGTTGTCTGTAGTTTAACTGGGATGGGGGATGGTCTTCTGGCATTTAATAAAAACATACCATGTTAATAGCAGTAGCATTCTTCCTATGGAATCATTCGTATTTTGTGTTTCTTTCTTTTTAGAAAATATTTTCGGGTTTTCACGTGTGTGGTTGGGCTGTGGGTACTGGGGACTTTCTACCCATTTCATGGTACTTGGATAGGACAAACTTAGGCTCTTCCTAGAGCCATTGCTGCCACTTATATGTCGCATTTTTGTGCTGTAACTCCAGGTCCAGAAAGGTGGAAGAGGATGAATATGAAGATTCATCATCAAACCAAAAGTGGGTCTTGGCTCCAAAATCCCAAGACACCGACGTGACTCTTATTCTCAACAAGTTGCTAAGAGAATATGATAAAAAGCTGAGGCCAGATATTGGAAGTGAGTGTTGTTTTTTGTTATTCTAATAGAAAAATATGCTGTAGTGATATGAAGTTTTTACTTTTGAGTAATTGTGAATTCCAAGAGTATTGCAAAGATAGTGCAGAAAGGTTTCCTGTACTTGTCACACAATAGATAACTTAGTGTGATACCAAACCAGGAGACTGACACTGGTGCCATGCAGGAACGTGGCTCTGTGTCATTTTATCCCATGTAGACTTATGTAATGATCCTTGCAGTCAAGATACAGAACTCCTTCATCAACCGAAAGTGGATCTCGTATCACCTCTTGCTATCCCTTTACTGTCACATCTGCTTCCTTCCCCCAAAATTTCTAACCATTGTCAGCCTCAAATTTGTTCAATTTGTTATTTTATTTTTATTTATTTTTTTGTCATTTTGAGAATGTCACGTACATGGAATCATTGACCTTTTGAGACTGGCTTTTCTTTATTCAGCAAAATGATTTTGAGATTCATTCAAGTTGTTACATGTGTCAGTAGTTTGTTCTTTTTTACTGCTGAATGGTTGTTCATGGTATGAGTGTATCACAGCTTCTTTAGCCATTCATCTGTTGGGGAACATTTTGATTGTTTCCTGTTTTTGTCTATTGCAAATAAAATGACTGAGCACATTTATATACAGGTTTCTATGTGAGCATAAGATTGTATTTTTGGGATAAATACCCAGGAGTACGATTGCTGGGTTGTGCGACAGCAGTATGTTTAATTGCTTAAGGAACCGTCAAACTGTTTTCCAAAGTGGATACACTATTTTTCGTTTCCCCCAGCAATATCTGAGAGATCCAGTTTCTTTGTGTCCTCACCAGCAACTGGTATTTTCACTATTTTTTATTTTAGCTGCTCTAATAGGTATATATTTAATAGGTTGATACCTCATTGTTGTCTTAATTTACATTTCCCTAATTGTTAGTGATACTGAACTCTTCTTTTATTTTATTTATTTATTTATTTTGCCATCAGTATAGCCTTCTCATTGAATTGTCCCTTCATGTTATTTGCCCTTTTAAAAATTGGATTATTTGGTCTTATTTTATTTTTTTACTGCTGAAATTGAGAGTTCTCTGTATATCCTAGGTATGATCCTTTATGTCAAATATGTAGTTTGCTTTTCATCCTTTTAATAGCATCTTTCACAGAGGAAAAGTTTCTAATATTGATGAAATCCAATTTATTGATTTTTTTTTTATGGAGCATGCTTTTAGAGTATTGTCTAAGAATTCTGCATGAAGCCCTAGCTCTTGAAAATTTTCTCCTTTGTGTTCTTCTGAAAGTTTTGTAATTTCATCCTTTACATTTTAATTTGTTATGTCTTGATTTTTATATAAAATAAATATGTAAGATTTAGATCTAATTTCTTTTCCCCACCCTCCATGGATGCCCAATTACTCCAGCACCATTTGTTGGAGAGACTATCCTTCCTTGACTGAATTGCTTTTATGAAGTTGTCAAAAATCAGCTGGCTTGACTGGTGTGGGTTATTTCTGGTTCTCTGTTTCGCTCTGTTTTATCTGTGTGTCTGTCACTCTGTCAATACCCACAATTTTTATTACCATAGCTGTATAATAAATCTTCAAATTGGATCAAGTAATTCAACCTCTTTATTCCTCCTTTTCAACATTAGCTCATCTTAACTTCTAATAGTTCGTATGCTTTTCAATATACATTTTAGAATAGTTTTCTCTGTAACTACAGAAAAATCCTGCTGGGATTTGGTAGGAGTTTGTTAAGTGTAGATATCAATCTGGAAAGAACTGGCATCTCTACTATGTTGCATCTTCCAATCCATGCATATGATAGGTCTCTTCATTATTTAGATCTTCTTTATGTTCTTGTATCAGTGGTTTCTAGTTTTCAAGAGGTATGTCCTGAATGTATTTTGTTAGATTTATGACTAAGTATTTTGTTTTTTGGAGCAATTGCGAATAGTACTGTATTTTAACATTTCATTTTGCCTGTGTTAATTTCTAATATACATAAATACAATTGATTTTGGTATGTTGATGTGTTCTCTGACTTGCTGAACTTATTAGTTATAGAAGTTTGGGACTTTTTTTGTTTGTTTGTTTTGTAGGTTCCTTGGCATTTTCTATGTACACCATCATTGTCATCTGCAAATAAGGAGAGTGTTCATTCTTGCTCTCCAATCTGAGTATCTTTTATTTATTTTTTCTTGCCTGTTGCACTGGCTAGAACTCCCAGCACTGTGTTGAACAGCAGTGGTGTGAATGGACATCTCTGCCTTGTTCTAGATCTTAGGGGCAAAGCCTTCAGTCTTTCCCCATAAAGTATGATATTAGCTGGAGGTATTTTGTACATGTTCTTTATCCAGTTGAGAAAGTTCTCTCTATTCCTAGTATTCTGATACATTAAAAAAAAGTTTCATGATACTTAAAAAAATCATGAATGGGCTTTGAATTTCACCAAAGACTTCCTTTTACTGCATCAATTGGTATGATTTTATGATTTTTTTCTTTAGTCTGTCAATATGGTGGATTATATTAATTGATTTTCAAATATTGAATCAGTATTGCATTCCTGGAGTAAATCCCACTTAGTCATGGTGTTTAATAATACCTCCTTTTGTATATTGCTGAATTCTGTTTGTTAATATTTTGTTAAGGATTTTTGCATGTCTATGTTTAAGGGACTATTTTTTTGAGTCTTGGGTAATATGAGCTTTATACAATGGGTTGGGACGTACTCCCTCATCTTCTGTTTTCTAGAAAAGATTATATAAGGGTTTGTGTTAATTCTTTAAATGTTTGATAGAATTCTCCAGTGATACCCTCTGGGCCAGGAGATTTCTTTTCTGGGAGTTATTTCATTTCCTTAATAAGTCTATTCAAATTATCACTTTCATATTAGGGTTGTGGTGGTTTTTTTCAAGAAATTGGTCCATTTCTTTAAAGTTGTCAAATTTATATGTTTAGCATTGTTCATGATATTCCCTCATAATCTTTTGTGATGTCTGTAGGACCTATAATAATATCCCTGCTTCATTTCTGATACTGGTAACTTGTGTCATCTTCCTTTTTTTGTCAGTCTTGCTAGAGGTTTATTTTATTGACCTTTTTAAAGAACCAACTTTTTGTATGATAGTTTTTCTGTTATTTTTGTTCCCAATTACATCAATTTTGCTTTTATACTTATTATTTCCTTTATTTTTCTTGCTTTGGGTTTATTTTGGTTTTCTTCTTTTTGAAGTAGAACTTAGATTCTTTTGGCCGGGTGCGGTGGCTCATGCCTGTAGTCCCAGCACTTTGGGAGGCTAAGGCAGGAGGATCACGAGGTCAGGAGATCAAGGCCATCCTGGCTAACACGGTGAAATCCCGTCTCTACTAAAAAATACAGAAAAATTAGCCAGGCGTGGTGGCGGGCGCCTGTAATCCCAGCTACTGAGGAGGCTGAGGCAGGAGAATGGCGTGAACCTGGGAGGCAGATGTTGCAGTGAGCTGAGATGGCGCCACTGCACTCCAGCCTGGGCCACAGAGCAAGACTCCTCTGTCTCAAAAAAAAAAAAAAAAAAAAAAAAGAACTTAGATTCTTTTATTTGAGACTATTCTTTTCTTATGTAAGAACTTTTCCTTTTTGTACTTCTTTAATTTCATCCCATGAATTTTGGTATGTTGTATTTTCATTTTCATTCAGTTAAATGTATTTTTTAATTTCCCTTGAGATTTTTTTCTTTAACTCATGAATTATTTAGAAGCCTGTTTTGTAGGGGAACAGCAGACACTGGGGTCTATCTGAGGGTGGAGGGTGGGAGGAGGGAAAGGATCAGCAAATATAACTAATGGATACTAGGCTAATTACCTGGGTGATGAAATAATCTGTACAACAAATTTCCATGACATGAGTTTATCTATATAAGAAACCTGCACATGTACCCCTGAAGTTAAAATAAAAGTTTTTTAAAAAAACAAGCTTGGTTTCATAGAGAACTTTCATCCCAACAAGGACATGATTTTTCAACTGAGAAACATTCCCAAATTTTACTCTTGAAGAGGGAGATTAACCATTGTGTTTTAGGTTTTGAAATGGAATTGTTTCCAAATTTTGGCTTTTGTGAATAAAACTGCTGTGAGCATTTCTGTACAAAAAAAGAGAGTGTGCTTTTAGTTTCCAAGTACTTGCACATATTCCTATTATATGTTACGGATTTCTAGCCTGATTCCACTATGATCAGAGAATATACTCTATATGAGTTTAATTCTTTTAAATATGTTAATGTTTGATTTACCATCCAGGATATGGTCTATCTTGGCAAATGCTCCACGGTCTTGAAAAGAGTATGTATCCTGTCATCAATGGATGGACTGGATCCTGTTGTCTGATAGTGTTGTCCAGTTCTATATCCTTGCCTATTTTCTGTCTAGTTTTCTATTGATTATTTGAATAGATTGACAATTGATAGATTAAAAAGTAGATTCTGACCCAAGAGAGGAGTGGTATATTTGGCCAGGAGGGAAGTGGCACATACAATTGCTGGTACAGGCATGCACTGGCCTTGTGGTGACAGTAAGGGGAAGTGGGGATTGCAGCAGACGCACCGTCGGCAGGATGTGCCTGACCGTGGCTTGCTTCTTCTCCTTCAGGAGGCTCCACTGCCTGATAGCTTCCTAGCACTCACACTGCCCAGGCACACTGTCCCTCCATTTTTCCAAGCCCAGGACTCCAGCATGTCTGTAGCAGGACCTAGAACTATGCTGATTCCAGTAGCCATCGAATTTCAAAATCCATGTGTGTAGTGTGGGAGACTTTGAAGATGCGTGTCTAGTGCAGCGTTGGAGAAATCATATCACCCTTCATGCCTCAGTTGCCTCTCCTATGCAATGAAAGAGAGGGACTAAAATGACTCTTAACTTTTCCTTCCAGCTTTAAAATATTTCTTCAGTGAGTGATATATCTAAATTACCATTGCACAAGTTCACAAATTCAATTGTCACCACAGTGTTTGCATCCTAATTAGATAGAAAATCTTTCTAGTGTGAAGAGTGTGCAGCAATTCTGCATTTATATAGAAAGAGATGCTTTAGAATATGTTACTAATTTCCTCCTTGATTGTCAGACACTGGTCAGTCAGAGAGCAAAGATACCCAAGACTGGTTCCTTGCTCCTCTGGATAAGCTAAGTCCAGTTGGAAGTTCATGTATCCTGTGGTAGGCTACAGTGAAGCACCTTCCTCATGGTGTCACTGGGCACCACATGGATCCCCTGAGGTAGAAAATTGCAAATGGGGAGACAGTGGGTGAGCTTGGCTTCCAACCCAGATCTCTCTGGCTCTATAGCAAGATGATTTGACCATTGCACTATTTGTAGAAAACTCAAGGCAAGCCTATTCAAAAATATTCCTCACACCCCAACAATGCAGCGCTTGCAAGAAGATATATTAAGGTGCTGCCATGTGCAATAGGCAAGCAAAATTCACAATTCTAGAGATTTTTCCACTGTGTACACAAGGAATTGTGAATTTCCCAAATAAAACAGCATATGTACACACCAAGAACAAGTGTTCATTTCAAAGAAGGCAACTCCCCTAAAGCATCCTGTCATTTAGTCCTCATAAGTCATCATCACATGTGAGAACATGCTCTGTGCTTTGTGAGTGAAAAGATTTTTAACAAACAACTAAACATAAAGTTATGAGGTAGGATGCTCCTCTTTGGTTTTGTGACTTTAACGTTCCACCATGATCATCATCTGGTCCCTGGGGCAGCAGAGGGGGCTGATGAAAGCACCCATGATCCCTGGGACAAATTAGGACTTGTCTGCCTGTCTCATTTAAATGCTAAATCACGTATCATTGGCAGAACCCAGCAACTTGATGATATTCAATCAGAAAACAGAGTCACTACCCAAGAACAGCTCTCCCGGTAAAAGATACTGAATTAGAAACCATTTTCTTTCATGGCTCAGAAGGGCTCTGCTTTAAAAGAGAACTTCCTATAAACATCTGAATCCCTTTTCTTTTCTCATGACTTTTTTTTTTTTTCAAATCTAGCCAATTTCATTTGCTATAACCATCAGGCCTTCTCATCCCTTATCAAGGTGCAGTGAACTTATATGTACATAATGTGCTGTACATGGATTTACTATTAGTTTGTGGGAGAGGCCAGCTCATTGCTCACTTCCTTTACACCCCCGACCCTGGTACACCCTGGGAGCCCCCGGGAGGCTCTCCACACTTGCGATCTTCTGATGGCGAGAGACAAAGAAGGGGACTCTCCAGATAGCACTTCGGAGTAGATAGGGGCACTCCCACTTTGGTCTAAATTAACCTGTTTAATTTGAAACTCTTGAAAGTTGCACTTCGCTTCTCAGATAAAGACCAAGTCCCTTAAAAATGACATTAAGATGGAAGGCTGAGGCAGGAAGATTGCTTGAGCCCAGGAGTTTGAGACCAGTCTGAGCAACATAAGAGACCTTGTTTCTACAAAAATAATAGTAAAAAATAGTCAGGTGTGGTGGCACATGCCTGTGGTCCCAGCTACTCAGGAGGCTGAGGCAGGAGGATGGCTTGAGTCCAGGAGTTCAAGGCTGTAGTGAGCTATGACTGTGCCACTGCACTCCAGCCTGGTAGATGGTGCAAGAACCTGTCTCTAAAAGGAAAATAATTTTAAAAAGACATAAAGAGACAAACCTCAAGCCTCAAACTATTATCTGTTTCTTTTCTACTTCTCCACTACCATTTGCTGACTCTGTGAATCACGTGCCGGGTACTTCAGGGACACTAGACCTCCTGTTTTCTTCTTCTGGACCCTTGATTTTGCTGCTGTCCTGGCCCGTTTTTCCCCCGTCTGTGCTGAGCTCACCATGCCTGTCTTCGAGCCTCGTTGTCGCCCCCTACAGGAAGCCCTCCCTCATTTCGTGTCCCTTCCCCACCTCCCCACTGTGGTGGTGAGTTTCTTCTAGCATCAGTTTTTTCATCTTTGAAACAATGATAATACATTTTGAAGGCCTGTCTTGAGGATAATGTGGTATGGTGTGACATGAACAGTTTCTACAGCATTGTTGTGTACTTTCCACATTGTACAGCTGAGGACTGGTCTTTTTTTTTCCCTCTAGGGCGCTGTTTCCAATTCCTAACTATAGAGGCATCCATGTATGTTGGCATCTCCCAACATACGTGGTCCAACTGCAGCAGGGCGATCCATCATCAGGAAACAATTGTGCATCACTGTTATTTTTAACAACAAATAGATGGGATTTAATAGACTCGTTCGTTCATGTTGCGTGGAAGTAACAAATCTGCATGGAATCCTCTAATTAGTTTTCATAATACAAATTGTGATCATTATGTTTTAAAAATAATGACTCCTCTCCTAGACATTATTTCTTCTCAACTAACTTCTAAATTATGGATATATCTGTTTTAGTTCCCTTCTTTATCCATCCTTTTAAGTAATGCTTCAGCCCTGTCCTTAGCTGGTTCAGGGTGATGTAGGGTGTCATTTTTCTTGGAACAGATCTTGTCATGTGAGCTGGGAAAGGCTGGAGGAGGATAAACCTTTTAAGAAAATCACGAAAAGGAAGAGAAATGGCCTAAGTAAATTTCACTTCCTTCAGGGTTTCAAGAAACTTAAACCACTCTACTGAAAGCAGATGATTAGAGAATACAGATTCCCTCCCCAGTATGTGGGCAATCAATCTGTGCCAAATATGGTCATGCTGGGAAAAACAGAAGGTTACATATTGGCTTTTAAAAGTGAATAGACACTCTGTGGAGTCCTGGGCAACGCTGACTGATGGGTTCACTGAATCCAGGCAAAACATCTGAATCATCTTGTCTTGGCCGTATCAATGGCTAGAGGGCTTCTTCAAGTGTTTGCATATCTGAACTTCTGTTCCAGGCTTTTCTAAAATGTATTTTCCCAGTTCAGTTGAAACTTCTGCTAAATATGGAATAAGAATATTCAGTATGTGCTGAAGCTGGTTGCATGGTGAGGAGGTGAGGTGTGTTATGGCTGCAGCCCATGGCAGGAGATCCCAGCCTCCTCCTCTGCCAGGGCTGCCCACACACCCCACCTGGGCAGGAATGCTGGAGGAAGGTGCCACCAGGGCTTGCTTTCTTCCAGCTTTCCAGGCTGGACATGACACCGGGCACTGACTCAGGATGGCTGAGATGATGCAGACAACTCCTTGCTGGGCAGCGCGAGAGGAATCCCTGCCCGTTCCTGGATGAGGAAGTGAAAACAGAAAATGACTGTAGAGTGGGGCTGTGTCCCCCAAATAGGTCAGGAGTTAGTTTTGTTGCAGATACTAGGTTTTAAAACAACTAAAAGCAATAAAATATGGGCCTTGAATTATAATTTTTAAATGAGTCTTCTTATGCAGCTCCTTGATGTCTTTCAGTGAAAAATTATAAGCACAGTTGAGTTGCCTTAGAACTCTAGGCTGGAAGCTGAGGGAGCACTGGTCACAGATGGGCCACCTCCAAGAGGATTGGATTAGCCAGTGGAAAGCAGACGAAGCCCCCCACTTGCATTTTTCTGAGCTGGTCTTGGTGTTAATGGAATAACCTCGCCATGCCCCGCCACAGGTTTTGAGAGATTATGTTGGAACGCCCTGTTTAAGTGAAATTTGGAGTGTATGAAGGGCCGTACAAAGAACCAGATGTATGATTAAGATACTATGATTGATAATGAAGGCATACAATAGTCCTTCATCCTGATTGTTTCCGTATTTTAAGAAAAATAGGAGACACAATGTTTTAATCCAAAGGAGTAAAGTACAAATGCCACAGTGTAGGTGAAGGAAGTGGGAGTTGGAGGTAGAGTGTGAGATATTTTGGGGTCCCTCGATCCACTGTGTCCTGATGACTCACCATCTAGGTGCCCCAGGCTGGTGGCTGCCTGCCGGACCACCCCTCTGACTCAATGAATCAAACCAACCTTTTCCTTCTCCATGCACATCTGGTAACTGTGTTAGCTGTTCATGTAGTTCAGCCTGGCCAGTCCTCACCTGAAATCCACAGCCCACCGTGCATACAAATGACTTGTCATTTACCAGCAATTACTGTATATCCAGAAAATAATTCAAATGTATTCACTCCACTCTCGGAACAGATGTAGGAGGAGAGGAAACAGACATTCTTAATTGCTGTGCTTGAAGTAAAAGCTATTACTGTAGAGTTAGTTAACTGATTCTCTCACAAAGTTAATTCAAATGCATAAGGGAGGTGGAGAATAAATTTTGTAGAGAAATTATACCTGTCATCTCCAGGAGAGACTAAGTAGACATCCAAAGGCCGCCGAGTTCAGACCTCAGCTTAACACACGTTGGCGGCTGAACTTTCCCCACCTCTTCCTCACCACTTTGGGCAGCTGACCCTTCGCACACACACCTGAGCACCTAGGATTGCACCATGCCACCCCTATCGAGGTAAAGCTCCGTGTGAGACAGTGCTGTGTTGGAGCCCACTCATGCACTTCACAGTTCATTAAAAATATGTGCTGGATTTCAAAAATAGGGAATATATAATGTGGTTTCAGCATCTAAGTATTTTATTTTTTCTTATATGCTGTTTGGCAAATAACTCAGGTGACATGTCCTGAGGTATAATCTAGTGCTGGTCTTGATTTGAATATTCAGCTCAGTTCATAGAATAACAAATGATCTGTTTCTTATGTTTATTCATTACTGCTCCAGGAATTGAGCAATGTGGATTAGAAAGTGTTTGAGTGAGAAAAGATCTGGACTCACATAATGAGTTATCCCACCAGTTACCAGCAGGTTTCAGAGTGAAAGAGACAGCCTCACTGGACCGTGGGTTTCTGTCTCTAAACGAAATAATTAAACCTATATTCCAAGTCCTGCTGTAAGAATTACAGGTAATGCACTTTGGAAGGCCAAGGTGGGCGGATCACGAGGTCAGGAGATTGAGACCATCCTGGCTAACATGGTGAAACCCCATCTCTACTAAAAATACAAAAAAATTAGCTGGGAGTGGTGGCAGGTGCCTGTAGTCTCAGCTACTCGGGAGGCTGAGGCGGGAGAATGGCGTGAGCCCGGGAGGCGGAGCTTGCAGTGAGCCGAGATCACACCATAATTCATAAGATGGCAGGGGGCATCAGGTGCCTTCCATACTTCCCAGCTCCACACAGTGCTTCGGCTTCTGTTTCGGGTTGGTTTATGAGTACCGGAATAGAGCCCTTAGACAACTTTACTGTCGTAAATGCTTTGCCTTACATTGAACTTTCAGTTCAGCTGTCTGCATTTCATCACTCTGTAATTAACATCCATATCCAAGACATCTTACAGATCCTCTTATGAAGTATTACTGTGCCTATACTGATCAGATTATCGTTCTCATAATCCATAATTCAAGGACCAATGTAAACGCAAGATCATAGTTTCCTAGGATATCATGGTTTGAAGGGATTCTAAAGGACATCTAATCCAACAGTTCACAAACCTGGCATTACGTCAGAACCGCCGGAAGAGCTGGAAGTCAGAGCCCAACCTCAAGAATTACTGAATCGGAATAGTTATTCCGTTTTCTAGTTCCTTGATTTCCATTTTGATAACCGTTCTGCTTACTTTGTGTTTCATGTGTTGTTTTTCTAGTTTTGAGGTGGAAGACGAAGGCATTGATTTGAGACGTTCTTTTCTAATTTTCATATTTAGTGTCATTAATTTCCTCCTGTGTATTACTTTATTAGCATCCTATAGATTTCAGTGTTTTAATTTCACTTACATTCAATAAAAAACAGCTCCTAATTTCCTTTTTGATTTCTTCTTTGACCAATGTAGTATTTAGTGTGGTATTTATTTTTCAAATATTTGAGGTTATTCCAGATATCATTCAGTTATTGATTTCTAATTTAATTTCACTGTGCTTAAAGAACATACTCTGAATAACATAAATCCTTTTAAGCTTATTGAGAGCTGTTTTATGGCACAGAATATGGTCTCTCATGCTGTGTACTTGGAAAGAATGTATATTCTGCTGTTGTTAGATGCAGTTGTTTCATAAATTAGACAAATTAGGTGAAGTTGGTTTATACTTTTGTTAAAGTCTACTTGCTGCTTTTCTATCTATTTCTATTAATCAAGAGTGAAATCTTGATATTTCTAGCAATAACTGTAGCTGTATTTTTCTTTAGTTCTATCAGTGTTTGAGTCATGAATTTTGAAGCATTATTACCAGGGGTAAATGCATTTAGGATTTTTATGTTTTCTTAATTAATTAACCACTTTATCATTGTATAATGAACGTCTTTATACCTAGCAACATTCTTTGCTATGAAATCTACTTTGTCAGGTGTTAAAATAGCCACTTCAGCTTTTCTTTGACTAGTGTTAGTATGGTATATACGTCTTTCCATCCTTTTACTTTTAACCTATGTTTGTCTTTGTGTTTAAAATGTGTTTCTTGTAGATGACATATAGGTGAATCTTGCCTTTAATAAAAAAGCCCAATCTAACAATCTCTGCCTTTAAATTGGAGTCTTTAGACCATTTATATTTACTGTTGCTATTGATGCAGTTTGATTTCAGTTTATGATCTTTTTATTTTTCTTTCTTTTTTTGCTCCTTTCCCCTCTTTTTATGATTGTCTTCCTTTATTTTCCTAATTAGCCGTAACTACAATTTTATATTGTTATTTTAGTGGTTGCATTAAAGATTTATAGTATTGTATACATTTTTAACTTATCACAGTCTACCTTCAATTAATATTATACCCTTTCAGCATGGCTGAAAATATTTTTATTTTGCCTGTGTGAAAACATCTTCATTGAAATATGATTCATATACCATAAAATTCATCCAATTATAGTGTACAGTCCAATGGCTTTCAGTATATTCACAATATTGTGCAGCCATAATTTAGGTTTAGAACATCTTCATCTGTGCAAAAAGGAGAAAGCTACTCACTCAGGGGTAGTCACTCCACATTATCCTTGCCACTCTTCTTTGAGCCCTTGGTAACCAATAGTCTAATTTCCATCACTATGAATTTGCCTGTAATGTACCTTTGATATAAATGGAACCGTTAGAATAGGTGACTGGTTTCTTGAATGTTTTCAAGGTTTATCAATGTGATAGCATGTATCAGTACTTCTTTCATCTTATTCTTAGTTGCCAAATCATATTCTATGTTTGTGTTTTGTTTGTCTCTTCATCAGTTGATACTGATAACATTAAACAGGCATTTTGATTGTTTTTCAATAGTGGATATTCTAAATAATGATGCTATGAATATATGTATATAAGTTTTACATGGATAAATGTTTTGATTTTTCTTAGATATACATGTAAGAGTGGAATTGCTGGATGATTTAGTTTTTGACCGATTTTATTCAACTTTTTTATTGTTAACTTTTGTGGGTATATAGTAGGTATTTATGCTTATGAGGTACATGAGACATTTTGGTACAAGCATGCAATGCATAATAATCACATCGAGGAAAATTGGGTATCCATTGCCTCAAGTGTTTTTTTATGTTACAAACAATTCAGCTATATGCTTTTAATTATTTTAAAATGTACAATTAAATTATTTTTGACTATAGTTCCCCTCTTGTGCTATCAAATACTAGGTCTTGTTCATTCTTTCTAACTATTCTTTTATATTCATTAACTGTCCCCACCTTCCCCTCCTCCTCACCACCCTTCCCAGCCTCTGATAACCATCCTTCTAGTCTCTATGTCCATGACTTCAATTGTTTTGATTTTAGATCCCACAAATAAGTGAGAACATCCAATGTTTGTCTTTCTGTGCCTGGCTTATTTCACCTAATGATCTCCAGTTCTATCTATGGCATTGCAAATGACAGGATCTCATTTTTTAATAGCTGAATAGTATTACATTATGTATATGTGCTGCATTTTCTTTATCCATTCATCTGTTCATGGACACTTAGGTTGCTTCCAAATCTTGGCTATTGTGAACAGTGCTGCAATGAACATCAGAATGAAGATATCTCTTCCATATACTAATTTCCTTTATTTTGGGTATATACCCAGCAGTGGAATTGCTGGATCATATGGCAGCTTTGTTTATAGTTTTTTGAAACACTTCCAAAATGTTCTCTGTAGTGATTTATTAATCTACATTTCCACCAACAGTGTACAAGGGTTCCCTTTTCTCCACATCCTTGCCAGCATTTGTTATTGCTTGACTTTTGGATAAAAGCCATTTTAACTGGGGTGAGAGGATATCTCATAGTTTTGATTTGCATTTCTCTGATTATCAGTGATGTTGAGCATCTTCTCATATGCCTGTTTGCCATTTGTATATCTTCTTTTGAGAAATATCTATTAGAATCTTTTGCCCATTTAAAAATCAGATTATTAGATTTTTTTTCCTATAATGTTTGTGTGAGCTCATTATATATTCTGGCTATTAATCTCTTGTCAGATGGATAGTTTGCAAATATTTTCTCCCATCTGTGAGTTGTCTCTTTACTTTGTTCTTTGTTGATTGTTTGCTTTGCTATGCAGAAGCTTTTTAATGTGACGTGATCTCATTTGGCCATTTTTGTTTTGGTTGCCTTGCTTGTGGGCTATTACTCAGGAAATTTTTGCTCAGACCAGTGTCCTAGAGAGTTTCCCCAGTGTTTTCTTGTAGTACTTGTAGTAGTTCCATATTTTAAGGTCTCGGATTGAAACCTTTAATCCATTTTGATTTTTTTTTTTTTTTTTTTAAGACAGAGTCTTGCTCTGTCATCCAGGCTGAAGTGCAGTGGTGCAATCTCGGCTCATTGAAACCTCCGCCTCCTGGGTTCAAGTGATTCTTTTGCCTCAGCCTCCTGAGTAGCTGGGACTACAGGCATGCGCCACCAGACCTGGCTAACTTTTGTATTTTCAATAGAGATGGGATTTCACCATGTTGGCCAAGCTGTTCTTGAACTCCTGACCTCGTGATCCACTCGCCTTGGCCTCCCAAAGTGCTGTTATTACGTGATGTGATTTTTGTTAAGGCAAGTGATGGGGCCAAGTTTCATTCTTCTGCATATGAATATCGAGTTTTCCTAGCACCATTTATTGAAGACATTCTTTCCCACCAGTGTCTTATATTCTCAGCACCTTTGTCAAAAATGAGTTCACTGTAGGTGTATGGATTTGTTTCCAGGTCCTCTATTCTGTTCCATTGGTTTATGTGTCTGTTTTTTATGCCACTGCCATGCTGTTTTTGTTACTATAGCCTTGTAATGTAATTTGAAGTCAGGTAATATGATTCGTTCAATTTTTTTTTTTCCCCCAGGATAGCTTTGACTATTTTGGGTCTTCTGTGATTCCATATACATTTTAGGATAGTTTTTTAAAATTTTATTTTGGTGAAAACTGTCATTGGTATTTTGATAGGGATTGCATTCAATTTATAGATTGCTTTGGGTAGTATAGACATTTTAACAATATTTATTCTTCCAATCCATGAACATAAAATATCTTTCCATTTTTTGATATCCTCTTCAATTTTTTCATCAGTGTTTCATAGTTTTTATTACAGAGATCTTTCACATCTTTGGTTAATTCCTGGGTATTTAATTTTATGTGTAGCTATTGTAAATGGGATTACTTTTAATATTTCTTTTCTTTTCTTTCTTTCTTTTTTTTTCTGAGACGGAGTCTTGCTCTTTCACCCAGGCTGGGGTGCAGTGGCATGATCTCGGCTCACTGCAACCTCCACCTCCCGGGTTCATGCCATTCTCCAGCCTCAGCCTCCTGAGTAGCTGGGACTACAGGTGCCCGCCACCATGCCCAGCTAATTTTTTGTATTTTTAGTAGAGATGGGGTTTCACCGTGTTAGCCAGGATGGTCTTGATCTCCTGACCTCGTGATCCTCCTGCCTTGGCCTCCCAAAGTGCTGGGATTAAGGCATGAGCCACTGCGCCCAGCCTAAAATTTCTTTTTTATATTGTTCACTTGGCATATAGAGATGTGACTGATTTTTGTATGTCAAACTGTATCCTGCAACTTAACTAAATTTGTCAGTTCTAATAGTTTTCTTGTGGAATCTTTAGTTTCTTCCAAATATAAGATCATATCATCTTTACACCAGGATAATTTGATGACTTCTTTTCCAATTTGGATGTTTTTATTTCTTTCTCTTCTCTGATTGCTTTAGGTAGGACTTCAAATACTATGTAGAATAACAGTGGTGTAAGTAGGCATCCTTGTCATGTTCCAGATCTTAGAGGAAAGGCTTTCAGTTTTTTCCCATTCAATATGATACTAGCTGTGGGTCTGTCATATACAGCTTTTATTGTGTTGAGATATGTTCCTTCTACACCCAGTTTTTTGAGGGTTATCATGTAGTGATATTAAACTTTATCAAATGCTTTTTCAGCATGAAGTGATCATATGTTTTTTGTCCTTTGTTCTGTCGATATATCACATTGATTGATTTGTGTATGTTGAACCCTTCTTGCATTCCTGGAAGAAATCCCACTTGGACATGATGAGTGATCTTCTAAATTCATTGTTGAATTCTGTTTGTTTGTATTTTGTTGAGTATTTTTGCATCAATATCCATCAGAGATATTGGCCTGTAGTTTTCTTTTTTTTGATGTGTCTTTATTTGGTTTTGGTATCAAGGTAATATTGACTTCATAGAATGAATTTGGAAGTATCCCCTCTATTTTTAGGAACAGTTTGAGTAGGATTGCTATTAGTTATTTAAATATTTGGTAGAATTCAGCAGTAAAGACATCAGTTCCCAGGCTTTTATTTACTGGGGAAATTTTTATTATGGCTTTGATCTTATTACTTTTTATTGGTCTGTTCAGGTTTTGGATTTCTTCATGGTTCAATCTTGGTAGGTTGTATGTATCATCTAGGAATTTATTCATTTCTTCTAGATTTTCAAATTTATTCACATATAGTTGATCATAGCAGCCACTAATGATCCTTTAAATTTCTGCTGTATCAGTTGTAATGTCTCCCTTCATTTCCAATGTTACTTATTTGGGTCATCTCTCTTTTTTTCTTAGTCTGGCTAAAGGTTTGTCAATTTTGTTTATCTTTTCAAAAAAACCAACTTTTTGTTTCATTGATCTTTTGCATTATTTTCACTTCAAATTCTTTTATATCTGCTCTGATCTTTATTATTTCTTTTCTTCTACTCATTTTGAGTTTGGTTTGCTCTTGATTTTCTAGTTCTTTAGAGATACATCACTAGGTTACGTATTTGAAGTTTTTCTTTTTCTATGTAGGCACTTACAGCTATAAATTTCCCTCTTAGTACTAATTTTGCTGTTTCCCATAGACTTTGGTATGTTGTGTTTCCATTATCATTTGATTCAAGAAGTTTTTCAATTTTCTTCTTAATTTCCTCATTGACCCACTAGTCTTTCAGGGCCATATTGTTTCATTTCCATTTGTTCATATAGTTTTCAAAATTCCTCTTGTTATTATAGTTTTATTTCATTGCAGTTAGAAAACATGTTTGATAGTATTTTAATTTTTTTGACTGTTTTAAGACATGTTTTGTGACATAACATATGGTATACCCTTGAGTATGATCCATGTGTTGAGGAGAAAAATGTGTTTTCTGCAGCCCTTGAATGCAGTGTTCTGTGAATATCTATCAGGTCCATTTGTTCTATAGTGCAGATTAAGATGAGTGTTTCTTTGTTGATTTTCTGTCTGGGAGATCTTTCAAGTGTTGAAAGTGGGGCATTGAAGTCTCCAGCTATTATTGTGCTATTGTCTGTTTCTCTCTTTAGCTCTAATAATATTTGCTATATATATATATCTGTGTGCTCCAGTGTTGGGTGCATATATATTTAAAATTATTATATCCTCTTGCCGAATTGAACCCTTTATCATTGATAATGATCCTTTTTGTCTCTTCCCATAGTTTTTGTCTTGAAATCTGTTTCGTCTGATATAGCTACCCCTTCTGCTTTTTAGGTTTCCATTGGCATGGAATATCTTTTCCCATCCCTTTATTTTCAGTCTATATGCATCTTTATAGGTGAAGTGTGTTTCTTGTAGGCAACAGATCAGATCATTGGGTCTTTTTTTCCCATCCATTCAGCCCTCCATGTCTTTTGATTGGAAAGTTTAGTCCATTTACATTCAATGTGATTATTGCTAAGTAGGGACTTACTTATGCTGTTTTGTTACAGATATTCTCGGTTTTTTGCAGTCTTCCTTTCCTTCCTGTATTTCTTTTAGTGAGTGTGGTTTTCTCTGGTGGTTTGCTTTAATTTCTTTCTATTCTTTGTGTATACGTTTTATGTTTTTTGATTTGAGGTTCCCATGAGGCTTGCAAATACTCTATAACTCATTATTTGAAACTGATGATAACTCACCACTGATAGTAAAAAAAAATGCATGCAAAAGGAAAACTAATAAAAACTCTACACTTTAAATTTGCCCACTTTCTAACTTTTGTTTCTCTTTATATCTTATTGTACTGTCTATGTCTTCAAAGGTTGTAGTTATTATTATTTATTGGTTCATCATTTATTCTTTCTATTTAAGAGCAAGAGTGGTTTCCACATCACAGTTAGTGTTATACTATTCTGTGTTTTTCTGGGTGCTTGCTATTATCAGTGAGTTTTGTACCTTTAAATGGTGTCTTCTTGCTCATTGTTTGAGTGTGTTCTTCATTTTCCACACTTTTGTTAATTTACCACATTTCCTTCTGTTATTGATTTCTAATATAACTACATTGTGGTTGGAGAATAGACTTCACATGATTTCAGTCTTTTAAAATTTATTGAGGCTTGTTTTATGGCTTAGCATAAGCCATGCTCCGTCCCCTAAAATGTTCTATGTGCACTTAAGAAAAATGTTTATTCTGCTGTTATTGGATGGAGTGTTCTATAGAAGTCTGGTAAGTCTCATCATTTTATAGTTTTGTTAAATCCGTTTTCTTGTTGATCTTCTGTCTAATTGCTCTATTACTGAAAGTGGAGAATTAAGGTCCAATTATTGCACATTGAATTATCTGTTTCCCCTTTCAATTATGTCAGCTTTTTCTTTAGGTTATTTTAGGCTGAGTTGTTAGGTACATAAATATTTACATTTATTATATGTCCCAATACATAGGCTGTTTATCAATATGAAATATTTCTCTTTATTTTCTAGTAGCATTTTCAGTTTAAGGTGTATTTTATCTAATGTTAGTATAGCTACTTTGTATCTTTTATGTTTGGTGTTTGCATTGTATACCTTTTTCCATCTTTTGCATTTTAAACTGTTTGTATCTTTGAATTTAGAATGTGTCTCCCCTAGACAACATGGTGTTGGATCTTGTTTTTATGCCCATTCTCATAATTTCTGCCCATTATATTGTTTAATCAATTTATCTTGAATATTATTGCTAATATGGTTAGACTTAATCTGATGTTTTGCTTTTTTTTCTCTATGTGTCTCAAATCTTTTTGTTCCTCTTTTTCTCGTTTAATATCTTTTTTTTTTTGTTAAGTGGATATTTTCTAGTAGAAGATTTTGGTTTAATGATTAAAAGCTGTTTTGGAATCAGCAAGAGAAGCCTGTAACAGTAGGCTTGTCATTAGCAAGCCTACGGCAATATACATGTCATTGAAATTTTTGCTACTCTTAACAATATATATCTGAGATTATACAAACTTAATTCCAATTGAACATAGAAATTTACTCTAGATACCTCTGTTAATTCACCCTTTTTATACTGTCATACATATTACATCTCAATATATTACAAACCTAAAAATTTATTTTCACATTAGTTGTACAACCTTATGTCTTTTTTATATGCACCATTTAAATAACATATTTATTTATCATTTATGATGTATCATGTCTTCCTGTGAATTAGAGTTACCATCTGGGGTCATTATCTGCTCCAATGCAGCTGTATTCCTACTCACGTCCTTGTGCCGTTATTATTAAATATGTTGCTTGTCTTTTGTTATTGTTAGATATATGTAGTTAAATATATTTTATTATTGTTAAATATATTACTTGTTATAGGCCCAACAATGTAATTATATATGTACTTTTTTATGCAATTGCCTTTTAAGTTAGTTGAGAAGATTTATACAATTATATTATCTTTTATGACAATCTATGTAATTATCTTTATTAGGGCTTTTTGTTTTTTTTGTTTAAATTTGGATTTTTGTTTGTGGTCACTGGCTTTCAGCATAAAGAACTTCCTTAGTGTTTCTTGTAATGCAGGTGCATTAGCAACACATTCTCTGTCTCCTTTCTTGTTTTTTAATGTGGGAATTTTATGTTTACTTTTCAGAGATAGTCTTTTTATATTAATCACTTTGAATATGCAGTCACATTGTCTTCTGGCTTCCATCGTTTTGGTAATAAGTCAGTTGAGCCTCTCTTGTATGTCATAAATTGTTTTTCTCTTGCGGCTTCCAAGATTTTCTCTCTGTGTTTCAACATTTTGACTATGTTGTATCTGGGTATGAATTCCTTTGTGTTTTTCTTCCCTTGGAATTTCTGACCCTTTAACCTCCTTCCTCTGGTAGTCCAATTATGTATATACTGGCTTATTTATTTATTTATTTATTTATTTATTTTATTTTAATTTTTTTTGAGACAGAGTCTTGCTCAGTCACCCAGGCTGGAGTGCAGTGGCTCAATCTCCGCTCACTGCAAGCTCCGCCTCCTGGGTTCATGCCATTCTCCTGCCTCAGCCTCCCGAGTAGCTGGGACTACAGGCCCCTGCCACCACGCCCAGCTAATGTTTTTGTATTTTTTTAGTAGAGACGGGGTTTCACCGTGTTAGCCAGGATGGTTGCAATCTCCTGAACTCGTGATCAGCCCTCCTCGGCCTCCCAAAGTGCTGGGATTACAGGTGTGAGCCACCACGCCCGGCCTATACTGGTGTATTTAATAGCACCACACATCTCTCTGAATCTCTGTTAGTTTTTCATCATTCCTTTTTCTCTGTGTTTCAGATTTCACTTTTTCTATTGATTTATCCACAAGTTTGATGATCCTTTCTTCTGCCAGCTCAAATCTACTGTTGAATGTCTCCTGTGAATTTTTCATTTTGATTATTGTACTTTTTCGTTCTGGAATTTCTATTTGGTTCCTCATATTATTTCTATCTCTTTAATGATATTATCTGTTTCATAAGATTTTGTTATCATATATTCATTTAATTCTTTAGATATGGTTTCCTTGAGTTCTTTGAACCCATTTAATTTGTAATGGCTCTTTTGACATCTTTATTAAGGGCAACATCTGGGACCCCTCAAGAGTAGTTTCTATTGCCTGCTGTTCTTTTTTTCCTGTGTATGAATCGTACTTACCCATTTATTTGCATTTCTCATATTTCAAAAAAACTTTGACATTTGAAAAAATATATAACAACTCTAGATAATAATTCCCCACCCTTCCAACATTTACATTGATTTTGTTTGCTTGTTCCTTTATTTGTTTAGTAACTTACCTGTATTAATCCCAAGAAGTCTACTTCCCCCAGAGAAGGCAACTTCAGATGTATTTGCTCAAATTTCTTCCTCCTTATATTCATTTTTTAGCCCAGCTACCTAGTGTTGCCTCTTGCCTAGGTCAGCATTATCTTCTGCTTATTGACCAATGTTTGTCCATAAGTCATTTTAGACAGTTAGATTTTTCTCTTTATCAATGGATATCTGTGTGTCTTTGAGTTTGTTATCACAATTTAGGAATTTTACATTTTGTCCCATGTTCAGCTAGGGACTAGTAGCTTGGATTTTTCCTCCTTCTAATTCCTGATATATTACAGCCTTAGTTATGTATAGTCTCTCAGATCATGAGAGATGCAAGTAATTTTATTTAAAGCCTAGTTCCCTTAGGAATTGCCTCTGGGTCAGGGTAACTTATTGTTCATCCAGTATTTGGTCAGCAGTTGTGTTTAAGCCCTAGTGAGATTTACAATCTTTATTGATGTATTTGTGGCTTGGGAAATGTTTTCAGCCTACCTTGTGTTTTTCTCCAATTGCTCCTGGGTGAGTATAACTTAGTGCCTGTGCACAGAATTTCTGATGCCCAGTGTTGACTGTGATTCCAGGAGAGCTTTTTGTGATTGCTTCTTTCTCTGGTTCTGTCTGTTAAATTTCTGGTTACTCTACTGCTTTGTTTTTTGTTACTAGTATTGTAAATCTAAGAGCGGCTTCTTGATTGCTCTCCATCAAGAGCTTTGTTGTTTTCAACAACACATTTAGGCATGGAATTCTCCACACTTTGTTCCAAATGATGCCATCCTCCTTGTCCAGAGTTCTTAATCCTTATGGCATTCTTCTTCTTCTGGGCAGAATCCCCATGCCAGTATATAATGCCAGGGCCTGGGACAGCAGCCCAATACTCCCAGAGTGATATCTCTGCTGCACAACAGGCATTGGGGTGGTGCTGGTGGCAACCCCTGATCTTGGCTTGTTCTTTCTGGCATGGAACCCCCACTCTTCAAGTAAACAAGGTGAGAGCACCTGGAATAAACTCCCCCTAACTATGAGGAAGGCCTTGGTGGAGAAAAGGAATATCAGTTCTCTGGACCATGCCTGGCTGGAATAGAACTTCTGAAAAATGGGGCTGGAGAGAGTGAGAAACACTGGTGACCATCCCCTTCTAGAGTGAAATCATTATCTTACACTCAGAGAGCCCAGAGAAATGGGAGGCTTTGCTGTGTTGACCTAACTTACCCAGCATAGAGTATCAGATTCGAGTTTTATAAAACGAATCTAGGGTGGAGGAAGAGGCCACAGGCTCTCATTGTCCTCACAATGATTTAGTAAAGTTTTTTGATTGAATGTTTCTTCCTTTGCTGTATACCCTTAAAACAATTTCCAGGGATTTTAAATGCTTTAAAAAATAATGTTTTTCCGTTAAATGGGTCTTTATTTAAAAGAGAGCTGCCATGCTCCTCATTTTGCCATTCTGGAATTCCTATCCCTTGCCTTTGTTTTTGATGTGGAATTCTGGGTTAACCACTTTTTTGACCTGTCAGTTGGCCCTTCCTTATCCATGGGTTCTGCATCCATGGATTAAACCAACCATGGGTAGAAAATATTTGAAAAAAAAAAAACACAATGAAAAATAACAATATACAATAAAAATAATACAAACAAAAAAGCAATAGAATGTAGTGACTATTTACATAGCATTTACATTGTATTAGGTATTATAAGTAATCTAGAAATAATTTATATAATGGATGGTATGCATAGGTTATATTCAGATACCATGTCATTTTATATATGAGACTTAAGAACTCATGGATTTTGATATAGACAGAATATAGGGGTTCAGGAACCAATCCCCTGCCAATACCAAAGGATGGTTATACTTTAAGGACATTGAAATCCACTGTATTTCACCTGCATTGTTTCTGATGAAGAATCTGCGGTCATAGTTTCCTTTGTTCCTTTGTGTTTCATGTGTTTTTCCCCCCTGTGAATTATTTTAAGTTCTTCTCCTTACTACTGGGTTTGAGCATTTTGATTATAATGTGCCTTAGGGTAGTATTCTTGGTATTTTCCCTAAGTATGAAAAATACTTAGGGATCTTGAGCTACTTAGATTTTTGGCTTCGTACTTTTCATTAAATGTTAAAAATTTCAATCATTATTTCCTCAAATGTATATTTTTCTGGTTCTTCCATCTGTTTCCTCTTTAAAGGCCCCAATTGCACATATTTTGTGGTGTCTGAAGTTGATCTACAGCTTGTTGATGCTCTTTCCTTTAAATATTTTTCTTTTATTTAAGTTTTATTTTAGATTTTATTGCTGTATCTTCAAGTTCACTATTCTTTTCTACTGTGATGTCTAACCTACAGTTAATCTTTTCTAGTATTATTTTTAATCTCAGATATCTTAGTTTTTATCTCTAGAAGTTTGATTTAGGTCTTGTTTATATCTTTTCATGTCTCTACTATTTGAATATCCCTGTTTTTAAAATTTTTTCAACATATGGAATACAGTTAATGACTCTAATTATCTTTGCTTCTAATTCTAATATTTGCTTCATGTCTGTTTTGCTAATCTAATTCTAGCATTTGTATCAGCCTGGTTGAATTTTGATTGATTATTCTTCTCATTATGATTGTGTTTTTCCAGCTTCTTTGCATGCCTACTAATCTTTGTTGACATTTCAGACACTGTGAATTTTATCTTGTTGACTGCTTGATATTTTCATATTCCTATAGATATTCTTGAGTATCATTTTGGTGTATAGTTGAGTTAGTTGGAAGCAGCTTGATTCTTTGAATCTTGTGGTTTAGGTTTGTTAGACAGATCTGGAGAAGTGTTCTGGCAGACTCTAGGGCTAATTACTCCCCACTACTGAGTCAAGATTTTCCTGAGTACTCTACCCAAAGCTGGTATGCCTTGGTTCTGTATCTCCACCCAAATCTCATATTCAATTGTAATTCCCAGTGTTGGAGGTGGTGCCTGATGGAGGTGAATGGATCATGGGGACAGTTGCTCATGAATGGTTTAACACTATCCCCATTTGTACTGCTGTTGTGATAGTGAGTGTGTTCTCATGTGATCCGGTTGTTTACCAGTGTGTATCGCCTCCCCCCACCACCACCTTGCTCCTGCTCTGGCCATGTGACAGTGCTTGCTCCCCCTTTGCCTTCTTCCATGATTGTAAGTTTCCTGAGACTTCCTTAGAAGCTGAGCAGATGCCAGCACCATGCTTCCAGTACAGCCTGCAGAACCGTTAAACCATTAAACGTTTAACCATGAGCCAGTTGAACCTCTTTTCTTCATAAATTGTCCAGTCTCAGATATTTCTTTATAGCAATGCAAGAATGGACTAATATAAAAGCCCTGTGAATTTTGACTATTTCCACTCTAGCTGTTGGGAACAGATCCTGTTCCCAGTCATATGGGGAGACTGGAAACCATTCTTCATCCTTATGGATGGTTTTTGGATGGTTACAAGTAGTCTTCTCACACACATGCACTGGTTACCCAAGCGAGGACCTTTACAGGTCTCCATGTCACGAGCCATAGGCTAGAAACTCTTTCAAGGCCCTAAGCTGGGGCAATTCTAGGGATAATTTTGCATGTTTGCAGCCTCAGTGACCACCGTCCTTCATTGCCTGATATAGATTGTCTTGAAAAACATTGTTTCATATAGTTTGTCTGATTTTTGATTGTTTCAAGTGAAAAAGTAAACCCAGTTCCAGTTACTTCACCTTGAATGTAGAGCAGAAGTGTTCTTCCTTCTGGCTGAGTTTGATGTCACAAGCAATTCTTGCCTTTCCTGTCACCCCTCTGAGGCCCAGGTGGGCCAGTGGAGCCACTGAGCACCGTCCAGCCAGTCCTCCAACTGTCTGTAGACACATTAGGTGTGTCCAACCCAGCTGACTCCCGCACACAATGCCACTCCACACAATCATCAGTTGTTGGCCAATGATGGCTGCTTCTCTGCAGGTTAGCATTTGTGGATGTTGAATTTCTTCTAGACACTGAGTTTGAGGAACTACTTCTTAGATTGGGAGTAGCAGGAGGACTTACTTGCTTTAGCTATGGTTTCACTGGGATACTCTTTATTAGGTCGTGTTTGTCACAGGGCAGGGATGTGCAGTTGTTAGGAGGATAGGTAGAGTCATATTAGCTTTGTGCTCACCACTGTTATGTTTCCAAACAAGCCACTGCTAGGTTGTGGAAAGAATGGAAATAATGAGGTCATATGACCTTTCTCCAGTGGTTTGTTTCCTCCAAGGCAGTCCTTGAATCTGGATTAATCAATTGACCACTGGCTGATTTTAGGAAGAGATGGCAGAAGGGGACTTTTCTTGAAGAGAGGTTCCCATAACTCAGTTTTTTTTTTTTTTTAAGATATGGTCAGTGCAAACTAGAGTGTTTAGGGATTGTTTGGGTATTATGATGTAGATGAAGATATAGTGTGATAACTACTGTATGTGTGGTTATATAAATTTTAAAGTGATTACATAGGAAACCATTTTTACCTGAGTCAACCACAACAGTGAGAAGCTTCAACTTTTAAAATATTCCTACCAGTAAACTCAACCTTCTTCCAACAACAAATAGACTTCAAAAATAGTCAGCATTTTACTAAACTATTTAAAACTTTCCAGCCATTACATCACTCATTGTATAACTGTAATACAATTTGCTGAAGGCTGCTGACTGAACTCGCACTCGAAGGACACACAGTAGTGTTTTCTGTCAGGGCTCACTGGCCCACAGGGGGATTTTCCAGTGTTGTCCAGGACACCAATTCAGTGCCTGAATCATCCACACTTTCCTGGCAGCAAGCTATCCTTCAAAGATAGCACTTCCTCCCTCAGCATGGATTCTGATTTCACAAATAGTTTTAGAAATTTTAGCAGTGGGCTCATGGTGGTATTTGTCTAAACTATTTAACATTTTCTCTCAGCATTTTAATTTGTTAAATATCTTAATGAAGCCATTCTACTTTTAGTGCAGCATTTCATTTTTTTCTTTAGATATTATTTTTATTTTTAAGCTAAGAAATTTATGCTGTAAAAATGTGGGATGTGCGGAATAGTATAAAAACTAGAAATAAAAGCCATGCAGCTGGACATGGGGCTCATGTCTATCATCTCAGCACTTTGGGAGGCCAGGGCAGTAGGATTGCTTAAGGCCAGGAGTTTGAGAGCAGCCTGGGAAACATAGTGAGACCGTGTCTCTCAAAAAAAAAAAAAAAAAAAGGAAGGAAGGAAGGAAGGAAAGAAGGAAAGAGAGAAAGAGAGAAAGAGAGAAATAGCTAGATCTGGTGGTGTGTGCCTGTGGTCCCAGCTACTTGGGAGGCTGAGGTGGGAGGATTGCCTGAGCCCAGGAGTTTGAGGTTACAGTGAGCTACGATTGCATCACTGTATTCCAGCCTGGGTAACAGAATGAGACCCTGACTCGAAAATTAAATAAAATAAAATACAATAAATAAACAAAACAAAACAAAAACCATATGCCCCTATCCAGAAACTATCACATGTGAATATTTAAATATGTTTTCTTCAAGCTTCTATTACATTTATAAATTACAGAATTTGGTTTTTCTCACATAGCCTTATATCGTTGGTATTCAAGTATCATGAAATAGTTTTTATTTTTTTATTTTTTATTTTTTTTAATTTTGTATTTTTATTTTATATTTATTTATTTATTTATTTATTTATTTATTTATTTTTTATTGATCATTCTTGGGTGTTTCTCGCAGAGGGGGATTTGGCAGGGTCATAGGACAATAGTGGAGGGAAGGTCAGCAGATAAACAAGTGAACAAAGGTCTCTGGTTTTCCTAGGCAGAGGTCCCTGCGGCCTTCCGCAGTGTTTGTGTCCCTGGGTACTTGAGATTAGGGAGTGGTGATGACTCTTAACGAGCATGCTGCCTTCAAGCATCTGTTTAACAAAGCACATCTTGCACCGCCCTTAATCCATTTAACCCTGAGTGGACACAGCACATGTTTCAGAGAGCACAGGGCTGGGGGTAAGGTCACAGATCAACAGGATCCCAAGGCAGAAGAATTTTTCTTAGTACAGAACAAAATGAAAAGTCTGCCATGTATACTTCTTTCTACACAGACATGGCAACCATCCGATTTCTCAATCTTTTCCCCACCTTTCCCCCCTTTCTATTCCACAAAACCGCCATTGTCATCATGGCCCGTTCTCAATGAGCTGTTGGGTACACCTCCCAGACGGGGTGGTGGCCTGGCAGAGGGGCTCCTCACTTCCCAGTAGGGGCGGCTGGGCAGAGGCGCCCCTCACCTCCAGGACGGGGTGGCTGGCCGGGCGGGGGGGGCTGACCCCCCCACCTCCCTCCCAGACGGGGCGGCTGGCCGGGCAGAGGGGCTCCTCACTTCCCAGTAGGGGCGGCCGGGCAGAGGCGCCCCTCACCTCCTGGACGGGGCGGCTGGCCGGGCGGGGGGCTGACCCCCCACCTCCCTCCCGGACGGGGCGGCTGTCCGGGCGGGGGGCTGAACCCCCAACTCCCTCCCGGACGGGGCGGCTGACCCGGCGGGGGGCTGACCCCCCTACCTCCCTCCCGGACGGGGCGGCTGGCCGGGCGGGGGGCTGACCCCCCCACCTCCCTCCCGGACGGGGTGGCTGCCGGGCGGAGAGGCTCCTCACTTCCCAGACGGGGTGGCTGCCGGGCGGAGGGGCTCCTCACTTCTCAGATGGGGCAGTTGCCAGGCAGAAGGTCTCCTCACTTCTCAGACGGGGCGGCCGGGCAGAGACGCTCCTCACATCCCAGACGGGGTGGCGGGGCAGAGGCGGTCCCCACATCTCAGACAATGGGCGGCCGGGCAGAGACGCTCCTCACTTCCTGGATGTGATGGCGGCCGGGAAGAGGCGCTCCTCACTTCCTAGATGGGATGGCGGCCGGGCAGAGACGCTCCCCACTTTCCGGACTGGGCAGCCAGGCAGAGGGGCTCCTCACATCCCAGACGATGGGCGGTCAGGCAGAGACACTCCTCACTTCCCAGACGGGGTGGCGGCCGGGCAGAGGCTGCAATCTTGGCATTTTGGGAGGCCAAGGCAGGCGGCTGGGAGGTGGAGGTTGTAGCCAGCCGAGATCACGCCACTGCACTCCAGCCTGGGCACCATTGAGCACTCCATGAAATAGTTTTTAAACTGCATCTTGATTGTTTTATGTTTCCCAGTTGTCGGACATTTATTTGGTCTTAAAATTTTCATTATGATAAACAACACCAATGCAGAAATTTTTTACCTGCATTCGACATTTGTATTAGTTACATATTGCTGTAAAATAAACCGCCTTAAGATTCACTGGCCTACGACTGATGACTGTGTGGACTGGCATTGTGAGCGGGAGTCAGCTGGGCTGGACATACCTAATATGTCTACAGGCAGTTGGAGGACTGGCTGGATGGTGCCCAGTGGCTCCATTGGCCCATCTGGGCCTCAGCGGGGTGACTGGAAAGGCAAGAATAGCTGGGCCCCTCCGGGTGGTCATGCAAAGATAGCATTTTATTTTATTTTATTCTATTTTATTTTTCTGTAAGTTATTGGGGGTACAGGTGGTATAACAGTTTTAGAAATTTTCTAGCAGGATCATGGCAGTATTTGTCTAAACTATTTAACATTTTCCCTCAATATTTAAATTGTTAAATATCTTATTTTATTTTATTTATTTATTTATTTTTGAGATGGAGTCTCTCTCTGTCGCCAGGCTGGAGTGCGGTGGTGCAATCTCGGCTCACTGCAACCTCCGCCTCCCGGGTTCAAGCAATTCTTCTGCCTCAGCCTCCCGAGTAGCTGGGACTACAGGAGCAGGCCACCACGCCCAGCTTTAAATTGTTAAATATCTTAATGAAGCAGTGTGCTTTGAGTGCAGCATTTCATTTTTTTCTTTAGATATTATTTTTATTTTTAAGTTAAAAAGAAATTGTGAGACCTTGAACAAACTTTTGAGTCAATTACTATATAGGAAACAAAATCATGTTATCCTCTTTTACCCTTTCTCTTATTCGTTGTGCTCAAGCCTCTGATCTAGAACTGGAAGAAGCTTCAGCTCTAGCCACGTTGCTGCAAAGGACAGAATTTCACTCTTTTAATTTTGAGACAGGGGCTTGCTCTGTCTCAAGGTGTCTAGTGTGAGCTTATTCATATAGGAGCAGTCGGAATTTGGATGAGACTAGAAGCAAGTCTTGTTCAGAATTCATACAGCATCACTTTTATGATATTCTGTTAGTCAAAGCAAGCTGCAAGTCTGACCTAGATCAAGTAGAGTCTACCCTTGGTGGTAGAGTTTGTGGCCAATTTCAATTTACCATGACAGTTTTTCCCTAATTTGTACCTTTGGAAGTGGAACTACTTGTCCAAAGGATGCAAACTTTCCATAAAAATTAACTTGATATATATGTTCACCAGCAGTGCATCAGAGTGACCATCTCAAAATCTTACCAGCCTTTTACCAGTTCTAGGCAAAGCTTTGAATGTAATGAATAAGAGAAAGGGTAAATGAGAATAACATCATTTGATCTTGTATATAGTTATTGACTCTCATCTGGACCAGTGTTTGTGGACTTTATCTAGACATATATTTTCTCAAAGCAAAATCTGGAAAAAGTTTCTTCAATAAAACTTTTTTTTACATTCCTAGTTTTTTTTTTGTCTTCCAACTTTTTTTGTTTGTTTGTTTTTGAGACAGGGTCTCGCTTTGTCGTCTGGGTTGGAGTGGAGTGGCGCTATCTAGGCTCATTGCAACCTCTGCCTCCTGGGTTCAAGCAATTCTCGTGACTCAGCCTCCCGAGTAGCTGGGACTACAGGTGCCCGCCACCATGCCTGGCTAATTTTTGTATTTTTAGCAGAGATGGGGTCTCACCATGTTGCCAGGCTGGTCTCAAACTCTTGGGCTCAAGTGATCTGCCCACCTTGGCCTCCCAAAGTGCTGGGATTACAGGCGTGAGCCACTGTGCCCGGCCCTCTTCCAACTTTTATTTTAGCTTCAGGGGTACAGATGTAGGTTTGTCATATAGGTAAATTTCATGTCATGGGGATTTGGTGTGTCCAGATTATTTCATCACCCAGGTAATAAGCATAGTAACCGATAGGTAGTTTTTTGATTCTCACCTTCCTTTCATCTCTACTTTCAAATAGGCCTGGTGTCTGTTGTTCCTTTCTATTTGTCTGTGTGTACTCAGTGTTTGGCTCCTCACTTGTAAGTGAGAACATGCAGTATTTGGTTTTCTGTTCCTGCATTAGTTCACTTAGGATAATGGTCTCCAACTCTATGTTGTTGTAAAGGACATGATCTCGTTTGTTTTTTTTTTCTTTTTTTTGAGACAGGGTGTTGCTCTGTTGCCCAGGCCGGAGTGTGGTGGCACAATTGGGCTTACTGCAGCCTCGAACTCCTGGGCTCAAGTAATCCTCCCAGCTCAGCCTCCTGAGTTGCTGGGACCACATGCACACACCACCAATCCAGAGTTGTTGGGTATTTAGTTTGATTCCATATCTTTGCTGTTGTGAATAGTGCTGCAATGAACATACATGTGCATGTGTCTTTTTTTTTTTTGTTTTTTGAGACAGGGTCTTGTTCTGTCATCCTGGCTGGAGCACAGTGGCATAATCTTGGCTCACTGCAGCCTCTGCTCTCCAGGCTCAAGCGATCCTCCCATCTCAGCCTCTTGAGTAGTTGGGACCACAGGTGTGCACCACCATCCCTGGCTAATTTTTCATATTTTTAGTAGGGAAGGGGTCTCACCATGTTGCCCAGGCTGGTCTCGAACTCCTGAGCTCAAGTCAGCCTGCATCAGCCTCTCAAAGTATTGGGATTATAGGTGTGAACCACTGTGCCTGGCCCACATGCATGTGTCTTTATAGTAGAATGATTTGTATTCCTTTGGTTATATACCCAATAATAGGATTGTTGGGGCAAATGTTTGCTCTGTTTTAAGTTCTTTGAGAAATCACCATACTACTTTCCACAGTGGCTGAACTAATTTACATTCCCATCAGCAGTGGATAAGCGTTCCTTTTTCTCTACAACCTCACCAGCATCTGTTATTTTTTGGCTTCCTAATAATAGCCATTCTGACTGGTGTGAGATGGTATCTCATTGTGGTTTTGATTTGCATTTCTCTAATGACCAGTGATGTTGAGCATTTTTTCATATACTGCATATATGTCTTCTTTTGAGAAGTGTTTGTTTCATGTCCTTTACCCATTATTGATGGGGTTTTTTGTTTTTTGCTTGCTGGTTTGTTTAATTTCCTTATAGATTCTGGATATTGGACTTTTATTGGATGCATAGTTTGCAAATATTTTCATCCATTCTGTAGGTTGTTTACTCTGTTGATAGTTTCTTTTACTCTGCAGAAGCTCTTTAGTTTAATTAGGTCCCTTTTGTCAATTTTTGCTTTTTTTGCAATTGCTTTTGATGTATTCATCATGAAATCTTTGTTCAGTATATGTTATCTACTGTCCATCTTCTCTTTCTGGAGCATAATACAAACTCTTACTAAACATACTACAGCTAGTGTTACATATGACAGGTAACTGGTATTGAATTGAAATTAGCCTTAAGTGTTCCCAGCATATGGGCCTTTTAAAATTAATTTAGCTAAATAATTATATTTTATGTGCATTAAAATAACAACAGAAAAATTCACATCCAGAATCAGTGTTGAAAATATGTAAGTATGTATTAACCTACTCAAATGCATTAGAACGTAATCACTAAGTATTTGGCATTAGTTTATACTGTTAATCTGGAAGGTTAAACATGAGCCCACGTGGCTAAAAAGAGTAACTCACTCTCAATAGTCTCATATTCTGAATATTTGTATTGCAGGTTCAGGTGACTTTTTCTTGTCACTCAAAAAATGTGCACATGCCCTTAATTTTCACTCCAAAAATAGATGAACAGTTCTTCCAAATATAGATGGGATAGGAATCTTTTGGCTGACAATCACTCAGAGATTCAGTCGAGAATTGAATCTGGGGTACTCTGCTGTGCTAGAAGTTGGCAGGCCTGTGTGGCCTCCATAAATAAAACTAATTAATCTGGCTGTTTTCTTAAATTCCCATATTGCTTGTCTAAATATCAGGTGCTGGCAGCTTTTTTTTTTATAACATTCTCCCCCCACCACTCCCTACCATCCCCCTGCAAAAGGGCACACACCTCATTTTTTTAAGTTGGAAGGAAAGGGAAGGAGAGAATATTAATCCGGTAAATGGCACCCGCAGAGCAGCCACTGCTCACTTTCAGGGTCGCCGTGAGCGGACATCTCTGCAGTGCTGCTCTGGGGTAAAGCTCAGCTGAGGCGATGATGGGTGTCAGTTGGCCTTTTCAATGGCACCTCGCTAGGGGCTGAGTCAGAAGAAAATCCAGCATCTGTTCCCATTCTCAGTTCAGCTGCAGCCCCCATGGATGAGGAATGTTTCCAGAGAAGAGAGGTAGGGGTGGGACGGGGCGAGGATGTAGAGCAAGGAGAGGGAAGAAAGTGCAGGGGACAGGACGGTAGGCTCTGACAGTCCTAGGCTGAGCTCAGACTCTGCTCACGGTGCCGTCTGGAAGACACTGCGTCCCCAGCTCACTCTTCAGCTGCCCTGAGCATCGACACATACTCCACAGGTGCACACTGGACTGCTGCGGGCTCCTCTAGGTTGACATAAAGAATTCCAAGTTGAGAGAGCTCGAATACTGATAGCAAACCGTGTAGAACAAGCCGTCAGTGTTGTAATAGGGTGGGTTGGTCTTGGGAATCTTTTTGCTTTTCTTCTCAGTTTTGTTCTGATGTCCCCTTACTGAGCTGGTTATATAGACTGGAAAGTACTAGTCCTACCAAGATATTTGCATTTTTGTCAGAGGACACATGACGATTGAAAAAACCGTTAGGATCCAATATATACATCCTACATATTTACATATTTAGATAAACAAACAAGCAAAAGTTCTAGCCAGGTAAGGAAGAAATTTGGGAAAGGCTGAGAAAGGTTTCCAGTATTTTTCAGCTTCTAATATGTATTTGTTTGCCTAGGACTTTACTTAGTGAGCCTACTGCTAAGACCATACTCATGTTCTAAATGCTCAGGGAAAGCTAACAATGCCTACATTAGGACAGTTCTCATCCTCAAGGCAATGAAAGCCTTTTGAGGCCCAAACAGTATCATCAATCCAAATTTGGAGCCAGATTCAAAAGGGCAGCCAGGAAGGTCTGGCCATCCTATGGTGATCACACATATGCCCCAGCACAGAACTGACCATCTCTCCTAAGATGTAAAGCATGCTTAAAGTGGGAGTCCTAGATTCCTCAGGCAACTTCTTCTTCCTCTTCCTCTTCCTTTCCTCCTCCTCCTCCTGCTCCTCCTCCTCCACCACCTCTTCCTCCTTCTGCTTCTGCTGCTTCTTCTTCTTTCTTCATTCTTCTTTCTTCTTCTTTTTTTTGACAGGCTCTCACTCCTTCATCCAGGCTGGAGTGCAGTGGTATGATCATGGCTTACTGCAACCTCTGCCTCCAGGGCTCAAGTGATCCTTCCACCTCAGCCTCCCAAGTAGCTGGAGCTACAGGCACATACTACCAAGCCCAGCTAATTTTTGTAGTTTTTGTAGAGCCGGTGTTGCATACCTAAGCTAAGGTGTTGCACACAAGGCTGATATGTCACATACCTAGGTTGATAGCTTGGGATCTAGGGTAATTTGTTGGATATCCAGAGCTGTGTGCCACCCCTCCTCCATAGGCACCTTCCTAGGAATTTTGTCCTCTCTCTGTTTGTGCTTTCACCTGAAAGAAAGATTCTTCATCAAGGAACGCCCAGGCCACAGAATGAACAGGGTGATAACTTTAGCAATCAGGGTAAGCAGCTAATTAAATATTCTAGAAATGCAGTAACTTGCTTGATTCTTTTACCTAGAACAACTGAGATAGCTTCACTGTGGTCAAAACAATAGCCCCAGGCATTCCTAAATTTAAGAGAAGATCCAGGGTAACATCAGTTTGGCTCTTGGACAATAGCAGGGTTAGATTAAGTTGGGACTGGCCAACTTCATGCTCTCAAGTCATTTCCACACCATTTTCCACCTTCTCTCTTGAAGCTCTTGCCTCCTTTGAGCTTCACTTTCACACATTTCCCTCTCCCCTTTCTCATCTCTGTTGTTCTCTATTTAAAAACACACCCATATCCCAAACTCCTGGTTGTTGTAGATGTGGGACATGCTCAGTTTGAAAGAGCTTAATCTCCATTGCCTTTGCCGTTCCACTATCCTCAGATCTGGTCCTTGACATAACTCAGAGAGGCTTAAATACTGAGGTTGTTTTTGTTTGTTTGTTTGTTCGTTTTGTTTTTGATATGGAGTGTCACTTTGTCGCCCAGGGTGGAGTGCAATGGCGTAATCTTGGCTCACTACAAGCTCTGCCTCCCGGGTTCCAGCGATTCTCCTGCCTCAGCCTCCAGAGTAGCTGGGATTACAGGCCCACACCACCATGCCCAAGCTAATTCTTGTATTTTTAGTAGAGTCAGGGTTTTGCCATGTTGGACATTGACAGCTGGACTCGAACTGGCTGGTCTCGAACTCCTGACCTCAAGTGATCTTCCCGCCTCGGCCTCCCAAAGTGCTGGGATTACAGGTGTGAGCCACTGTTCCCGGGCAAACACTGAGATTCTTATTCTTACTTTAAATTCTAACCACAGCATCTACTTTTTCAATTCTGCAACTCTCTTAGGACTTTCAGAAATGTTCTTTATCTTTATTGTGACGTGTACAACTTTGACACTTTCTTCAGAAGGACCCATTTCTCTGTCTGCTTCAATGAAATATCTTCTCCTCTCTCACTGTCCCCTTCCTGGCTTCTCTTCCTCCTTCCATCACCCATATTCCTGGCCTTTCAATACATTATCTTTCAGTCTCTTCTCTTCATTTTATACAGCATTTTATTTGATAGTAACACCAGCCTTTGTGGCTTCAACCCCCAACCTCATGTATTAAAATATGTTTTCCAATCTGCTAGTTTAGCCTAGGTCAGGATACTACTTAGATCTACAATTCTAGGCTGGGCGCGGTGGCTCACGCCTGTAATCCCAGCACTTTGGGAGGCTGAGGCAGGCGGATCACAAGGTCAGGAGATCGAGACCATCCTGGCTAACACGGTGAAACCCTTTTTCTACTAAAAAATACAAAAAATTAGCCGGGTGTGGTGGTGGGCGCCTGTAGTCCCAGCTACTCAGGAGGCTGAGGCAGGAGAATGGCGTGAACCTGGGAGGCGGAGCTTACAGTGAGCAGAGATCATGCCACTGTACTCCAGGCTGGGCGACAGAGCAAGACTCCGTCTCAAAAAAAAAAAAAAAAGATCTACAATTCTAATTCACCTCTGGAAAATTGAGGTGCATGGCTATTCTGTCAGATTCTTGAAGTTCTCACATATAGACTCTTAACACATTTTCATTGAGTTCAGTAGTGGTGGATAACTAAATAGCTTACTTTTTCTGCTGCTCTTTGTTCCTTCTTGTAGATCCAAGCTTCCATATGCTATAATTTATTAATAGTGTAAAGAATATTTTAAAATATTTTGAATACTGCAGATCAGATGGAGATGAATTCTCTATTATTTTTCTGTGTGAAGATGTTTATTTCATCTTGATTTTTGAAGGTCTTTTTTGGGGGTACAGAATTATAGGCTAATATGTTTTTCTTTCAGTACTTGAAAAAATCTCACACAATTGTTTTTTGATTTCTGTTGTTTCTTATAAGGTGTCAGCCATGATCTTAACTATTTTTGTTATTTATGCAATGTACCTTTTGTTGGGCTCATCTTAAGAATTGTTTCTTTATTAACTTTTCAGCAATTTGATAATGATGTGCCCAGGTATGGTTTTCATAATGTTCATCATTCTTGGAGTTTGATGAAGTGCTCAGATCTGTGATTTGATGTCTTTCATCACTTTTGGGAAATTCTTGACTATAATCTTTACAGATATATTTTAAAATCTCAATATCTTTTTGTGGGATGCATTATATATGTATTCTCTTTGTAATACATTAGATGTTACTGGGTTGTGTGCTTTTTCAAGGCTGTATTAACTCTATAGGAAGGAATGGATATGGGGAGTGAATCACCATATCCAAGGTAGACTCTTCTTTCCCACACCATAGTCAATCTTTATCTCAGTACCTGGTTTTATTCCTTTCATAGTACTCATAACTATAAAAAACAGCTGGTTTATTGATTAGTTTACTTGTTTAATCTCCGTTTCACGCACTGTGATTTAAATGCTAAGAAAGTGGAGACTTTGTGTCTTGATTATGCTCTGTCCTCAGACATTAGAACTCTGTCTAGCTCACCAGTCATCCACTAATTATTTGTAGAATGAATAGTGGTAAGCAGAAAGGCAAAAACAAGATTTACTTACCACTTACACTAGAAGGGAGGCTGTTAAAAGGTACGTATTAATAAAACCCTTCAAACAGTTTATAATACTGGAAATGTTTGAACTGTAAGAATAGATTGGAAGGTGAAAGAAATTTGAAATAATTCAGTGAAAAATAAAATATTTTGTAGTAGTTAGGCTTATCAGCTGTAATGGAATCATAGGACTTCACATCTGGATTTCTAACTACTTTAAGATACTTCATATGAGTGGAATCTTAACATATTCGTCCTTTTATACTTGGCTTATTTCACTTAACATGATGTCCTCAAAGTTCATCCACCTAGTAGAACATGACAGGATTTCTTTGTTTTTCAAGGCTGAACAATATTGTATGTATATGCCACATATTCTTTTTTCATTCACCTGTTGATTGACATTTCTGTTCCTTCTACGTCTTGGCTATTGTGATGTGCAGGAGTTTTTAAGTTTAATGTAGTCCATTTGTCTATTTTTGCTTCTGTTTCCTGAGCTTTTACTGTCATATCCAAGAAATTATTACCAAATTCAATATAATGATCTTTTCCAATGTTTTCTCATAGACATTTTATAGTTTTTGGTCTCATATTTAGGCTTTTGATCCATTTTGAGTTGAATTTTTTATATGATATATAGTAAGAGTGCTAACCTCATTCTTTTGCATATGGAGATACAATTGTCCCTGCATCATTTATAGAGACTGTCCTTTTCTCATTTTGTAGTCTTGGCATCATTGTTGAAATTCATTTGGCTACTTTATGCAAGGATTTAACTATGGGCTCTCTATTCTGTTCCATTGGTCTCTATATCTGTCTTTATACCAGTATCATGCTGTTTGATTTTGTAGTAAGTTTTTGAAATAGGAAGTTTCAGACCTCCAACTTTCTTTTTTTTCCCCCAGGATTGTTTTGGCTATTTGGGGTCCCTTGAGACTCCATATAATTTTGGAATTGGCTTTTCTATTTCTGCCAAAAATGCAGTTGGCGTTTATATTGGAATTATATAGAATCTGTAGATTGCTTTGAATAGGACTGACATCTTAACAATATTAGGCCTTCCAATCTGTGAAAGCAAGATGTCTTTTTACTTACTGGTGTTTTCCTTAATTTCTACAAACAATGTTTTGTAGTTTTTGGTGTATAAGTCCTTTGCCTCTTTAGTACAATTGGCGTACAATTATTCATAATAGTCTCACAATTTTTCTTATTTTTGTGACATCAGTTGTAACATTCTTTCATTTTTAAGTATCGTTATTTGAGTCTTCTCTCATTTTTTTCTTAGTCTAGCTAAGGGTTTATACATTTCATTGATCTTTTCGAAGAATCAGCTCTTGGTTTTGTTGATTTTGTTTCTATTTTCTATTTCCTATTTCATTTATCTCTGTACAATTTGTATTATTTGCTTTCTTCAGCTACATTTCTTTATTTTTTTTTTTTTAGTTTTTTGAGGGTGTAAACTTAGATTGTTGATTTGAGGGTTTTCCTCCTTTTTTAATGTAAGTCTTTACTGCTATAAATTTCTTCCTTTGTACTGCTTTTGTTGTAGCCCATAAGTTTTGATATGTTGTGTTTTCTTTATTTGTCTCCATATATTTTCTAAGTTCCCTTGTGATTTCTCCTTCGACCCTTTGGTTGTTTAAGAGTAAATTATTCAATTTCCATATATTTGTGAATTTTCCTGTTTTGCTTTCCTGTTGATTTGTTTCATTCTATTGTACTTTGAGTGATTTAAATCTTAAATGTGGTAAAACTTGTTTTGTGGACTAACATGTCTTCTATCTTTGAGAATGTCTAGTTGCACTTGAGGAGAAGGTGTATTTTGCTGTTGTTGGGTGGAGTGTTCTGAATATGTCTGTTAGGTCCAGTTGGTTTGTAGTGTTGTTCAAGTCCTCTGTTTCTTTGCTTATCTTCTGTCTGGTTCTTTATATAACTGAAAGTGAGATATTGAAGTCTCCTACTATTATCGTGTTGCTGTCTAGTTGTCTCTTCAGCTCTGCCAATGTTTACCTTATAAAATTGGGAACTCTAACGTTAGGTGTATATATACTTATGGTTGTTATGTCTTTCTTGTGAATGGACCCTTTTATTACTGAATAACAATCTTCTTTGTGTCTTGCGACAGTTTTTGACTTAAAATCTCTTTTGTCCAATACAAATATAGTCACCCTTGCTTTCTTTAGGTTCCCATTTGCATAGAATATCTTTTCTCATCCTTTCACTTTTAACCTATGTATGTCCTTAGATCTAAAGTGAGTCTCTTATAGACAGCATACTCTTTGATCTTTTTAAAATCCATTTAGTCAATCTATATATTTTAATTAGGGTTGTAATCCATTTACTTAGAAAGTAATTACTGATAGGGAAGGACTTACTGTTGCCATTTTGTTAATTTTTTTTTCTGGATGTATTATAACTTTCTGCCCCTCCTTTCCTCTCTTGCCGCTCACTTTCTTTTGTGTTTGATTTTTTTTTTTTTTTTTTTGAGATGGAATCTCGCTCTGTCACCCAGGCTGGAGTGCAGTGGCGCAATCTCGGCTCACTGCAAGCTCCGCCTCCCGGGTTCACGCCATTCTCCTGCCTGAGCCTCCCGAGTAGCTGGGACTACAGGTGCCCACCACCACACCTGGCTAATTTTTTTTTGTATTTTTAGTAGAGACGGGGTTTCACCGTGTTAGCCAGGATGGTCTCGATCTCCTGACCTTGTGATCCACCCGCCTCAGCCTCCCAAAGTGCTGGGATTACAGGTGTGAGCCACCGCGCCCGGCCGTGTTTGATTTTTTTGAGTGACCTGCTTTGATTCCCTTTTGATTTTCCTTTGTGTATACTCTATAGATATTTTCTTCCTGGTTACCATTACATGAAATATAACAATCTCTATTAAACTGATAACTTCAATTGCATATAAAAATTATATTTCTTCTGCTGTTGATTTCTTGTTTCATTCCATTGTGGTCAAATAAAATACTTTGAATAATTTAAATCTTCTTTATATGTTAAGACTTGTCTTAACAAGTCTTAAGTCTTGACATGTCTTTAAGACTTGTCTGCCCACACTTGATGTTGTTGATGACTCCACCTACCTCTTTGTATACTGTGTATGCATTAACGTAGTTTTATAATTACTTTTTATGCTTTTGTTTTTTAAATTCTATACCTGATTTAAAAGTAATTTTTATATATTTATATGGCTTAATGTTGCTGTTTATCATTCTTCCACTTCAATTTGAAGGACTACTTTCAGTATTTCTTATATAGCAGCTCTAGTCATGATGAACTCTCTCAGCTTTCCTTTCCTTCCCTTTTCTTTCTTTCTTTCTTTCTTTTTTTTTTTTTTGAGAGAAAGTCTCACTCTGTCACCTAGGCTGGAGTGCAGTGGCTCTATGACTTCAGCTTTACTTTATCTGAGAATGTCTTACATTCTTATTCATTTTTGAAGGAGAGTTTTTACCATATGTAATATTGTTGGTTGATTTTTTTTCCTTTCAGCATTTTGAATATATTATCCAACTTCATTCTGTCCTGCAAGGTTTCTGCTGAGAAATGAGGTTATAATCTAATACAAGCTCCCTTGTACATGATAAGTCACTTTTCTCTTTCTGCTTTCAAGATTCTCATTGTCTGTGACTTTTGACAGTTGGATTATGATGTGTCTCTTTGTAGATCTCTTTATTTTTATTCTACTTATGGTTCTTTTAGCTTCTTGATTATGTATGTCCATTTCTTTCCTCAGATTTGGGAAGTTTTCAGCCATTATTTCTTCAAATAGTCTCTTTCCCCCTTTCTTCCTTTTAAATTCGCATAATGCATATGTTATTCTGCTCAACACTCTACCGTAAGTCCCTTAGGCTCTCTCTGCTTTGCTTCACTCTTTTTTTTGTTTTTGCTTGTCTTGATAATTTAAAAAGTCCTGTTCTTAAATTTACTGGTTCTTTCTTCTATCTGATCAAGTCTGCTATTGAGTAGTTCTCGTGAATTTTTAAATTCGCTTAATGTATTCCTCACTCCAAGTAGTTTTGTTTGTTTCTTCTTCTTAGTTTCTGTCTCTTTTCTGATATTATCATTTTGTTCATTTTTAAAAATTTCATTAGTTTTTTCCATCTGTGCCTTCTTTTACTCCATTGAACATCCTTACGACAGTTATTTTGAATTATTTATCTGCTAATTCATATATTCCCATGCCTTTAGGGTTAGTTTCAGGATATTTAATTTGTTACCTTGGGCCCAGTCTTTGTGGTCTGGTTTCATGCAGGAAGGACTTTCACCAGTCAGCATGGCCAGAGACTCTAGAGACCTCTAAAGCCTTTTCTGGGGATGCGTACTCCCCGGACTTGCACACTTAATATATTAGGTTGGTACAAAAGTAATTTCGAAGAACCGCAATTACTTTTGCACCAAGTTAATAATGGGTGTGTTGCTTTCTACTCAGGGGTTCACTCTGATGCCTGTTTGTGGTACTGCAGTTTCTTTGGTGGTGTAGCAAACTGAGGTACTGGCACTCCCCCTACTGTCATTCCATCGTACTGCAGACTCTGGTGGTAGAACAAACCCTGTTCATTGCCTCTGTTGTGAGTCCACCAACCTGCCACTCTGTTCCTCTAAGCACTTAAATTCAGAGAACACAGAAACCAGTCACTTGGGCAGCCCCACAAAAAGTCGGAATGTTGAAAATATCCTACTCTTTTCTTTCTTTCCTCAGGGAGAAGTTGGGAATGTTCTGAACACACCCTGTGGTACTTGGCGGGAGGCACTCTGGCACGTTGTGTGCCAAGAATTTTCCTACGGGGACTTCTGTGTGGCTGGCTTTGCACTGGCCAGGGGTGCTGCAGAGACCTCTGAATTGTATTCTAGATTTCTCACAGAGGCAGTTGGTCTGTATCGTGTGGTTAAGTCAGTAGCTTCACATGGAAAGTAGGGTCTGGGGCTTTCTACTCTGCCATCTTGCTGGTGTCACTTTGTTCATGTCACTCAGGTACAGTGAGGTTTGTCAAGCACTGAGGATTTTCATACCATCCTCAGTGCCCTCTTTATTAAAGGCATAGTGCAGTTAGCCCTTCACATCTGCTCTGAACTCACAGCTCTGCTGGTCAGTGCAGTTCTGCATTCCCTGCCAGATGGTGGAAGGGAGAAGCTGCTATTATGAAGGGAGTTGTTAAAAACTTATCTTTCCTGTTATAACGAACAGAATTCATGTTTGGAAAGAGAACTTACTTCAAATATTCAGTTTATAGATGGAGAAAATGAGCCCCATCAAATTTAAGTGACTTTCTCAAGGCCATATGGCTACTTCAGAGTCAAATTTATAACATTACTAGACTTGGCAGATGCCTTCCTCAATTCTCTTATATTCTTATCATCAAATCCTTTCAGGAGGTGGAAATTTAGATCTGAGCTTTCGAGTACCTACCCATCAGAGCTCTGAAGGATTTGTGGTTCTGAACTTAACACCAGTGTTTTTATTCTTTTAAGAATAGGAATTCTCAAGGTCTTTTAATAGTATATTTTATATGAATGTGCAAAAATGTAGAATGTCACTGTTTGCCTCCTTCCCTGTTACTTATCATATCTGACCCACAGTGAAATGACAATAACCTTATCTTTATCTTTGTCAACTCTTGCTGGCCTTCTTGAGATCACATATTTAAAGGGTGTTTGGGAAAGGAGTGAGGGCTTTGGAGTTGACATCTATAGTTCTGGGATTAATGGAAATGGAATTAGCTGTAAACCTTATATTTAAGGGTCTGAGCCAAGTAAATTGGCCAAATTGGACCTTAACTGAGCTGGAATGGGACCTGTGATAGTGACTTTACCGTCTCAGGGCTTCAATACTAAGTTATAGAAAACATTTTTGCATGGACTCAGAGTATTGGCAAAACTGCAATATTGACCAAGTTTGCTTATCCCATGTACCTTTTACCCAAATTCTTCCACTTAGTCCCCATAATAGTATTCTCCAAGTTAGAAAAAAAGCATTTGAAAACAAATCTTCACTGAGATGCTGTGGATAGGTTTAATATAATCCTCAGAGACAGGGAATTTGTGTTTAAAAAATTCTTGAAAGATTATTTGTCACGATAATCATGATGATGATGGTAAAAAACAGTACTAATCCCATTGAAGTATTTGTTCCCTAGAGTCTTTTTTTTTTTTTTTTTTTTTTTTTTTTTTTGAGATGGAGTCTTGCTCTGTCACCCCGGCTGGAGTGCTGTGGTGCGATCTGGGCTCACTGCAAGCTCTGCCTCCCGGGTTCACGCCATTCTCCTGCCTCAGCCTCCCGAGCAGCTGGGACTACAGGCGCCCGCCACCACGCCTGGCTAATTTTTTTTGTATTTTTAGTAGAGACGGGGTTTCACCATGTTAGCCAGGATGGTCTCAATCTCCTGACCTCGTGATCCCCCCGCCTTGGCCTCCCAAAGTGCTGGGATTACAGGCATGAGCCACCGCGCCCAGCCTAGAGTCTCTTGAAGCCTCACTACCAAAATAGAAACTCCGGGAGGTTGAGGGTGGAACCCCGGATTCTCTGCTTTGGTGAAGCTGCAGAATCCCAGTTAAGTCACTCCTCACTCCTATTTTAACTTCCTCTCTGTAAAATGGGAACAGGAATGCTACTGCATACTGATTAAATGCAAACTGCTTATGACAGTGCCATGTAATAAATCTTATCATCCTTCATCTGTGGACATTAGCAGAGGGAGAGAAGGCAGAACTGAAGGAAGGTTGGTGATGGGGTGTAGGGGATCCTCTGCCTAATACATCATTGTGTTCAGTGGGACTCTTAGTTTAGGGAAAGGAAAGGGACAGATGAGCCCCCGTTCCCCACCCTTGTCCCCAAAAGCAGGAAAGATGGAAGGGAGGTTCCCAGTTATTGGAAGAGCCTCTTATGCGTTGGGGGCATGAGAGTTAATGTTATTTATTCATCTTCTGAAAATTCATGTGCTGATATTTAAATAATTACGTCATTTTTACTCTTTTCATGAAAACATAGAAACTTAAGTGCCTAGGGTGATTTTTAAGCATAAACATTATTTGAAAGGCAGCAAATGCAATATTTTGGCATTCTATTCTGCGTTTAATTCCAGGGGCCTTAACAACCATAGCTAAAAATTTACTGAGCACCCACTATTTACTGCGTTAACAGCCCGGCCCTCCACTCTCATCTTGAATTAGGTTCTGTTTTCAGCCTCTCTTCCACGTAGGGGAACTGAGGCACAGAGATCTGAAGAAACTTTTCGAGATGATAGAGCTGGTGAGCAGCTGAGCCCCCCTGCAGTCAGGCCGCACCCTCCATGGGCATGTCCCCTCACTTGACACGTCTGCTCAGAATTCCTCAGGGTCTGCATGCCTCATCCTCACTGCTGGTGTGGGGCAGCTCTTTAGGGATTCCCTTGCATGGACAGCTGTAAACACCTCGACCTCTTCCCCCTCCACCTTTTTGTCCTTGTCAACACCTATTGGTCCTGTAGCTCTTCTGTTGGAATCTCTGTTTCTGTTGTTTTCTATCTCTTTGTTTTTGAGACGGAGTCTCGCTCTTTCGCCCAGGCTGGAGTGCAGTGGCGCTATCTCGGCTCACTGCAAGCTCCGCCTCCTGGGTTCACGCCATTCTCCTGCCTCAGCCTCCTGAGTAGCTGGGACTACAGGCGCCCGCCACCACGCCCGGCTAATTTTTTTTTTTTGTATTTTTAGCAGAGACGGGGTTTCACTGTGTTAGCCAGGATGGTCTCGATCTCCCGACCTCGTGATCCGCCCCCCTCTGCCTCCCAAAGTGCTGGGATTACCGGCTTGAGCCACCGCGCCCGGCCTGTTGTTTTCTATCTCTCGCTTGTTTTTGAATGAATGTTCATGGTTTCATTTGCTCTCGCGATGTCACTCTCTACTTTTTCCTCTCCATGGAGGTGATATAATTTTTGTTGTAACAGATGATTATTTTTAGGAACATCTTTGTCTCAGACGATCTTTTATCAGCTCTTTTCCCGCTTGACTACTTGGGTCAGCTTGTAATCGTCATCATGTTCTAGGGGACATTTAAAAATTATTCTCTTTCAAAAGTAAGACAGTGCTAGGTAATCGGTAAGGTGACTGTTGTTTATAATAATCTATTGTATATTTCAAAATAACTGAAAAGGAATAATTCAGATGTTCCTAGCACAAAGAAAAGACAAATATTTAAGGCAATGGATATTCCAATGACACTGATTTGATCTTTATAGACTATATAAATGTATTAAATTAACACGTGTCCTAAAAATATGTACATCTGTTATGTATCAATAAAAAAAATTAAAAGAGAAAAGAACATATTTTTTCGTGTTGCAATTGGCAAGCTCATGAGCATTTAACATGTAAAGTTAAGTAATTATAACTTTACAACTGCAATTTTTACGAACCATAGTTATGCAACATCCAGGGGTCACCTACAGTGCCAGATGCTGTGGGAAGGGTGAGGGTAAATCACACAGACCTGCCTTCCAATGACCAGCTTTTCTTGTTGAGGGTGCTAAAAGGTGCCCATGACCTAAAAGTAGGAAGTAATCATACAAGGTAGGGATTCAGAGAAAGGAAATACATCTTTTCTTCTCCACTACTGTATGTTAAGTTAATTTCCCTAAAAGACCCCAGACACTTACTCGAAATTTATGTGAGTGGCTGAGTCCAGTGGCTTACACCTGGAATCCCAGCACTTTGGGAGGCCCAAGCGGGAAGGCTGTTTGAATCTGGAAGTTCAAGACCAGCCTGGGCAACATAGCGAGACTCTATTTCTACAAAAAAAATTAAAAAATTAGCCTGATATGTTGGTGTGTGCCTGTAGTCCTAGTTACTTAGGAGGCTGAGATGAGAGGATTGCCTAAGCCCAGGAGGTCCAGGCTGCAGCGAGCCATGATTGCACCACTGCACTCCAGCGTGGGCAACAGAGCAAGACCCTGCCTCAAAATAAATAAGTAATAAAATACAATAAGTTTAAAAATTTGCATGAGAACTATCTTTTGTAAGAGATATTAATCAAAAGACTCAACTCAGAAAGAACTAAGTGACTATGAATACTGGTCCTTGTGGCCCTGGATGCCTGCCACCTCCATGCTCTGGGGCTCTGTGTAAATCCATAGGCTCATTCCTCTGGGATGCCTTCCTGCCCTGCCACCTTCCCCTGGTAGATGACTGCAGAACCCATGCCCTATGAACGCATGCTGAGCCAAGCACAATTTCTCTGTCTTTTTTTCTACCCTTTTCTTCCCCCTCTCCTCAATTTTTCTAAAGTAAATCATGCTGTCATAAGTCTGGTTTTAGAGAGAAACTTCTTGGGGTTTTGAGAAGCCAGCTCAATACAACTTGCCACTTCACGCTGGAAAAGTTAGGAGAACATCTAGAATCAGATCAGCCAGGCTTCTTCTCTTCTTCTTATGAATCATGCCAGGAATTAACCCCATTTTAGAAGGACACAACTTGCTTATTAACCCACCTGACTTATTAAATAACATCTGTGCCCACCTCAGGGGGCCCAGGGCCAAATAAGGAACTATCAAAGTTAGCAAAATGAGACACTTATTACCATATGAAGATCATCAGGAGAGGGGCTGAGGCGAGTTTAGCAGGAATCTTGTACTATATTAAATGTGATTTTACCTGTCAAGTCCCAAAGGAATTGATGTCGGGAACTTTCTTCAAATAAAATACAATTTATTTCCTTTTGACCATGACAGGATTCCTTTAACGTCCACAATAAGCAAGGCAAAGCATCTGCTCACCCCTAGTTTTTGGTACGTGGCTCTAGGTGCATCCACAGACAGACCCGCCCGGCCCTGCATTCCTTCCCCAGCAAGGCTGCTGTCAGGTCCCCCTTCCCACTGGGGCTGTCTCCTCAGCTCATCATGATAGTTCAAATAGCCCTCCACCAAGCTCTCCTCACTGGCTTCTTCCAGGATGAAGACGGCCATGGAGAGTGGAGAAAAACAACCAAGCAAAGGTCTGCTTTAGTGTTGTGACAGAGGCAAAGAGAAAAGGCAGCCCATGTACTCCCCTTAGGACCACCTCAATCCATCAACGGAGCAAATGTGGCTGATGCTTGTTGAGGCTTAGCTGGCGGATCTTTGCAAGGTTCACATATGCTGCACAACTTATGAGTTTATGATTCTTCTCAGACATACTAATTCTCAATTCTTAGGAAATAATAGCAACCAGATAAGTAAGGTAGAATTCAAAGGAAGAATCCATTTTAAACCGAATGTATGGGACTCAGTTCCATCATCCCTATTTTAAAATATTCCTATTTCTTTTAAAAAATAGAATCTGCTTTCTTTCACTCAGAAAATTGCTCCCCACCACCCCATTTCTGGCTTTCCTACCTTCATATCCCCATCTTTCTCTTGGCTACATAGGGCTTATTATATTGTAGTAAAATACACATAACATGAAATTTGCCATCTTAACCATTGTTAAATGTACAGTTGAGTGGCAGTAGGTCTGTTCATATTGCTTTGTAGCCACCACCACCATCCATCTCCAGAACTCTTTTCATCTTGCAGACCTAAAACTCTGTACCCATTAAACAACTCCCATTTCCCCTTCCCCAGTCCCTGGAAACCAACATTGTACTTTCTGTCTCTATGAGTTTGAGTGCCGTAGAAGGCTTATATAAGTGGAATCATAGTATTTGCTCTTTTGTGACTATCTTATTTCACTTAGCATAATGTCCTCAAGGTTTATCCATGTTGTGGCACGTATCACGATATCCTTCCTCTTTAAGGCAAAATAATATTCCATTGTCTATGTATACTACATTTTTTAAATCCATTCATTTGTCGATGAGCACTTGAACTGTTTCTACCTTTTGGCTACTGTGAATAATATTAGCATAGCTATTCAATCTGTTTGAGCCCCTCCTTTTAATTCCTTTGGGTGTATACCCAGAAGTGGAACTACTGGATCATATGGTAATTGTATTTTTAGTTTTTTGAGGAATCATCCTACTATTTTCCACAGTGGGTATATCATTTTTCTTCCCACAAACAGTGCACAAGGATTACAATTTCTTCATATCCAGGCTGGCACTTGTTATTTTCTGTTGCTGTTATTGTTGTGTTTGTTTGTTTTTAATAGTAGCCATCCGAATGGGTGTGAGTGTTATTTTGTGGTTTTGATTTGCATTTCCCTAATAACTAATGATGTTTTCATGTGCTTATTGTCTGCTTGTATATCTTCTTGGGGGAAATGTCTATTTACGTTTTTTTGCCATTTAAATCAGGTTAGTTTGTTTTTGTTGTTGAGTTCTGGGAGTTCTTTATGTATTCTGGATATTAACCACTTATCAGAGATACAATTTACAAATATTTTCTCCCACTCAATGGGTTGTCTTTTCACTCTGTTGTGCCCTATATGCACAGAAGTTTTAAATTTTGTTATAGTCAAATTCATTTATTTTTCTTTTGTTGCCTGATGTTCTGGTGTTATATCCAAGAGATTGTTGTTAAATCCAATGTCAGGAAGCTTTCCGCCGTGTTTTCTTCTGATAGTTTTGTAGTTTTAGGCCTTACAGTTAGGTCTCAAGTCCATTTTGAGTTAATGTTTGTTTATGGCATAAGGTAAGGGTCCAACTTCATTCTTTTGCCTGTGGATATCCAGTTTTCCTAGCACTGTTGGTTGAAAAGACTGTCCGTTCCCTCATTGAATGGTCTTGGCAACTTTGTGAAAGATCATTTGTCAGGGTTTAGTCTTGAGTCTTTGAATTATAAACCTTCAGCTGCCTGTGGCCAATCTCCTTCTTGGATTCTACTGTCAGAGCCACTATTCTAATGCTTCAATTACGTTAGCATGACTGCTTAAAAGAGCATCTACTGGCCGGGCACAGTGGCTCATGCCTGTATTCCCAGCACTTTGGGAGGCTGGGGTGGGCAGATCACCTGAGGTCAGGAGTTCAAGACCAACCTGGCTAACATGGTGAAACCCCGTCTCTACTAAAAATACAAAATTAGCTGGGCGTGGTGGCAGGCGCCTGTAATCCCAGCTATTTGGGAGGCTGAGTCAGGAGAATCGCTTGAACCGGGAGGCAGAGGTTGCCGTGAGCTGAGATTGCGCCATTGCACTCCACCATGGGAGACAAAGCAAGACCCTGTCTCAAAAAAAAAAAAAAAAAAAAGCATCTACTAAAAGCGCTTCATTTTCCTTGGCATTTTGTGAGTGTGTGTGTGTGTGCGCACACTTATTGCAAACTCTTATCTCTTACACCCTTCATGGCACTGTTGCACTTATTACATTTGCCGCTGCTCACTGCAAGCTGTTAAGGCTTTATGTTTGTTGGTTCTTTTTATTTAATGATATACAAATCTCTGGAAGCCCAAAGTCTAATAAGTTGTATGAAACAACCAGAAATCTCTCTCACTAAATGTAGGTCCTTAACCAACTGACTTAACACCCTTTGGTATAGCATAATCAAAGGTTCTGCAGTATTTGGAGATGGAACACTTGTTGAATCCAATAATTTGAAGAAAGATGCTACCTAATTTCCATAGTAGTTAGCAAAGCTTAGTCTAAAATGAAGAGTACTCCTTTTATGAAACTTAAGCACCATATACATAGTGCATGGAATTGTGTTGGGGCATTTTCCAAAATGCCAGCTGCTCTTGCAGCTCACGTGACTTGGCTGTACTGACAGACGTTGTAGGAGTTGGTTCAAAGTCATTATCATTGTTTTCATTACGTGAAGGTCTGGGGATCGTTGCCCAGGGCACAGACCAGTTTATGTGCAATTTTACGAGACCGAGAGCTCAGAGCTGCCATTCATTGTTTCAAAAGTAGAGTGTGGAATTCCATTTGTGAATGTTCAGTTCTTCAGCACAATTGAAGGAAGCACATTCACATAATTGCATAGACTACACTCTTGTTTCTATAGAAACAGTCTGTTTCATGGGGAAAGGTTCAGGAGTCTTGTTCATATTCCTCCTGGGCAGAAATTTTCTGGAATTGGCTCTGCGTCATCCTTTGTCAGCCACTGAGTGCAGGGTGAAGGGAATGTCCTCCTTTCAGAGGACATCAGCCCCCGACTCAGAGGTCCGTGGGCTCAGCTGTCTCATTATCAGGCTTGCTCAGTTCTTTTGCTGCCATCAAAAGAGAAACTGGTTTCCCTTAAAGCCAAGTGAGCCAGGGTAGCCTCTGACATACGGCGTTAGAGAGATCAACCTGTGATTATATAAATGTTATGCCTTCATAGTTGAAACAGTAATTCTTTGACTTATTAACATTCCATTGTGTTTTGAGTTGGATTTAAACTCTGTGATGTATGTGCATATATGTATCTTTAAGTTATATTGATAACAATAAATAATATTTCTCATTTTTTATTGGTGTATAGACTCACTAGAACTTTGCCTTGAGTTGCTTTGCTTTGGAAGGATAGCTTGACAGCTATGTGGTGGACACATAACCCAACAACGTCACTGACATTGCTCCTCTCTTGTGTTGAGTTTTATAGCAAAACTTTGACATTAAATTACTCATGCAGTAGCTCACCTTGTATCTCCTATCTTTGCCATAAAAATCAGCTTAAGTAACGTTACGGTATATCTTTATAGTCTTCTATGACTGGCAAATTGCAGTGTATAAATATTCTATTTTCCTAGATAGAACTGAAAAGATACAAGTAAGAATCTCTCATCCTTCGAGAATTTTGAAAAGAAAGGCAGGCAGGGCTTGAATTATAATTACAAGAGAAGTCCCAAAGAAAGCCCTGCTCATGTGTGTTTCCACCATGTCCTTGTGATGCTATGTATGAGACTTTAGGACTTGAATGTGCTCTCCTCTGTCTTTCTCCGGCACGAAGTATTAACATACATGTATTTTTCTCCACAGTAAAACCGACCGTAATTGACGTTGACATTTATGTTAACAGCATTGGTCCTGTGTCATCAATAAACATGGTAAGAAGCTCCTTTATTTTCTGATCTAACGGCTGTTGCACCTCTTCTTGTTACATTCTCATTGTGGATTTCTGTTTGAGATTTATCATGCCGGTTTAAAACTCACACTGACTTCTTAAATCTGTAACACTTATTGGAATATTGAAAATGGTAAAAAAAAAAATGAAGAAAGATAGCTTGTGATGGTAGTAGCATTTCCACTTTTAGTTTCTTCTTTCAACATCCAAGAGACCTGTCTTTTATAGTGTTTCTTAGGAAAGGATTCGAGATCACTCAGATTATACTTTTGTCTTCAGTTTGGACTTTGAGAGTAAATAAACTGCCTCTGCTTTTTAGTATGGGATCAAATATGTGCTTTCCCCGAGTAGGGTATTCCCACAGGCTTATAAGCAAATTCAGCTCAAGAACTATTGGATGTGAAAGAAGCCCTTCCCTGTGCAAAAGTGCCTGGCTATGAAGTGAGTGTGGGGGTATTGAAATACGTTAGGGTGAGAGCCTTCTGTGGTGGGCTGAAGGCCACAGTCCACCTGCCAGCAAGGGGTTAACAGGACTACCTAGGATCCCCAAGCAGGCCTGTCTATTGCAGCCTCAAGCATTGTCAGGAGCTCCCCCCGCCTGCGGAGGTCCTGCCTGTGCTCCCTGCTGCACATTTGCTCCTGATTTGGGGAGACGTGAGGCCGAGGGAGGGGAATTGCCAAAATGCTGACTTAAATTTCTTCTTTTCATTGCAGTGTTCTGTGGATGGAAATAACCCCTCCAAAATTAGTAGCAAAATCGTTTCTTTTCATTGCCAGATTTTAAAAGTGTTCTTTTCTCTGGTGATATAAGGGTTCCATGCAGGGGTAAAGTTATATTTGTGGGTGATTCACTTAAAAAATCTCCATATCATCCCTAAACTGGAGCAAAGAAGTGGAATGAATAAAGGAGAATTATTTCACACAACCTATGTGCTGCAGATGGCTGTATATTAAAATCAAGTTGTGAGTGTAATATTCCCTTTTCCTGATACATCATTATTCAGTTGACTGCTCAGAGTAACCCTTTCTTATGTATGTTTCTTGTTCTGGAGTTTTATTTTCTTGCATTTGTTCCACAACCGTTTATTCAACACCTTTACGTCTAACATGTGTTTATGTCTAACACTCAAAGAAGAAGTGCCTTCCTGGATATATGGTTACAGAATTATTTCAGGAAGTCAATTGCATTTGCATATAGAGGGATTTTCCTGCAGGCCTTTAACTTTAGAATTTACTTTGTGCCTCGTGTTAGGCTTTGTTATTGGAATAGACGGGAATTTTCATGTGGAAATCACGGGCTGCAGAGAAGGAGGCCGAGTGAGTGACAGGCTCCTTCACGGTGATACGGCCCTGCTGCAGGAGTGGAAGGGACTTCTCCAGTGAGGTCCTCTTCATCTGAAACTTGACGGATAGGCAAGAGTGTGCTAGGTGGGATAAAGTTTGAAGGTCCTTAGTAACACAGGAGGACAGAGTGCGTCACACAGCTGGGGACGAGGGAGTGATGTGTGGAGAGATGCCTGGAGGGGCACATGGGGGCAGCTGTGACCAAGGCCCTGAAGCTGCAGTTAAGGGTCGGACCTCAGCCTTCTCTTCATCCAAAACAGATCCCTGCGTTTGGAAACTGTGAAAACCTTTTCCCATCAGAGATCTGAGCAGGTCATATTTCATGAGATTTGTTCAAATCCAGGCCGGGCACAGTGGCTCACGCCTGTAATCCCAGCACTTTGGGAGGCTGAGGCAGGCAGATCACAAGGTCAGGAGTTCGAGACCAGCCTGGTCAACGTGATGAAACCCTGACTCTACTAAAAATATAAAAAATCAGCTGGGCATGGTGGCAGGCGCCTGTAGTCTCAGCTACTCGAGAGGCTGAGGCAGAAGAATCGCTTGAATCCAGGAGGCGGAGGTTGCAGTGAGCCAAGATTGAGCCACTGCACTCCAGCCTGGGTGACAGAGCTAGACTTCATCTCAAAAAAAAAAAAAAAAAAAAATCCAGTAAGATCGCTAGTCAGACCCCTCTCTCCCTGAAAAAAAACAAAAACTACATGATGATGCAGAGCTCACATTAGGGACTTGAAATCATGAACTCTGATCCTTCCCTGTGGGGTGAGAAACGACCTTAGAATGGCCGGGGGCATTGTAAGCCCTGGGCCCTGGAGAAGAACACGTGTGCACCAGCATCCTGCTCATCTGGAGGCTGACACAGCAGGTTTCCAAGGCTGAGCTGTGGCAGGATGTGGAGTAGAAAGCTATTTTCTATTAACTCTCTCATTTGTAAAACTTGCCCTGAATATTTTGAAACTTCACTTAGTCCAGTTGGTTTTCTTTCTAGCATGGCTCTCTACCCTACTGAAGGGGTGGGGAGCCTGTGTGGCTGCCTGCTGCTGTGTGAGTTGGAAGCAGCTGGCACGCAGCCCTGGGGAAGCCGAATGCTAGCAAGTGCTTTCCTCTGCAAACAGCGCCGAGGCCGCAGTCAGCGCTCAGCAGGGATGGCACTGTCTAGGCCATTCTGGAGTCTGATTTCCTGAGGAAGACACAACGTACTACTAGCCTACCTCGGCTCAGCAAAGCATAGAGGGCAGGCAAGGATTTGTTTAAAATGCACACACACACACACACACGCATGCACACATGCACACACTCGTGCACACACACAGGCACACACGTACGTGTGCACACATGCATCACACGCACACATACAGGCGCACACACACGCACACACACGCACATTTATATGTTTAATTCCCATGTTCTCCTTGGGTGAGTTGCTGTGTGTCTCTCTCTGTTCCTTCACGCACATTTGCCATCCGACTAGTGTGAGGCATTGTCCTGGGTGAAGGTGAGACACGAGGAACCAAGGCCTGCTTTGGTGGGGCAAGTCTGTGGATGAGCTGAGTGCCACAGTGGAGGTAGGTTCCCTTCTAAGCAGCCCCGAGCTGGCAGGCTCTGGCTGGCCTGAGGGAAGTTTCAAAGCCCTCAGGAGGCAGGGGCCTCGGGGACCACTTCTGGAAGAATGAGTGTTTCTTACCTTTGTGCTGGGAATGCTTTGCTGGGACGCCAGAATGATAAGGGCATCTCACATTGCCGAGTGCATCACATAGACCCGCTATATCTGTGCAACCAAACGACGCAATTTTAAAAGAAGTAAAGGGCTTAAAAATGAAACACAGATCTTAGGAAAAATAATAGAAATTTTAAAGTAGAGAACTGACGGTGTAGGTGGGTATTGGGGATTGAGTTAGCAATAAAAAAGGATATAAGAAAGACTAAAACAATCAAAGAATACAAGATGAGAAGAAGCACAATTTAGAGATGCAGACAGGGTTTAAGGATGTAAATTTGTATTGGGGGTTTGACCGTAAAGGTAAAGCCTGGTAAAATTATGGCTTCTTGTCCAAATAGTCATTTAACAATCAATGAAACAGGGAACAATGACTATTTCACTTTCTCCTTCCTCTTCTTCCTCCTCCTTCTTTCACACTTTCTGCCTTTTATTGATATTATTAACACTGAAGATTCTGCCTCAGCCATTCCTTCTGTGGAGTGGAAATGAAGTTGTGTCTCAATCTATTGTTTAATAGATTATCTTTGTCTTGTTTATCCTGGAGCTGTTTATGCTTTTTCTAGTTATCGAGATTAGAAACGGGACCAGGGGAATGTTCCTCTACATGAAGCTTTCACAGCATCCTCTGCCTTTGTCGCTGCAACATACCTAAATGTGTAGCATTCATCAAAGAAAGTGTGTGTGGTTTGTTTCCACACCAGGAAAGCTGCATGCAAGGGGGCTTGTGAGTTTATTTTTGAGAATATCCACTTCAAGCAGCCTTTTAGGAAAGCAAAGAAGAAAACCAATGTTCTGACACTCTGTGCTATTGACCCCAAATCCTTTAATCTTCACAAGACCATAGTGGAGAAGATATTGACCTTCCTGCTTGTTTGAGTCCAGTAAGTGGAAGCTTGTGGAAGACATCTTAGAGCAAGGTTCTGAGTGTGACCTGCTTGGCAACAAAGCCCTGGCTTTGTTTCCTAGTCAATATGGACACACAGCAGCTGTACATACCTGTAGGGCCACAGCCTTAACATAGACACAAAAGGCTCAGTGTTAGGATTACTTTTCTGTGTTTTTTAAAAGAATTAAATTAATAAATTTTTTGAGCATTTTTAGGTTTACATAAAAATTGAGCAGAAAGTAGAGTTCCCCTATATATTTTCCTCTACACACACACAGACACACACACACACACACACACACATACAACACATAACACATTATTATTAACATCTTGCATTAGTGTATTGTATTTGTTACAATGAATGAATGCACCTTAATCCATCTTTATCATGCAAAGCCTATGGCTTACATTAGGATTCACTCTTGGTGTTGTTTATTTTATGGATTTCGACAAATGTCTAATGCCATGTATCTGCCACTATAGTATCTTAAGAACAGTGGCACTGCCCTTAAATCCTCTGTGCTCCACCTGTTTATCCCTTCCTATCCCCAGACGCTGGCAACCACTGATATTTTTACTGTTTCCATAGTTTTGCTTTTTCCTAAGTGTCACATACTTCAAATTATACAATAGTCAACCTTGTAGGATGGCTTTTTTTCCTTCGTTTTAAAAAGTACTGATACCAATTCATCTGAGGAAATCTAAGACTTGTAGCGAGCCACTGTAATGTGACTATAGCGTGACCATGTGTTACCAGAAATTGATGGGATGGCTCTGTGGATTGTGGGACAGGTCCAACATCACCAAATTATACTATATGATAGATCACCTACACATTTAAAACTGAAAAGATGACATGCAGCCAGAGAAATCATAAAGAACACATGAGGCCTCTCAACCCTATCTCTGCTCCATTCCACTTGTGGCTGAAGCTTTAAGAAGTGAAGTCAGGATACCAAGTCCTGATTAGGGCCTGTGGAAGGTAAATTCCATTTGGTCATTACTGGAGGATGATCTATTGCTTTGTGGAACTCTTTTGGAGTCATCTAAGCTCAGGAAAGTTTAAAATAAGTGACAGCTGAAGCACCGTGGTGCTCCTGACCTTGTTTGGTTTTTCTTTGCATTTCTCCTGCGTAAAGTTCATAGCAGTTTTTGCATCTGTAGTTCGATAACTTTCAGCAGTGTTTGAAAAAGAGTGGCCATTATTTCTTAAATATTGTTTTGGCACCGTTCTAGGACTCTGCTCATGTGAAGGTTACATGCTTCTCCCAGGTCCCACTTGCTTTTATGCTTGTGCTGTTTTTTATTTCTTCCTTTGCACTCCATCTTTTGGCATATGAAGTCACTCTTCATCTCTGTTCTGTGATGTTTTAAAGCTGTCTATTGAGTTCTTGATTTCAGTTATTATGTTTTCAGTTCGAAAATTTTAATTTGATTCTTTCTAACGTATGTTAGTTCTCTGGTGCGATTCTCCATCTTGCAATCTGTTTTCTGGAACACATTAACCATGAAGTCCCTTCTGCCATCTCTGGTTCCATTTCTAATGTCTGTTTTCTTGCTTCTTTCTATTACTTGGTATGCCTGATGTATTAGTCTGTTTGTATTGCTGTAAAGGAATATCTGAGACTGGGTAATTTATAAAGAAAAGAGGTTTATTTGGTTCACAGTTCTGCTGGCTGTACAAGCGTGGCACCAGCATCTGCTTCTGATGAGAGCCTCAGGAAGCTTCCAATCATGGCAGAGGTGAAGGGGGAGCCAGCTTGTCAATGGTGAGAGGGAGCAAGAGAGAGAGGGAGGAGGTGCCAGCCTCTTTTAAACAACCAGATCTCTTGTGAACTAACAGTGAGAACTCACTCATTACCATGAGCACAGCACTAAGCCATTCATGAGGGATCCATGTCTATGATGCAAACACCTCCCACCAAACCCCACATCCAACAAGGGAATCACATTTTAACATGAGATTTGGAGGGGATGAAACATCTAAACCATATCACCTGGCAATTTTCATTGTGTACAAAGATTTGTAGAGGCATTGAGTGGTTTTTCCCTTGCCTCTCTGTAGGTCTGAGCTGGCATGGGGCTGACCTGCAGTCTTGCAGAGGCTCCACTGGACTCTGGTTCCCCTGCCTTTCTGCATCGTTCCCCAGAGGTCCCAACTGAGGGCCTGGAATGTGTCAACACCAAAAAATGGCTGAAAATACAGCCCTTCTTTTTAAGCCATTTTTACAATTGTTTTTTAACCTCTTATGTTGTACAACTTAGTCAGTAAATGTGTCGAGGAGATAACCAGTATTGGTTGGCTTTCTTCTCTGACATTCATATTCCCTGAAATTGTGGCCCCTCCTTTTTTGACTTCTTGGCCAGTTTTTCCCTCAAGCTCTCCCGGGTTCTTTATTCTCTCTGTCCAGGTTTTCACATTACGTGCCCTGTCAGCAGAAGACAAGTTCTCGGGGGAAGTGGCGTGCAGGAAATGTTTACCATGGTGAGCCTGCTGCCTCTGTTTTGGCTTCTTCAGATGGATTTTTGCTTAGCTTTCTCGCTTGCTCTTAGTGAGGGTGCCAGTCTACTGCAAGGTATCCCATCCTAGCCATGCATCCTTGATTTGGAAATTTAAGTTTAGGTGTAATAAGGATTGATTCTGGATAGCTAGCAAGGAAGTAAGTTGGAGCAGAGTCAAAGCAGATACAATCTGACTGGGAGATTTTTGTTGTTGCTTTGGTAACCTCCTGAACTGCCTTCAGGTTAGCGAATAAGAGGATTTTCTAGGGTCCATTGTTTTCAGGTTTTTTCTATAAAATAATGATGCTTTGAACGACACTAAAGGATACGAATTATGTATTTCTTTTAGCAATATTAGCTTTAGATGAAAAAAAGCATGTGGCCCTTTTCAGTTGTTTAAGAGGATGATGGTCTTATATGTGGTTTTAATATTATTTTATAAAATGAACAATATTTCATTTTCCACTTGAAAAATGAAAAAATTTTATTGCTGTCGTAGATTTTTTTGTGGTTTTATGCATTAATATAGTATATAGTAAATGTTCAAAAGGATTGTTTGTTGCTATTCTTGCTATTGTATTACAACCTGTAAATTTTGTGACACTTTCAGTTTTATGTCATCCGTGAATTCTCCCCTCAGTGTTCATGGCCTTTGGACCTGAGGAATTGGCATTACTGGCAAGCTTCTTAGAAATGCAGAGAATCATGCCAAACCCCAGATCTCCTTGAATCAGAATCTGCATTTTAACAGGATCTCCAGATCATTGTCATCCACCTTAAAATGTGAGGGATACCATCTAACTCACCATGACTTCTCCATATGAAAAGCATACACAACTTACCCTGTATGAAAACGTATATGCCTGTATTGATGCCTTAATTTGATGTTTTCTATTCTCGAAAAGCATACAACTGCTCTGGCTTTGTGGATCTCCTGTTGTCCTCTTTCTGCAGAGTTAGAGAATAGTCCATCACTGAAGATTCAGGCCACGCATGTAACTCAGGGCCAGTTCTCTTAATGCTCTCATTTTATGTTGGGGCAAATTAAGAAGTCTGCCCATGGCCACGTGGTCAGTGTGTTATTTATTTGTTTTGTTTTATTTAAAAAAAGAAGTGAAAAATAATACCTTTGCACATTAAGTGTGTGTGTTCAAGATTTGTTTCATCACTGGAAGAATAACTCTTTCCACACTAATAACAATAGGAACAATAATATTTAAGGTATACATGTTAGTAAGTAAAACAATAGAGAATAGCCTGGAGGAGCCACACAAGCTTTGTGGGAATGATCTCTGCAAATTAAAAAAAAAATCTCCAAGAACAAAAAAGAAGATGACACTTAAAGGCTTTCGAGCCTGAGATCCATCGAGTCTTGTGTGGCAGATGCCCATGAGCCCTGGACCAAGGCCCACATGTCTTTTTGGTCACTTACTTACCCCAATCATCCAGTCCAGAGGCCCTTGTAAATATGTGTCAAGTGAGTGAATGGATAACAGTCCTTATCTCCCTCTGCCTCTCACGTGCATGCCTGCTAGTCTGTTTTTGTGTGTGAACACATCCTGCTCTACATGCCTGTACACTACTGTCTTCAGTTCACAATTTCCTTAGTTAATAGGCTTCTTTTGCTCCAGTAGTCTTAGCTAACACTGTGTCCAGGGCTTCTGTTGTTTTGAGGATGTAATCCTGACATTAAACCTATGAGGCCATGGCTGTCAGCACCTGAACTCACAGGTAATGGAGCAACGCAGCTTAGGAGACGCCTCTGAGAGTTCATAGGCCGTCCATCTGGAAGATGAAAGGACCACCACGCACATGTCTCCATCCCTGGAAGAAGAAGAGAACCCAGGTGGGCTTGGCTAAAAGGCATGTCTGACATGTAAAACTGCTTAATTTTAAACTCACACTCTGTGTCCTCTTTTCTCTGTCCTCTGGTGTCTTAGAACTTGTCACCATTTTATACAAAATGTCATTAGAGATGCCACCTGGTAGGATGGGGTGTTGTCTATTGTAGGAATGAATGGTAACTTTTCAGTGATTTAGGGACACTGAGATGTCGGTAATCATGATAAGACACCGGATCTTTGTTAGCAGCGATCTCATGCACTGACTCCTTCAAATGTGTGAATAGCTTCTTATTTTCCTTTCATCTTGAACTTTTGCACTTCGATTGGATATTTCACAATTGATTTTCCTCATTCTTCACAATGTGAGCTACATAATGTCCCTCTGACAAGAGCACCGTCTTTATGTTCCACAAAACTCCTTTTGTGAAAAGGTGGGGCTGTTGGGTTGGGCCCCCTATTAGCACATTTGAAGAAACTCTCCCGCTTTACCTTGACAGGTTTGCTGCAAGCCCCCGCACAGGCCCCACTTGCCTAGAGACAGGGAGCCACGTGGAGCTTGCCACAGCTGAGTGTGCGTGGACAGCAGGATTGGGGAAGGACAGGACGAGGCACTGTTATGGGCCCTATGGTGGGTGCTGATGTGCATCTTTCACAGAAGCCCCTTGGGCAGCACTGTGGAGAATGGCGGTGGGGGCTGGAAAGGCTGAGTTACACAGATGTGAGGGGAAATGTGAAATTCCAGGGTGAGAAATGGTGAGTTCTGAGTCTGAAGATTTGCAGTGGGCTGCAGAAGAGGCTGTGGATTTGAGAAATATAACCTCCAAGACAGTGGGAGAAGTCAAGGGTGACTCACATCCTAACAGCATTTGCTAATCCAATAAATATGGCTGAGCACCTGCTATGTGCAAGATGCTGAAGCAGGTAATGGGAACACAGCAGTGAACGGAATTAATAAAGCTGTGGTGTTCATGAGGCTTCAGTTTATTTGAGGTAAGACATCGAATAAACAAATATGCACACTGTTATTTCAAATTGTGGACAGTTTTATAAAGAAATTAAACTCCTGGGTGTGGCCACCCCGTGAAGGTTTCCTTTATAGAATTTGGGCCGGGCAGGAGAGGGGAGGAAGCTTCGACATGAGAGCTCCTAGGCGCCAGATCACAGGGGAGCCCTGCAGACCAGTGTGAGGGGCCTGCGTTTTGTTCTGGGCTCTGGAAGAAGCCTATGCAAGGTAGTAAGCAGGGAAATTGTGTAACGTGTTTCACTTTCAGATGCCGGCCGGGCGCGGTGGCTCATGCCTATAATCCCAGGACTTGGGAAGCTGAGGCGGGCGGATCATGAGGTCAGGAGTTGGAGACCAGCCTGACCAACATGGTGAAATACCGTCTCTACTAGAAATACAAAAATTAGCTGGGCTTTGTGGCATGCACCTGTAATCCCAGCTACTCAGGAGGCTGAGGCAGGAGAATCGCTTGAACCTGGGAGGCAGAGGTTGCAGTGAGCTGAGATTGCACCATTACGCTGCAGGCTGGGCGACAGAACAAGACTCCATCTCAAAAATAATAATAATACTAATAATGCTGTACACTGACTATGTGAGGGGTTGAAAGGCCAGCCTTCCTTGACCTCAGTTCCTTGGAGACAGTAGAATACAGCTATGAATCTTGTTGATGGAGCCTTTCATATGTTGAATTATGTCCCCCACAAAAGGTATACGTTGAGTCTCATCCTCCAGTTCCTTAGAATGTGACTTTATTTGGAAATAGAGTCATTGCAGATGTAATTTATTAAGATCATTCTGGAGAAGGGTGGCCCCTACTGCAGTATGACTGATGTCCTTATGAAGAAGGGAGATTTGGAAACGACTCACACACTCACAGGGAGAACACCAGGTGAAGAAGGAGACAGAGATCAGGGTGATCCTCTATAAGCCAAGGAACACCAAAGATACCAGCAAATACCAGAAGCCAGGGCAGAGCCCTGGAGCAGCTTCTCCCTCACAGCCCCCAGAGAGCACCAGCCCTGCTGACACCTTGATCTCGGCCTTCCACCTTCCAGAACCCGGAGAGAAAACACATTTGTTGTGTGAGCCCCGGGCAGTGGTGCTGCATTACCGTAGCAGCCCAGCACTAGCACTAACACAGGCCTAGCCTACATTTCGCAGGTCCTGTCCATATATAAGAGATTCTGTAAGAATTGAAGAAACAGGAGAGAAACACAAAGGGTGGCTCGACAGTCAACAGGGACAGGTTTATTTTCAATAAACCTGAGAGGGTCGACTGGCTAAGTTAGGTCAGAGGCACTCTGTCTTATAGACTAAGAGTTTGTAAGGATTCAGGGTGGGAGAGTTTATCAGAGTCTTGGACTGCTTCTGTGCCTCTTTGTTGTGCTTATCTGGGAGGGAGAGTTGTGTGTCTCTTCCCATACATCTTTCTGCAGCTGCAGGCATATCCCCTGAGTCTGCTTTTAGCTTCCCTATCTTAGTACACCTGAAGGAAAAGGAAGGTGCTTATTAAGGGCCACTGTTTTACTGGGGCCCATTGGATGAGGGCAAAGTTTGGCAGTTACGCAAGAGACTTTCCTCCCACCTCCTTCTGTGCCCGAGCTGTCTTATCTGTGTTTTACTGTCTGCTCTTTCTGGCTGCTGGTAGTTAGAAGAGAAGTGATTTCCTTGAAATGAAGGAGTCTAGAAAGGGAGCTGGAGTTTAAAGTGACAGTGTTTGTCCAAGATCATGGTGCTCCTGCTCTGTCAGATTCCTACTTTCCACATGCCACCAACTTGCTGCTTGCCTGGGAGGCTGCATTTCACCCTTGCCCTCACCCCGTCCCCAGCATGCAGGGTCCCAGCCAGGCTCTGGCCAGCAGATGCAGGGAAGAGCCTGCAGCATCCCTCTGTGTGCAGCTGCTTAGCAAGGTCGAGAGCTGTCCCGATCGGGTCCTGGTCCATGCTCCGTAACTAGTCCCAGAACAGCCCCATCTCAGTCCGGTTGGCCACTGTAACAAATACCTTAGACTGGGTAGTTTACATACTGCAGACATTTATTGCACACAAGTCTAAGACTGGGAAGTCCAAGTCTAAGACTGGGAAGTCCAAGATCAAGGTGCTGGCAGGTGCAGCGTATGGTGAGGGCTGCTCTCTGCTTCTGTGGTACTTTCTGTGTGTCGTCACATGGTGCAGGGGACATAAATGTGAAGGACGACCTTCCTTCATGTCTGCATGGTCTCTCAGTCATGTCATTCTGTACCAAGGTCTTATTACTCCCCAAACCCAGGCATTCTTTTGAGGCATCAAATTCTGAGGCTGGGAGTTTGATGAGTTTCTTGCCTCTCCTGTCCCGTGGTAGGTGTGCCCACCACCTGTGGACACTGGTGCTGCTCACCACACTCTTCCCTGGCACCACGCTCTTCTCCTGGACACCACCGGCTTCCCTTCCCTGTGTTAGGGTTGGCAGAGCCTGAAAAGCTGGGAAAGTGGCACAGACTGTGTCGATATCTTTCCCACTTTGTGAATGACCTCCTCATATTCTCCAGGACCAACCAAGCTCTTGGGGCCTGGGGCACATGGGAACCATGCAGTGTGGCCTCTCAGGGGTGCAGGGAGCCCCGCCCCAGAAAGGCAGAGGGTAGGGGGCAAGTGTGTTGGGGAGTTGGGGATGTCAGAGTGACAGCAGAAGAGCTGGAGCTCAGCCATGGGAATGTCAGCAAAGAACTGTCAGGAAGAAACTGATCTCCTGAGAGAGGGAAAGGTGTGCCACTCTCCCCTCCCGGGTGGAGCCTGAGGAGATGTGTGCCATGAGCAAGGTGGCGCCTTATCAAAGAAAAGCAGAGCCAGCAGAAATCAAATCAGTGATGGCACATTTTATTCAGGACTATTGCAAAAAAGACTCCAGTGAAGAGCTGGGTTGGGCTCCGTTACAAGTACAACGGGGACGAGTGGGCACTGATGGCCAAGGAGCAGAGGGTCAGTGGGTGTAAAGTTACTCAGAGGAGACGCCAAGTCTGCGGGCAGTTCTGGCCAAACCAGCCTAAAGGGTTTCCTGCTGAAGGCAGGTCAGCATGTCAGCATGTTTCTGTGGGGAATTCTTGCCAGACTGACTTAGCTGGGGTTCTTGCTAATGGGCCTAGGAGAAGGATCAGGGCCTGACTAAAGACTGGCCAAGCACAGGATCTTTGTCACATTGAGGACAGGATGTGGAGCTAGACTGAGCTAGACCATGGGGCTGCCTGCTACAGGAACACTGGGCTTCCTGCACTGAATAAGAGAGGAAGGTACAGGAGTGCAGCCGGCCTGGTGGCCCTGTCATTTCTTAGCCGGCTGCACCACGGAGTGGCCTTAGGTCCCTGCATGCTGCTCAGCAGTTGTGTGTAAGGAATCCCTGCATTGGGAGGAAGCTGAATCCAGTGACTGCCAGCTCCACAAGCATGAAGTGTTATGAAGACGCCACAAAGAGAGTGCTTCACAGCATCATTTGATTCTTCAGCCCCCAAATCCATTTTCCAACTCAACTCTAAGTAGGACCCACTGTTTCCTGACAGTGCATGCAGTTGTCAGGAAAGCACAGAACTTTCTTTTGTCAGCATTCCCTAGTCTTTTATGAGGCAGAACTGTATTCCTGAGGCCTGTGCTAAAGTAAATACCAGACCCTGTCGGTGTGCAGGAGGCACCCCTCGCTGTCACCCCGCGGTCCGCCATTGAGGTTGCGTTGATGTTCCATCCACCCCTATTGCCCCTGGAATCTTACTATGGAGCTGCCCTAGACTTATGCAACCACTCACCGAGGAGAATCTGCCTCTTATTTCATCTTCCCAGGAAGTTCCTCCTTGCTGGGACACTTCTTCTCTTTTCTGCTCCCTCCATCCCACTTAATTCTTGGTTCTCCTTTCCTTACCTTCCCCAAGTCTCCATTGGCCTGGGCCGCTGCCCTTCAGCCCACACCTTGGCAGTTGGTGGTGCCTCGCAGCACGGGATGGCAGAGAAGGGCTGGGCCTGTCAGGATGAGGTGAGTGTCCCAGGCAGGTGGGGGTCCAGAGGACGCATTTCCACTTGCTGTGTTCGGGGTGGCCCATGACAGGTGCTGAGCTGCCAGGCTTCCGTCCACAGAAACCAATCTGACTGTAACTTCTTTGTCCCTTGAAGAGCCCTTGAGATGCAGCCAGGGTACAGAGCAGGCAAATCAAATGGCTGGTCGTTGCAAGCAGGCAGGCAGCTCCTGTGCTTCCCATAGGGCATAGCTGACTGCTCCCAAGTCACTGGGTGTGTCCAGAGGAGAGTGAGTTGCTGGGGGTTGGATGGGGTGGGGAAATACACACATGGGTTGGCCTCTCTGGTCTCATCCAAGATGAATGTCCTATGATTCCATGAGTCTGTGACACAAAAGGAAAATTTGATTTTATAATACAGAAGAAAGTCTTTTAAAATTTCCTACCAACAATTAATTTTGCCAGTGATTTGCAATCACTCACCTTTTGTTTCTTGATGCTCTCATTTCTCCCATCCTCTCTCATAATACAGCAGTCTAAAGATAGAAGCGTCCTTGGAACTGTGCAGGGAAAATGAATTAGAGTTATCAAAGAAAGTATTAAAATACTGTTTTCCTTTCTCTTTTCTCTCTTTTTTGGCTGCAAAGTTACACGTTAGAGATTTTGAGAAAGACATTTAAATGAGGAAAGCAATTAAGGTTTAAGCATTGGAAAGGAATTTACATGAGATAAGAAGGGACCATATGAAGTTGGTTCTCCTTTCTTCTTCTGAAATTGTTCTGAACGACTCTATCATGATAAAACTGATGAGCAAGACCCTGTTTCTGTGAAGAGTAGGCTCTGGCCTCTCTGTGAGGTGTGCTCGTGCGGGGAGAAACCTCTTCCAATATCCAACATTCAAACAGCATTTGTGGACCATATTTACTGAAATTTTTTTCTCTCTTTTGCAATGTCGAATGAACCAAAAACCACTGAAAAGAGACAAATTTAGATGGTATATGCACCATTCACAATGCTTATTATAAAACTCCTATAATTTTTGCATCTTGTTTAGTTTATGTGTGCTTTTTAACGTAAACTTTTTTTGAGGCAGGGTCTCTCTGTGTCACCCAGGCTGGAGCACAGAGGTGCAATCTTGGCTCATTGCAACCTCCTCCTCCCAGACTCAAGCGATCTTCTTACCTCAGCCTCCCAAGTAGCTGGGACCACAGGCACACACCACCATTCTCAGCTAATTTTTGTATTTTTGATAGAGGCAGGGTTTTCCCATGTTGCCCAGCTGGTCTCAAACTCCTGAGCTCAAGCATCTTCCTGCCTTGGCCTCTCAAAGTGCTGGGATTACAGGTGTGAGCCACCACGCCCAGCCAACCTAAACCTTTTTAAACCTATGCTGCAGACATAATTTCTACCATCTTCCTAGATCTCATGGTGTGGCTATCCAGTAAATACTTCTCACTCAGTAAATTCTTAATTGAACATCCTAACTTATTCTAAATAAACTTTCCCTTTTTGGTTTCCATATTATTCGTAGTGTGTTCATGTACTACATTTGCCAATCATCAAAGCCAGAAACACTTGGAATCATCTTTGATCTTGTGTCTTTGACTTTCTGCATGTGTCTGGTCACCAGATGTGTTGGCCAGGTGATCCTACCAGCATGCAGTTTGAGCTCTGAACTCCTCTCTAAGCCTCCAGGAAGACACAGCAAGAGGAGAGGTGCCATCAGTCCCAGGACTTCGGGTCCTGCAGGGGGAGGACTTTGCCGTCCCTCCCTGGTTGAGGTGTTCTGGTACTTGAGGTGGGGGATGAGACCTCTGAGAGGTCTTCATGCAGATGAAGGAAGGGTGGCATCCTTCCAAACATTCCTGTTCTACGTGCAATGCAGGTCTCCTCTTTTAGGCCTTGTTTTGTGTGATTTGATTTCTTCAGTGGAAACTAAGGCAGGGAGCCCAGGCTGACCTCAGTGAACGAGGTTCTCCAAAGGACAGAGCTGCGTGTGAGGACACAGGATACTGTGGTCTGGCTGGATGCAAGCGGCTGCCCATGTGGGTCCCATCTGCCTCCCCTCTCAGCAGCATTTGTCCCCTAGACCAGAGAATTCCGGTTGAGAAGCTCCCGAATCCCCACCCTTCGTTCCTCTAAAGACTTACACAGGAGCCAAGCATATGAAATGAATGAAAGTTGGAGCTTCAGGGATGCGAGTGGGCGGAGGGAGCTGGGGCCTCCCCTGCCACCTGAGGGCCCTCACCCGAATGCTGCAGCCCTCCTGCTGCTCGCTGACTTGGACACATCCTCCTCCATCCCTCTTCCACACTGCTGCCAAGCCGCCCTCCAGAACGGGCCAAGGGGCCTGGCGGCCCTCTGCTGCCAGCTTCAGAGGATGCCCGTTGCCTCCCTGTTGCAGTGCGGTGGTTGCAGCTGGCTCACCCTCCCTGGGTGCTGTTCCTGGCTCCTCCCCTGCCCTCCACCATGTCCCGCACACATCACCACACTCGCTGGTGCAATTCTGTGGGAGCCGCCCCTTGCTTCATGCTCCCTTGGCTTCCAGGCTCAACTCCCAAACTCCCGGTGCCTGGGTGTCAGTCTCTCCACATGCCCTTGGGGCTATGCCCTGGGTGGTGCTGCTCCCTCCCATGGGAATGCTCAGCCACCTGGATGACTCTCACCGTCGGGTCTGACAGCCTGAGTCAGGCTGGCCTGTCCTGGGAAGCTTTCTGCATCACTCTTAGCAGGGCCAGGGCCTCCCTGTGGTGTGGCCTGGAAGTGTGTGCAGACAGGTGCCAGACAGTTGGAGATGCTGTTGTCACTGTCCTGTCTTGAGGCTTGCATGTTGCACTCAGTCATAAGCTGTCAAGGGTGGGGGCCTTGTATCCCTTTCTCCAGCCACGGGCTCCGCGTCCAGCCCTGATCAGATGCTCAATAACTGTCTTGTTCTATATGAACCTAACTTGCTCGTGCTCCTTCCTGTGTCTGGAATCTCTTCCCCCCACCCCATCTTTCCAGCCCCATTCTAATACCCTCCATCTCTTCAGTAAAGCCTTCCTTCACAAAGCCCAGGCAGAATTGTTGATTAGATGGAATTTGGTGGGACCCTCAGTTTTTCTACAACTCAGAACAACACCACATTCCCCGACTGTTGCTTTGATGTAAATATTGTATTTATCCATCAGGCTAGGAGTGTGCAGTTAAGGATTGTTAAAGAGTTTATAGGAGACCGTGGGTTTAGACTGAGCTCCTGCACTAGGCATTGGCAGACCAGACCAGCTCAGAACCAACTCACTCATGTTCTATATCAGCAAACTGAACTCTGAAACAGGCATTTTCCAAGGCAGAGAAGCACAGCAGCCCGTCAGAAGGGGCCAGCTCACCTGAGCTGGTATCATAGGAAGTCCCCTCTGTTTTAACCCAAAAAGGAGAGTAACTTTGAGATGGCTGATCTGCTGTTTGTCCCATGCTTCTGCTTCCTTCCGCCCTTTTCTGCCCGCAGAGCCCCCTCCTCTGCTCAGCTCGCTGGAACACTCATTCTATCTCATGGAATGAGGCATTGCTTGATTCTAGAATTGTCCTAATTTTTGTCTTTTAACAGTGTGAGTTAGTTACCTATTGCTGTGTAACGAAGTACCCCAATGCTTTGTGGCTTCAAAGAACACATTTTTTACCTCGCAGTTTATATGGTCAGGAATTTGGGCAGAGCTTAGCTGGCTCCTCCGCTTCAGGGTCCCTCCCAGTCTGCAGCAGTGCTGGGCCTGCAGTCCTCCCGAGGCTGGGCCCAGAAGAAGCTGCTTCCAGAGCCGTCTCCTGCCTGCCAGCAGGATGCAGCTCCTCTCAGGCTGTCGGGCTGAGAGTCTCAACTCCTCCCTGGCCTTTGCCTGGCCTGGCTCAGTTCCTGGCACAAGGGCCCCTCCACTGGGAAACTGGCTTTATTAGAAGGAAAGAGGAAGGAAGGATCAGGGGAGGTGAGAGAGGAGAGGGGAGGGGAGGATGTTTTTATAATCTAACCTCGGAAGTGATGTCATGTCACTTTGGCCATATCTGTTGGTTAGGAACAACACATCACTAGGCCCAGCCCTCGTGTGCTGGGAGGATATACTCAAAGCCTGAATGTCAGGAGGGGAGATATTCAGGAGTTGTTTTGGAAGCTGAAGACCACACACTTATTTTGTGCCAGTCACTGTTCTAGAAGTAAAACCAGACATGGTTTCTGAAATTAAGGTGATTTCTGTTCTTGCCCTAAACACGGTTTTGATATTTTTAGGCAAATCGAAGCTATCAATAGGTATTGACTAAAAGAAAATATAAATAGATGTCAAAATGCAAACTTGTTGATATCCATTGTTGTCAAAATACTTATAATTTTCACATTTTGAAATCAAATGTTGATATTAAATATACCATTGCAAAAATATTAAGATAAAATATTTGCATGAATGAAGAAAAGCAAAACCTTTTAATACATAATGATAAAGTACAATGCCAGTGTTAAAAGAAAACCTTTAGACAAATTAAATTAACAGAGTTTAACTGAGCAAAGGGTGAATCATGAAGGGGGCAGGCCCTAGAATCAGAATAGGTTCAGAAAGTCTGTTACTACAACCAAAAAGTAGTCAAACAATGTTAATGGACAGAGAAAAGGAAATGAGGGACAGAAACAGCTCCATTGGTTGCCACTCAGTGTGGCCTTATTTGAACCTGGTTTAACCAGTTGGCCGCCTGTGACTGGCTGAAGCTTGGCGGCTGTGATTGGCTGAGACTCAATTATTTGTTACAGAAGCATACTCATAAGTTAGCCTTTCAATTTATTTACATACTGAGTTAGATTGGAGCTTATTACACACAGCTGGTATGGAGGCCTCTAAAGCCCAAATTTAGTTTGATTTAACAGCAGTCTAACAATCAATACTAAAAAGTAATCTTAAATTGGAATACCCATAAAATAAAGCCTAGAAGATGCAGGTAGTCATTAATTCACATAACTACTGAGACAGATTATTATAGAAGTCAGAGGGGTTATTTCAGAAGTGGAATGAGAAGCTCTGAAGCTGCATTATATATAAAGGAGCATGGCCTAGATCAGACCTATTGGAGAATTCCCTGAGGCGCTTATGAGCCCAGAGGGCTGAGCAGAGGTCAGCCAGGCGAAGGGGTGATTTCAGGTTGTCCTGAACAGGACGGAGTGGCAGGTGCAAAGGCCTCGTGCTAGGTGCCGCACAGCACACCCCGAAACTCACATGAGGGTAGAACATACCCACTTCTCTCACCGGGGGAACAAACTCCAGAAGGTCAGTTCCTTATGCTCTGTCATTATTAGTTTGCACACAACCGAATAGTGTCCCTTTATCTGATTTCCCTTTCCGGTGTGCACCCAGCATCTACTGCAAGATAAACTATCTAGAATGAAGGAATTGATATATGCTTTGGCAACAATCAATTTAAGCAGCTCTCAGCTAGAGCACAAAACCGTAAATCTGCTGCAATTGCTGGGCATCAAGGGGCATCAGCAGTTGCTCTGCCTCACTTTATCAGAAGCAGGTGCACACTCATGGAAGGCGAAAGAGAAAGGAATTAGGATCCACTGAGTTTCAATGTGCGCCAGTTTGCACACATTACCTCATTTTGTCCTCAGGGAGCCCACAACGTCTTTTTGGAGACAGGGAACCAAGTGCAGTGAGACAGCGGTCAATGCCCGTGCCCAGGTCTTTCCTCCGGAGGCAGCGTGGGCTCTGCAAGGCCACCTGTCTTCACTTTGCAGCAAAACCAAGTCCTCATGCAGGGGCCGATGAGTTCTAAATGCATGGAGAAACACTGGCTCAGCCTCTTCACCTGCACATGGTGATACTAATTATGTTTGCTTTGCCAGAGGAGGATGTGGGCAGACGTGGGAACTGCAGAGAGCTCCGAGTTCCGAGGGAAGCGTCACGGAAGTGTGAAGGGCGAGGGAAGGGATGCCCTTGAATCCTTACATACTTCTTTTTCTTTTTTTTCTTTTTTATTTTTTTGAGATGGAGTTTCACTCTTGTTGCCGAGGCTGGAGTGCAATGGCACGATCTCAGCTCACCGCAACGTCCGTCTCCGGGGTTCAAGTGATTCTCCTGCCCCAGCCTCCCGAGTAGCTGGGATTACAGGCATGCACCACCATACCTGGCTAATTTTTTTTTTTTTTTTGTATTTTTAGTAGAGACTGGTTTCTCCATGTTTGTCAGGCTGGTCTCGAACTCCTGACCTCAGGTGATCCACCTGCCTCGGTCTCCCAAAGTGCTGGGATTATTGGCGTGAGCCACCACGCTTGGCCCCTTATATACTTCTTAAAGTTGTTTCCCCTTACTCAGTGTCCCCTGGCTCACTCCTGTATTCTCCAGCTGCATGAAGACAGCCACGGGTCTTCCCTTGCCTGTGCTGATCACTGTGTGGTCATTCTCCTGTATCGTTAGTGCTGTGCGCATCCCTTACTGGCTTGTCCATCTTTCATTCACAGCTTTGTGTTGCAAGAGAAAGCTAATCCTTCCCACTTCTGTTGCTCTGTCATGTATTGATAGCAAATTCATTAAACTCCAGTTTCAAAGTCACAGCATGTTGGTGTTACATCCCTTTTGGATATGTGAGGTATCTTTTTTGGAGGTCTGAAAATAGGCACACACCTTTAAAATGTCAGTCCACTCTTGGAGAGGAAGAGGATGTTCATTTTGCCGTTGTCTTTCAGCTTTTTCTTTTGGAGGTAGAATATAATCAGGCACATCTGTGGCTCTCAAACACTTAGAGGAATTTGATGTTTTCAGACAAAGTGATGTTATCAAATGAAGTGTTATTGCCACTGTACTTCTTTCTTGTTTTATCAGTTTTATTATTTATTTAAAATGTCTCTTGAATGACTCTGTTCTTTAATCCTCTGGGATGGTGAAAGACGATGTAAGATAATGTCTGCAGTGGGACCATATGGTGTCAGTTGCTTGCTCAGCTAGTTGTTGCATAATTTTTCATGCTGGTTTCCTCTCCAGAGATAAACCACCACATACTCATTTTAAATCCAACATATAGGGTATCTTCAGGCCGCTGTGTTCTGAAGGAACATTCTGGCCAAATGTTCCATATTCCCCGAGACTTCCCAGTCTTACAGTTATCATACTGCTGACATTATTGGAGAATTAGCAGTCCAGGGTGCACTATGCATGTTTGGGTAAGGGAAACATGTCACCCTCGCAGGTCTCATAATTATCTGTAGAATCACTGAATAAGATGAGGCCCAGCACCTCCATTACTGTAATTCATGGGCACTGACTATCATTTTGATTGAAAATGTGTGCCCATGGCCTGGCTTACAGGGAGCCCTGACGTCATATCATAGTTAATTATGAAAATCAGATATGTGTTCATGATTCTTGGTTCTCATAAATCTGTTGCATGTGAAAAACTTCAGCTAAAAGTCAAGGGCTGTTCCCTTTGTATCAACTTTGTTTAGTGAATAAGAAAGGGAATTTTTAATACTTGAGAAATATTTGGCAATGCACAGTTTAAAGTTTTTCAGATTTATACCTTGCAAGCCTCCTTATAAAACAGTTAATTTTCAGTGTCTGAGACTCATGGTCAGGTCGATTTTAAAAGGACAAGCTGAAAATGATATTGTCTTTGCTATTGGGCTGCTGCCGACTTTGCAGATCTGGGAGAGGCAGTGTGAATCTATTTCTGGGCTAAAAATGGAATCAGGATGGATTACCTTAGTCTAGGAGACAACCTTTAATTGTGCACTTTATCTTTATTTGGATCTATTAAGTTTTAACTGGTGGTCATTTTGCTAAATGTGTTGAACCCAGATAAAAATTTAAATTGTGAAATAACTGAATTACAGAAAACGAGAGAATCAGATGAGCAGGGGTCCCAGAAAATGCATTGAGAATAGGTCGTTTGCATCCAGGCAAGGTACAACACAGATAGTCGGTGAGTGAGGGCCGCCATGGCTCAGGGAGTCTGGAGGGGGCTCCATCCTCTTCCAGCCTGGGGAGAGGCCCCAGCAAGGGGTGCTGCAGGGGGGTGAGTACAGGGGCCCCATACCTGCCAGAGGACTGCACCCCACTGCCCTGGGAGCAGGCTGTGTGCCTCTCATGTGCTCATTTACTCTGAAGAGGGTGTGGAGGCCCAGGCTTCCTTTCCCTCAGAGGTGCCACTGACATGGTTTGTGTGCCAGCCCACCCTCTGATCCAGAACGTCCAGACAGAATCTCTGGGCAAATGCAAGCTCCAGGTGCCAGGCTCCCGGCTGACCTCACAAGCAGACTAGATATGGATGTGTTCGGAAACAGGGAGTTCATCTGGCCCCGGCAGCAGGAGCCAGCTGGGAACTCAGCAGAGGAGCCCAAAGCCCCAGGAGCTGACCTCAGTCCCTCCATAGGGCCTGCAGGCAGGTGGCTGGGGCTTTGCTCTTCCACCCGTCCCCCATGGTCTTATGAAGATCTTAGGTGTCTGAGAAAAACAGGCAGGTTTCGGTCCCCTGAAACTGCCACTGGAGCTAATAGCATCAAATCATAACATTAATCAGCTGCCCACGGGTGGGCAGGCATTGTCAATTTCCTTCAAAAAGAAAGATGTCTTCAATGACGATTTGAAATTTCCTTATACTTAAATCTCTCCTGAGAGATGTGGGGATTAAATATGTCACCATCATGTGGCTTCTGTGCCAGGTTGTGGCAACCTCATCTCAGAGTCCAAGGCACCAGGCCCTGGTTCTCCTAACCCTGACCATCTCTGACTGTATCTCCCTCTCCTTCCTTCCTGCCCCCTGCAAATGGATGGAAGTTGGATTCTTCTGTGACAGCCAGGTCCTGACTTTCCTTCAGGTGTTTGGGGGCTACCCTGGGGCCTGCTGCCCACCACGCTACGGGGCTCTGTGAGCCTCGGACGCACAGCCTGTTAGAGGAAGTCAGTACTCGGACACTAGAGAAAGATGCGGCTTTGCAAGCTCAGAGATTCCCAGGAAGTGCTGAGCTGCCTTTGGGCAGGGTGGCTGCATGAGCATGCATCTCCTGCACATGCAGGGTTGGGTTTAATGCTCTGGTGTCTCTCTCTTGATGTGCGTAACCGTTTTTGATTAGGGAGCCCTGCATTTTTATTTTGTGCTGGGCCCCACAAATTATGTAGGCAGCCCAGCTGCTGATGTGTCTTTGCCTTCAGGTAGTTCATGCTTTCGCGTTACATGGGTCCACAGACTACAGTCGCACAAATCAGAGCTTCATTTATTTAAACCCTCATATGGTCTTAGAATTTCACTATCTTCCTGGAGCACCTGCTAGCTGTCTGTGCTTCACACTGTTTGTATTAGTTTCTTCCAGTTTCTAATCTTACTGCTTCTAACTTGGGAGCTCAATTTCTTCCCAGCAGCCTTACCAATCACTCCCCTGAGCTGAGGACCGACCATAGAAATGAAAGCCACACACCCAGCAGGGATGCCAGTGATCATGGTCACGGAATAAGGCAAACCCGGGCTCAAATGCTCCCTCCCAAGTACTGAACATGACACTTTTCATTTCCCTTATTTGAAGAGCAGGCACAATAAAAACACCTATCAAATATATTTAAGAATTACATCAGAAATGCATAAACAGGTAGATGTGTTTAGTGCAATAGCTCATAGTTAACTCCCTGAAAGAAGAGTAAGAAAGGATGAGTGATGCGTGCACGCTGCTAGACCAGGAGAAGAGCAGGGCTCTGGGAGGGGCACAGTGAGCGGGGATGAAAGGTCATATCCACCTGTGTGACAGCAGGACACCTGTGTGCCCTCCCTGGGCCTCTGTTTTTGTATTTGTTAAACCCTCTTGTGGACGGGCTGATTGTGGATTAATTAGATAATACATCAAATGCCTGTGATGTTGTCTGAAATATGTTGAATAAGACCTATAATAAGTGGGTTTCTCTATTCTGTTCTGAGACGGGCCTTTCCAAAAGCAGAGAGGAAACACACAGCTTTTTGGTAGAGGAAGAAGATTTAAATTTAATCTCTGGTACATCCCGTTCTGATACCTATGTATATGCAGATTCTAAAGTGAGATTTAGTCTCTATATTGGGCATGGACTGAGATAGTCTCCACATGTTCTTTGATGACACACAAAGAGATTAGCCGTAGGGAAAAGACACAATATTTTACTTCCTGTATGAAGGAAGGCATTTGCTTTGAGCTGTTTCCTCCTTCTTCTGTGCTCATGCCTGAAACTCTGTCCCTGGGGCCCCCTGGTGACCCCAAACTGCATTCTCCCCTGCTTCCCGAGGGTGGGTGAAATTACTGTCCCTTTCTCGCAGGCACAGCAGGGCTGTTCAGGTCTCCAGCCAACTCCCTTCACCTGGGAGGTGGCAGGGCAGCCACACACCATTGCCTTGCCCTTCGTCCTGCTGTTCCTAGGATAAGATAGCATCTCAGGGGATCTTAGGAGGATCTCTGGGTTTTACTACCAGTAAAGCTGTAAAGCCCTTATTTGCCCAGGAGAACAAGATTTCCTCGAATACCTAAACTCAGTAATGTAGAAGCAGCTGAGTTATTAAGATTCAGACTTCTGGAGGGGGCTGTTTTTATTCTTGGGTGTTTTATTTCCAAGTGGATGACAATAAGTTATTTTTATAAACTTTTTAAATTTAATTATAATATTATTAACTATTTCTTAAGTTATAGACTAATTATCTGTAATTACAAGGAAATTACTTATAGTAGTCATACAGTATTACCACTGATTACTATATATTAAGCATTACAATTTATTACCAATAGCTGTACATATTTTGCTTATAATATGATGTTTAATATCATGGTCCTGCTATTGCAAATTATGTAGTTTTTAAACTCATGAGAGGAAGAGATTTATCCATTTTATATGGTAAGAGGAAAATGATCCAAATATGGTCAAATTTATACTGCTGTTAGCTGTAGCACATAAAAGTCATACAATGCTAGGTGTAACCAGATAAATTGAGGCAATAGGACTCAGACCACAAATTCTTTGTATTTATTAGATGACCATAGTGCAGTTGTTTTTTACATTTGCCTTAAATTCTATAGACTTTCATTCCAAAGGGAAAAAATCTAGACAAGCTACAATTGTTGACTCTCCTGTTTTCAGTCATTTTAGGTAATGATTAGACCTGACCTAAATTTACTGGCAATTTAGAATCTCAGAAGAAATGCTGTTTTATTGATTTTATTTTTTTTATTGAGGTTATGTCCCTCCAAAATGCATCTATCCATCAATGTCCATCCAGAAGATAAACTATAGTGAATTAGCCATTGTTTATAATGGATACACATTTTGATGAATAGTATATGTTGTGGACTGAATTTTGTGTCTCCCCCAAAATGCATCTGTTGAAATCCTAACTCCCAAGGTGGTGATATTAGGAGGTGTGTCCTTTGGGAAGGGGATTAAGTCATGAGGGTGGAGGCCCCACACATGGGATTAGTGACTTTATAAAAGGGACCTCAGATAACTCTTGTCCCTTCCTCTGTGTGGGGACACAGCAGGAAGATACCATCTAAGACAGTAGTCCCCAACCTTTTTGGCACCAGGGACCGGTTTCATGGAAGACAGTTTTTCCACGGACCAGGGCTGGGGGTTTCAGGATGATTCAAGTGCATTACATTTATTGTGCAGTCTACTTCTATTACTATTATATTGTAATATACAGTGAAATAATTATACAACTTATACAACTCACCATCATGTAGAATCAGTGGAGCCCTGAGCTTGTTTTCTAGCAATTAGATGGTCCCATCTGGGGGTGATGGGAGACGTGACAGATCATCAGGCATTAGATTCTCATAAGGAGTGTGCAACCTAGATCCCTTGCATGTGCAGTTCACAATAGGGTTCGTGCTCCTGTGAGAATCTAATGCTGCCACTGATCTGACAGGAGGCGGAGCTCAGTAATGTGAGTGATGGGCAGCGGCTGTAAATACAGATGAAGCTTCTCTTGCTCGCCCGCCTCTCACCTCCTGCTGTGTGGCCCAGTTCCTGACAGGCCTTGGACTGATACCCGGCCACAGATCGGGCGTTGGGGCCCCCTGATCTAAGAGGAAGAATGCCATGTCTGGTAGAAGGATGGTGTGTTCTCTGTCCCACCCCCATGAAATTTCTGGTGGGGACTGGTCTGTCTTTGTCTCTTGAGAGTGCTGAGTTACGTTGATCACAACACCTCTGATCACCTTGGGGGGGTGCTGTCACTCCCGTGCCGCAAATGGTGACCAGATCAGAGAAAGGACTCAGCCCTCAGGTGGTGGCACCATAGCCAGTGGCCAGTGGGGCCTCGGCGTGTGGCACAGGTGGTAGAAAAACTTGGCATTCTGTGGGCCAATGTGGAGTGTTAGGCCTGGAGAATCACAGAAAATCTAAGCATAAGGCCCTTCATTCCTCCTGTAACTCCTTGACAAAAGAAGTGCCACAGTGCCTGTGAGGGTGCATGATGGCAGGCCACTTCCCTCCTGCTGCTTCTAAAACACACGAAATCTAGTATCAAGACAAACAAAAATAAATGAGCAAGAAGATTCAGCAAATGGATCAGCAGATGATTAAAATACCTAATGTAGAGCTATGCTCATAGTTTAAAAAGTCTAGATACAGTGGACAATTTGGGGGAAAGATTAACCTGGATCAAAAGAAGAGGGAAACACAATTTCATACTATACTGCAAGACTACATTAACCAAAATAGCATGGTACTGGCACAAAAACAGACATACGGACAAGTGGAATAGAGTAGATAACCCAGAAATAAAGCAACACACATGCAACCAGATGATCTTTGATAAAATTGATAAAAATAAGCAATAGGGAAAGGACTCTCTGTTCAGTAAATAGTGCTGGGAAAACAGGCTAGCCACATGCGGAAGAATGAAACTGGACCCTACATATCACCATATACAAAAATTAACTCAAGGCGGATTAAAGGCTTAAATGTAAGACATCAAAATAACAAAATCCTAGAAGAAAACCTAGGAAATACCCTTCTGGATATTGGCCTTGGCAAAGAATTTATGGCTAAGTCCTCAAAAGCAATTGCAACAAAAACAAAAATTGACAGTGGGACCAAATAACTAAAGAACTTCTGTACAGCAACAGAAACTATCAACAACCCACAGAATGGGAGAAAATATTCACTATGCTTCTAATAGAGGCCTAATGTCCAGAATCTATAACTAACTTAAATCAACAAACAAAAACAAATAACCCCACTAGAAAGTGAGTAAAGGACATGGACAGATACTTCTCAAAAGAAGACATACAAGTGACCAACAAATGAAAAAATCCTCAACATCACTAACCGTCAGAGAATTGCAAATCAAAACCACAGTGAGACACCATCTCACGCCAGTCAGAATAGTTATTACTAAAAAGTTAAAAGCCAGCAGGGTTGGAGAGGCTGCAGAGAAAATGGAACACTTATACACTGTTGGTGAGAAGGTAAATTGGTTCAGCCATTGTGGAGAGCATTTTGGAGATTTCTCAAAGAAGTAAAAACAGAACTAGCAATCCCATTACCTAGTATATACCCAGTGGAAAATAAATCATTCTACCAAAACGACATATGCACTTGTATGTTCACTGCACCACTATTCACAATAGCAAAGACATGGAATGAACCAAAGTGCCCATAAATGGTGACAGAAAAAAGAAAATGTGTAAATATACACCGTGAAATACCGCGCAGCCATTAAGAAAGAATGAAGGCATATCCTTTGCAGCTACATGGATGGGAAGGTGGAGGCCGTGATCCTAAGTGAATTAATGCAGAAACAAAAATGAAATACTGCATGTCATCACTTATAAGTGGAAGCTAAATTTTGGATACACATGGACATAAAGATGGGAATAGACACTGGGGACTTCAAAAGGAGGGAGGGGCCGGGTGTGGCGGCTCACGCCTCTAATCCCTGCACTTTGACTAAGGCAGGTGGATCACCTGAGGTCAGGAGTTCGAGACCAGCCTGGCTAACCTGGTGAAACCCCATCTCTACTAAAAAAAATAGCACGCACCTGTAATCCCAGCTACTCAGGAGGCTGAGGTGGGAGAATCCCTTGAGCCCGGGAGGCGGAGGTTGCAGTGAGCCGAGATCGCACCACTATACTCCAGCCTGGGCGAAAGAGCCAAACTCTATCTCAAAAAGAAAAAAAAAAAGAAAAAAGGAGGGAGGGTGTGAGGGGGCCAAGGACTGAAAAACTGCCTGTTGGGTTCTGTGCTCACTACCTGGGAGATGGGACCGATCAAAGCCCAAACCTCAGCATCACGAAACATATCCAGGGAACAAACCTGCACGTGTACCCCCTGAATCTAAAATAAAAATAGAAATAAACAAGGAAGAAGGAAATAAGCAACACTGGAAAAAACTGTAAAAGTTATCAAAGAATTTCCTCCAAAACAGGTTCCAGAGCCAAAGTCACGTTTTTCAGAAGCAACATTCCCAAGGCTGTAAGACTTGACTGAGTGTTACAAGAAAGGCGGAAATGCATCCGTTTATTTTGTGGTGCCGCCCTGACTCCCATACAGAAAACTGGCCAGGACAACGCAGAGCTGCAGATCCGTCAGATGGAATGGATACAGATCAGTCTTGATGCCAGGGACGGTGCTTCAAAAGCAGCTATTACTCTGAAAGGACACTCAGCAGATCCGGGGGCTTCAGGTTGTGAGATGAGCTCTGTATCGAGCGGGGAGGAACAGCTGCTGTGCACCACACTGAAGCCCTGAGACCAGCGGGGAACTACCTGTCTTTATTAAGATCGACTACAAAAGTCTAAGTTACTGTCCTCGTTTTGAGGGGGACTCTGAGTGGACCCTTGGTGGAATGGTTGTCAGCCACAAAGCAAGAGCGTCAAACCTGAGAGTGAAACTGGGCAAAGTTTGTAAGTTACAGCCCAAGGGCCAAGACCTGTTTTTTTTTTTTTTTTTTTTTAAATGACTTGTCAGCTAATAATAGTCTTTACATTCTTAAAGGATTGTGAAAAACAGCAGCAGCAGCAACAACAACTAGCCCCCCAAACAAAAGAAGGCTGTGTAATAGAGACTCCGTGTCCCACACCAGAGCAGCCTGTGATAGAGGCTCCGCGTCCCGCACCGGAGCAGCCTGTGATAGAGACTCTGTGTCCCGCACCGGAGCAGCTTGCTAGCACGTCCCGGGCTTTCACCCCGTAACATCTTAAGAAGGATGGAAAGACCAATCAGTACAAAAAAATAACCTGAACTTGTTACATCTGTAACTCGGGGAAATTAGTTCTAAAGCTATCATTATTTGCTAATGTTATAAGTATTTATTTAGGAAGTCAAAAGGAGATAATGGAAGACTTAGATACAGGCGGAGCATCCCAAATCTGAAAATCGGAAATCCAGAAGGCTCCAAAATCCAAAGCTTTGTGAGCACTGACCTAATGCGACAAATAGAAAATCCCACACCTGACCTCACATGGCAGGTCACAGTCAAACGCTGGCGCAGAACACACGGTGTTTTCAGCGTTCCCATAGGAATAATAAAATTACCTTCAGGCTACATGCATAAGGTGTGTATGAAACATAAATGAATTCCTGTTTATACTTGGTTTCCATTATTAAGATATTTCATTATCTGTATGGAAATATTTTCAAATATGAAATAATCTGAGATCTGAAACACTTCTGGTCCCATGCATTTCAGATAAGGGATACCCAACCAGTAATGATGGAGATTATCAAAGGTTTGAGAACAAAGCAAAAGCATTCTCAAAAGTCATTGAGAAAAAAAAATCATCCCAGAAATACTAGGGAAATATATGGTTTTTAATTTTTAAAGAGTTTTATATTATTTTAATTGGCAAATAATAAATGCACATATTGATGAGGTACAATGTGACACTTTGATACATGTATACATTCTGCAGTGATCAACTCAAGGTAATATTTTTTAAAAATTTGCAGGAGGAGAAAAATCACAAATAGTCACAAACAGAAAATAAATGTACAGGCTGGGTGCAGTGGCTCAAGCCTGTAATCCTAGCACTTTGGGAGGCTGAGGTGGTGGGTTACTTGAGTCCAGGAGTTCGAGATCAGCCTGGGCAACATGGAGAAAACCCATGTCTACAAAAAATGCAAAATAATGAGCCAGGTGTGGTGGTACACACCTGTAGTCCCAGCTACTTGGGAGGCTGAGGTGGGAGGATCACTTGAGCCTGGGGGGAACTGAGGCCGCAGTGAGCTGTGATTGTGCCACTGCACTCCAGCCTGGTTGACAGAGTGAGACCCTGTCTCCAAAAAAAAAAAAAAAAAAAAGAAAAGAAAAAAGAAAATAAACATACATATTGAGATATTGAACCCGTTGTTTGAGTCAGGCATGGTTTTAGGTCCTGAAATGAAAATTAACACCAGACAACCAGCCTGAGAATTTGCAAGAATGTTCTAAAAGTGATCATGCAGTGCTGGAAAAAGCTGTGGAAAGAAAGTGAGAAGTGTTGTCCAGTGTTGGTGGGAGAATGAAACTGGGGTGTGTGGAGAGCGTTTGTGAGAAGCCTCCGCCGGAAGGAGCTCAGATCCTGCTGTTGGTGCTCCAAGCTCAGACTGAATGGGAAGTTCACAAGACCCCCCACGGTGGCTTCCACTGCAAACAGAAAACCAGTGGACGTGAGGATGGGAGAGGTGGTGGATGAGCGTTTTCATTAAAGTTGTTGATTTATTCTGCAATAAATGGAACTCGTTTGTAGGGTAGCTTTTTAAGAATGGCTCCAGCACACTATTCTGGATTCTTCACTGATTTCTCTTGAGACCCAAGACTGTGATCGGGAAAAAGCACCTTCTCATCATCTAGTTCCTCTGTGTGCAGTGTGTGCTTGGGTCCTCCTTAATGAAAAATATTGTCCCTGTCTCCTATCTCCTCTTGTTCAGACTCTATACTCTTCCCTGCTTATTATCAAGGGAAGGATTCAGAGACAGGGTGTGGAGTAAACATTGCTCTCATGTCCATTGTCCAGGTGGAGAAATAAACCTTCCAACAGTGGCCAGAACCCCTAACCCCAGCCCCTTCTTGAAGCTTTTAGTCCTTGATTCCATTTTTTTGGTCATCAGATTTTTAGCTGGTGGTTTTTTCCAAGGGTGGATCTTTCTTCCTAACTCACACACATGAAACTCCTCTGCTTCTTGTGCCCATTGTGGCTGACAACTTCAATAAAGAAGTTTTCCGATCTGGCCAGGACAAAAGTCACAGAACATAATTTTTATGGGATTAAAACCATTTCTGCTCTTGTAGTTTCAGTAGAGAATGTTTTCTGAAACCAGCTTACAGGAAGGCATCAACACTTACGGTGATTTATGCCTCTGATTTTTAGGAGAAAATGGTAAATGACAAGTACAATGCCTGAGATTTATTAAAACAAAAACATTTCAGAGAATGTCATGGGGTGGTTTGAGGTCTGCTCAGTTTCCTGTGCCTTATACATCTACGGGGCTGCACGATCCTAGAAGACGTGTCTGAGCCCCCTGGAAAGGCCTCTGGGCTGTGGAGGGCACCTGTGATGGAGAGAGGTGTCCTGGCCGCCAGGTCACCCTCGGGGCTCCCATTGCTCATGTCCTTCAGGTGTTTCCTAAGTAAAAACTGGTGTTGTTGTCTGGGAATCTTACCACGTACTTATTCTTTGGAAATCTATCATACCAGCAGGTGGAATCGGTGTAGTTCAGGACATTCGCCATTTAATCGAGACATAGAAAAGCCATGTTTACTTGCCTCAAAGAAGTCCCACTGATGAAGAAATAAAGGAAGTTTCCATGCACATCCACTACCAGAAGGAAAGTCATGACAGTCCGCTCCCATTGCAACTCGAGAGGATGTGTGCATTGGCCTCTGCAACCGGGCTTCTTACAGGACATGAGTGCATTCTCCATCCACTGGGAGGCGGCTTGTATACTCACTCTCACAGTGAATCTGCCGACAGTTCTCAAAGCTGAGGAAGCATACAGGCTTTGCCCGTGGTTGGGTGGTGAGGCTGCATTTCGTGCTCATCTGCTCCATCTGCAGAGCCAGCCTTGAATTTTAAAGTCCTGTCTTACTGGACTCCTGTGATGACTCACTATGATAACGCATCAGAACACATGGATCTTAAATACGCAGGGACAAAATAAGAGAAGCGCTGATTTCTCCAAGGAAGTCCAGGTGTTCCCATTTACGGTGCATCTGAGAATGGAGATGATAGGGACAAGAGTCCACACCAGGCTATCTCCGCACAGCAGAGCTCAGAATTACAGATGGCAGAGCCTTGCTGAGCAGTTTAGACGAGGGTAAAGATTTTTGAGTATGCTTTTCATTGTAAGTTTTGGAGGCGTCCATTAGGGCCACTCAGCAGAGGTCTGAATCATCTGATTGCTCTGTTTGACTCAGTGTTGGAAGCCTGTTGAACAGGAAATGAGCTATTTCTTGCTCAACCAGGAGTTGTAGCATCTTTGAAGTTTGGGAAGTTAATTTATAAATTCCCAACTGTCCGGCTACATGTCAAGTGTCTGGTCATTGTTTTGATTTGTTGCAACCTGTGAAAGTACTTTTTTTTTTTTTCAAAGTCAAATTGCCATATTGGAAACCAGGAGCCACCATCTTTAAACAATTAGAGATTAGAGATTTGCTATGACTTTACCTATACAGTGCTTAAGACCGATTTAGTCTATTAGAAACCAGTAAGTTCGCGGGCCTCATCAAAATTGATAAGTGATTAGCACTGTCTATAAAACTATGCCATATCGTATAAAGTAAAATTGCTTCTTAACTATCTTTGTGTTGCTATAGTACATATTTCTGAAAAGCTCTTAGACTAAATGCAACCGTCATCACCAATAAAACCATTAATGAACCCTATACACAAATGAACTTTGAATCCTGTGGCCACTATTAAAACAATTTTAGATCTTGATTTGCCATTTGGGGAATGCTAAGCTGCTGTAACAGCAGGCTCAAACTAATTCACTGAATTGGAAAATATGGAAATTCTTCATATAAGAACTCTGAAGTGAGCATTTCAGGCTGGCAGGCTGCCCTGGTGCCCTCTGCCATTCAGGGAAGCAGAAGACAATGAAGGCTCTGTCACTCCCAACACGAGGCTGCAAAGGTTGCCATACATGCTCTTTCTAGCCAGCAGGAAGGCCTGAAGGGCACCCCTACTGCTCTCTACATTTCCTTTGGGGAGAGCTGAGTCTTGGGGCCACAGCCAGCTACAGGTGGTTTGGAAGCGGGGTTCCCATCTGACAGAGACCATGCTCCCACCTGCAGCCCTTCTGTTGTAGAAAATTGGCAAAACGGATTTTGGTGGACAAATAGCAGTCTCCATCACCGTTCTGTTATTTTATAAGCTGAATCCCAGTTATGAGATACTATGTTGGCTATAATTTCAAAGTTTCTATTGATAGCTGTTATAACACTTTTATTCCAATTTGAAAATTTGGATCAATAAACATTGAATTGGAGATATAGTTCCAAATCAAGAATATAACTGTTCACCTCTTACGCTGTTAAGAAACCTAAAGGCATTTGACATACACTGTTTTGCATTTCTATGTTAGATGTCCAAGAGAGGAGACATGTGTTCCAAGACTGTGGTCCTGAGATGGCATGAAGGCGAGTGATGCAGAGTGAAAGGGTTTCCTGCCATGGGCATAGGTCTGGGTCCTGGCAGACAATGGTGCTTCACTGTGAACAAAGACACAGTTCGATTATTGACCACTAGGTGGCACCACGGAGAATAGAAATGTCTGCACCAATCACCAGGGAGCTGGGAGTGCTCTTTCCTTAAGGATCTGTATTCTATTGTAGCAAAAGGTGGCCATTCCTGCTACCTCTGTGCAGTCAAAGCTTATTGAAGAAAGAACAATGTTCTCTTTTTAGATTTTCTTCTCTTAAGTAGAAATTTATTATAACCTTTAGTAATGCTATAAAATTAAACACTAGACTTTCCACAATGTGGTCATAAACCAAGAGATAAGGAAAAATGGCAACTACATTATTTTAAAATGTGTATTTTGATTTATGTGACAGTAAGGGGAGTTTAAAATCCAGTTGGTTTTTAACATTTTTGTATCTAACTGCTTGTTGTCAAGAGCTTTCCCAGGAGAAGAGATTGTCTAAGACCATTATGCATATTTGTCTAATGTGAACTTTGGTTTTATTTTGCAGCAAGAAAGGGTGGGGTGGCACCTATTTGAATGCAGCCCACTGGCCTGTTGGTGCAATTCCTCCTTGGCCACACTGGCCCCTGAGCAGGGTTGGAGCTTCCCTTTGCAGGTTGGTGCACAAAGATGTGGCATGCTGCTCCAGAAACTGCTCTGGGAAACTGCTGGTGGCCCCACAGGCTCTTGGAACTAACAGACTGTGTCATTATCACATGCTGCAAAGCAAATCCCTGCTTGTAAGGACTCAGCTCAGCTTTAGAAGTTCCCTGAGACTTCGAGAATGTCAACAGATGCATGCTTTCGTGAGTCCGTGCCATTCAGTGAACTTGATGGAATCATTCTGTGTGAAACGTTAAGTGGCGTGGGGATGATGCAGAGACTATTTCTGACGAGTCCCTGCCCAAAAGGAAAATCAAATGATGAGGCAGCAGGAGTCACGTCTAAGTGGAAATACAGAGACCAAGCTGTAGGGTGTAAGGAAGGAGGGACCTTTCTTCCTTTGCCACTTTCACTGGTTATTTTATGTGCTTGAAAATAGCCACAACACTTTCTCCCCTCCATAAAGGGAATGATGGCTTTGGTCTAGTTTTTATATGTCTCTCTTCAGCTCTCATGTCTCCTAGTGGTTCTGACTACAAATAGTTCCATTGTTTCTTCTGTATGGTCCTAATAGGTCTCTGAGGTTTTTTTGGAATCACTAAATGCCACCAAATACTCTCTAGTTTACTTAATAGGGCGATGGCCATACCTCCCTACAATTTTCCTGAGTGACACCATAAGTAGCACATTTTGAATGTAAAAGATGAGAAGGTCATCATACAAAACAGGAGTCTATGAAGAATGAGGCAATTGCCATTGCTTACCTGTGTTTAATATTTTCTTCTCCCAATAAGGTAAACCTATAGACAGGTGTTGTCTATGCTGGTAAGAAGTGAAAGGCCAATTGGTTGAGAGTTTATTGTGTACTTTTACGACCATGGCCGTGTTCATCAGGCGTCTGCTCTTACATCGCTGGTGCAGTGAATGGTGTCCTTGCATCACTCGAACGAGGATGCCCCAGTGGCTAACGGTGTGAGAACACCGCACTGCCTGCTCTCACACTGTATACGGGGCTGGGTGGGTTCTGAACGCTGGCCATCTGGCTGATTAGGGTTTTTAATAAGTCTATCGTAACAAAACAATGCTCCATTGAGGTAACTGCTCTTTTTTTTTTTTTTTGTTAAAATTAAATGTCATATTTTGCCCTTTCACTAGAAAACAAACTGTTCAGCTGCATAAAGCCCTCCAGATTATGATTTAAACTGTCTCAAGTTTCATCCATGTATTTATGAGTGATGTTCCCGCATGCCAGTCACAAGCAGTAGAGATTTATGGGCAGTACTGGTTTCAAAGAAAATGCTCAAGTTGATTGATGGGGCAAGTCTCCCTATCTCCTATCCCCCTGCTCCCCACCAAAGAGAAAAAAAGTCTTTTCCCTGCTAACTGCAGTGCCAGCTTTGACCCTGACTTAGTTGATAACCTTGAATAAATTGCATTCCAGTAGCAAGCCAGATGGATTTTAAAGGGTATCCGGGCCTGGTGGAAGCCTCAGCACCCCTCTCCCGCCCCGTGTGGAAATCCTGCTGTGCTCCCGAGAGGCACTGCCTGCCCTCTGCTCTGGCATTTTCCCTAGGAGGCACTTCCATGTTTGAACAGTTCCTATGACTAACAGATGCTTCTCAGGAAGCTGAAATCAGCCTCCTCCTTCCTTCTGTCCACTGACCCTATACTTTGCCTTCTGGAGTGCTACAGAATCTCTCTCATCCACCATCATGGGCTGCCTTCCGGGCAACTGGCGGCAGCTGTCATGTTCTCTGAGTCTTCCTGTCCCATGAGAGTGCCTGTGATAGAGTTTCCAGACCTGGCCATCCCACAGGACTATTGGCTGTGCAAACGGGGACTCCCCTTTGGAGCCAGAGTCTGTGGATGTGGAGTCACAGGAGAGGGAGCTGGCTCCGCTGTGCTTATATGTGCAGGTGGGCATGTGGGTGCTGGTGAGTTCACCCTGACCACTTTTAAAAGACTGAGTATCGGCTGGGTGTGGTGGCTCACGCCTGTAATCCCAGCACTTCAGGAGGCCGAGGCAGGCAGATCACCTGAGGTCAGGAGTTTAAGACCAGCCTGGCCAACATGGTGAAACTCCATCTCTACTAAAAAAAAAAAAAAAAAAAAAAAATTAGCCTTGCATGATGGCAGGTGCCTGTAATCCCAGCTACTCAGGAGGCTGAGGCAGGAGAATCGCTTGAACCTGGGAGGCAGAGGTTGCAGTGAGCTAAGATCCTGCCATTACACTGCAGCCTGGGCGACAGAGAGAGACTGTGTTTCAAAAAACAAACAAACCAACAAAAACAAAAAACAAACAAAGAAAAATCACTGAGTATGTCAATCTTTAGCTTGAGAGCAGGAATAGATAGTTTTAACTAACTGTGAACAATCCTTTAACCAGATGTTTTATGTTCATGTGCAGGTGCCACAAGGGCCAGGTGTAGAGAGTTAGTACTTACTAGTTAATGCTCCATTAATTTTCACTGAACTGTAAAGGATGTGTTTAAAAGATAAAGTAAATCCTAAAAGAGAAATTTAACAGTTAATTTCTTTGGCGCTATTACTTTATTTGTAAAATAAGTGGATTTGGCCAAAATTATATCTGGGATCTTTTTGGCACTAATATCTGCTGATCCTTTCAATAGAAAAGAAATTCATGTATCATGGTTCAATGTCGTGAGACGGCATTTTGCACTGCAAAATGTAAACAGCAGGTGACGCGTGATGCGTTTTCCCCCCCAATGAGGAATGAGCTCAAAGGATGAAATGTGTAGTTTTAATTACTCCCTTGCCTAAGCCCGACTAAACTGTTGCAAGATGAGGACAAAATTGGAGCCATGACAAAAGTGGAAAGCAGCTGACCAACACAGCTTCCCTTTCAGTGTTATCCCTGCCTGCGCCTCAGGGACACACAGGAGTGTCTTCGGGTGGACGTTTTCAGGTGGAGATCCAGATCTGCAGGTGTCTTTGGCAAACCTTGTGGAGTGCCTGATGTAGTTTGGATGTTTGTCCCCTCCAGATCTCTGTTAAAATGCGATCCTCAGTCTCTGAGGTGGGGCCTGGTGGGAGGTATCTGGATCATGGGGAGGATCCCTCACGAACGGCTTGGGCCATCCCCTTGCTGATGAGTGAGCTCTAGCTCTGAGTTTGCACCAGATCTGGTTGTTTAAGATTGTGTGGGCCCCTGTTTCCCTGGCTTGCTCTGCCCTGACCATGTGATGCGCCTTCTGCCCGTGACTGAAAGGAAGCTTCCTGAGGCCTCCCTAGAAGCAGATGCTTCCTGTACAGCCTGCAGAACTGTGAGCAGTTAAACCTCTTTTCTTCTAAATCACCCAGTCTCAGATATTTCTTTATAGCCTTGCGAGAATGGCCTAAGACAGCACCTTAGGAATGAGCCAGCTCAGGCCAGGTGGGGTTGCCCTGCAGCCTGGCGTCAATCACTGCCATCTTTGCAATGAGCACAGAGTCCGCCCCTGCAGAGCCCCCCAGGTCAGAATGAGCAACACAAGCTGTTCTGGGAGGCAGGAAAGACCTGCTGACCACCCGGCCTGCTCACCCACTTCCCCACACCCCTTCTCCTTTTGCCTCCTTTCCTGACATGGGTGTCATTTCAGGGTTGACATGAAACCCACACAGTCCATCCCTTACTGCCCTCTAGGTGCTGTCCCCAGTCAGAGAAATGATCAACCAAGCAACTGTTTTTGGAGACGCAGTAGATTCGTTTAATGTGTTTATCTCAAGATGCAAATGATCCCTTGAGTTTGGAGAGAGAAATGGAAGGAACTGGACACGTAGTGGGGTGGCAGAGAGTGCAGGGTGGAGGTACAGAGGAAGTCCGCAGCCTCTCCCCAGGAGGGCGCAGGGTGGAAAACATGCTTTTGATACTGGATACTTGCAGTGTTGGCTAGCATGAGGTGTGAGAAGCAGATGGCCACACGTCACTCTGGTTAGAGAAGTGAAATGTTTCAGCCTGAATCGGGTCTTGACCATCAGGTGTGAGAGTCCCTCCAGGCCCGGCGGTAAGGCCTGTGGTTGCGCTGGAGTCATGTGAAATTGGAGCTTGGTGCAGCGTTTCTGACCCTTCTCTTCGTCCATGAATCTCACCCGTTCTCAGGAGCCCCAGCCCACTGGCTCCTCAGGAAAGGGAACGCTGGGCTTTCTGGCCTTTGTCTGGCTTGGTTGGGTGGTCTTGTTGAGGGGTTAGGGCTGAGGTGGGCAGCTGCCTCTTTGTTTGCTGTCCTCTAGCCCCTGTGTTTCAGGAAGCATCCTAAATAATCTGGTGGGGTTGCCTTACTGCTTCCATCATCCTCCAGCCACTCTTCTTTCATCTCAGCTGGGGGCCCAAAGCATTATTTAAAGAATGAGCGTGCAGCACGCAACCCACAGGAGGGCCTCATTTGGGCCTTCTCATCAGAGCAGGGTGTCCACAGGTGCTTTCAGGACTCAGGGCCTCTGCACACCATCCCGTGTGTTAGCAATACTTTATGATTTTGTAGCCATACATGACTGGTTATTGATGGTGCACTGAAAAATCAGGACTGAGTCCCACCTTCTCTTCATGACCATCTAAACATCTTTAAACGTGTGTCAAGTTGTGTTCCTTTTTTAATTAATATACAATTGAGACACTAATTTTAGTCAGTTAAATTTTGTTCCTCCAATAGAGTCACCAGTAAAGAGGCTGACATCATCATTTTTCCTGAGAAGGAGCAGGTGCCGTGTGGTGGGCTCCTGCACCCTCTCTTTGAGGCACCCCATTGCTTCCTTGGCAGCTGGTGACTAGTCTCACGTTGGCTGCCACTCTCAATGGGGACACTCAGGAGGAAAGGCTGTTTATGGCGGTCTACTTTTTACTCACCATAACGAGTGGATGAATGAATGAATGAATGAATACTAAGTGAACAAATGGATGCAGGAATTCTGCTTTATGATCTGCACAATGAAACGTTTAAATAGGACTTGGCTGTTGCTTCTGTGCTGGGGATTCAGCAAAACCTGCTGCTAGACAGTCATCTTTATGTCTAAAAACTGGAAAGGATCTGAGGCTGTTACATTATTATTGCAAGAATTGAAGGCAGAAATCCAGGAATGTGTTTTTCCCTGGTTGGTCGGATGTTTCCCGATGGTGAGGACACAGCAGCCCAATTTCTCTCTCCCTTGGTCCCCGGAGAAGCTGCTGTGAGTAGCCAGTGGGTCTCGGTTCCTTCCATTCCCAATATCCCCTGGGTTTGGACCAGAACATTTACAAGGAAATGTGGAGTCAACTCCAGTAATCTCTGTGTGCTTTGTGTTGTTTTGATAAAAGATGTGTAGCATAAGACTTTCGTTTGCAAAGAACTTACAAGAGAAGAGACCTTAGCTGCCTGCTGAGCAGCCTTCCGGCAGTCACCGGGGTCACCTTGCCACCACTGAACAACCAAAATGCTGCCCAATAGGACACAGCACTTTACTTGCTGCTTTTTGAAAAATAATGGAAAAATAACCTGAACGTTCTTTCAGCCTTGATCTCCATTGGATTCCTCTCCGGGGAATTTAACTAGACAGCTGCAACACTGTGTGGACTTCGGTTTCCAAACAGAGAAAATCCTGGTCAATTTAGACATGTCAACCTGGATTTATACTTTTAATGGGAAAAATATTCTCTGCAGGAAGATGACATTTGCCTCCTATTCTGAGAAAATGACTGATTTTGCATGATCATACTCCTATACTGTTGCTCAATGATAGCTGAAATAAATCAGCGAAAGTGACATTGGCTGTTTGCAATGATTAAACATTAGATGTCTGGAAAACATCCTTTGGTCATTTATATTCAGGATATTTCAGACATCTCTGATACTCCTTTTTTTCCTAAGCCCTGATAGAGCTAATAGTACTTACTATGATATAGTTACGTTCATACAAACCTCACTCAATACTAACAGTGTATCTTTTAAGCATCAAAGTCATCACCTGTTGTAGTTATTCCATCCATTTCTGCATATTCTTGAAGTTGTGTGGCCATTTTTTCTGTGTTTATGTCTTTTGGAGGGATAGGGCTGTTTCAGCGTTGCTGTTGAATGGTCTAGAAGACTGGCTGGTCCAAACCTGAGACAAGAAAGAGCTCCTAACATTAGAAACAATTGGGACTGCTTTCAATGAGATGCCAACACATAGTTGATGCTATGATTTTAAATATGCCTGGAAGAAAAAGAAAAATAGGCCCCATTTAAGTGGAAGCATTTAAAAGTAGACCTCAGGCCACCAGAAGGACTTTCAGAAAAACAAGTGGTATCCACAGGTGCAGGGAAAGACCTCTTAGTCTGAGAGCAGGTATTACAGAATGTGTGGGCTGACCACAGAGAGAGGCCAGAGCCTGATCAGCATTCAGGAGGTCATATGTGGGTCACTTTTCCTGGACGCCCATTCTGTTCTATCTTGAAAAGTGATATCTTGTTCATTTGCATGCTTCCAGAATAATCCCTTTCCTGATTTTATCCCGTTAAATCCTTCAAGTTCTAGGAGTGAAGAAATTTGTATTTCTTTAGAATATCACATAGATACACTGCTGCTATCTGTAATGCTGAGAAATAGAATGTCAAGGGTGAGGCAAACAGAAACCACAACTACATACTACTTCAGTGCAACAGGACTTTGAGGGGCATGGTGGGATAATCTGACTACTAGCTTCTCTCTGGCCAAGAAAAATACAAATATCAGCAAGTACAGGAGTGCACTGTTCCTGGGTTTTAAATCACGTGCACACATGAAAACATAGCACAGCCCTGCCCAGCCTCCCTGCGGCTGCACCTTTGCCGTGGAGGGAGCATTTTGTCGTGTAATGTTCTCCCGTCCCTCCAGTGGGAGCATCTGGGGCTGGTGAAGACGTGGCACTCCAGGAGCCGAGTGGACCTGGGGTCACCCAGATAAAAGCCACCAGGCAGGGCTTCAGCTCTCTGCCTTCTCCTGGAAGTTCGTGTCTGTGTTTCACTACGCAGCTGGCGGGGCAGGGCTAGGTGTTACATGGACTTTGCCTCACTCCCCATCCACCCGCACCCTTCTGTGTCCCCTCTCGTGATGTATGATGGAGGGAGCGTGTTCCTGCTAAGGGCTCGCCTCTGCCCCTTTCCGGAGAACATGGAATCACCTTACCCAGAAGGTTTTGTCCCATGCTCCCCAGGGTGGCCGACAACCGGGTCACACCCAGGGCCTTTGCTGCAGATGGGGTGATTCTGTGATCCTTGGTGCTCCAGAGTGCCCCTGTGGGCCAGGCTGCAGCTGCCTCCAGCTGAGACCGCATCCTTAGCTTTTCCTCCTTTCTCCACTCCCCTTCCCTTTCCTGACTCATCCCATTTCAGGCCCCGATTTTGGGGAGGCTGAGCCCATCAGCTTAGGCACCTGGAACTTTAGGTCTGTTCAGGCGGCTCTGCCTTCCAAGCCTGGCTGTTCAGGCCTCCTCTTTATTTTGTGAACACCCAGCTATCCTGTACTAATCTCTTTTCTGTTCTAAGTCAGCTAGGGTTGGTGTCTCTTGCTTGCAATCAGGAGATCTAACAGCTTTATGCCTGGATCTGCTAGGATCAGATCAGAAGAGGGAAGCTGCATCATACTTTGAACATGAAAAGTTTAATATAGAGAATTACTAATAGGCATTGGAGTAGAGAAGGCTTAGCTAGTAAGTAGAGTGCACAGAAGAATACAGGAATAGCAGAGAAAAGGAGCACATTAAAAAGAAATAGATACCTAAGGAGGGATCATGGCCATGGCTCAATGGATGGCAGAGGGGTTGCTGCAGAGCTGCACCCATGAAACCTGCCAGAAATCTACCCTCCAAGCTACCAGAGAGATCTGCTCACAGGAAGGTGTCTCACTGGGGAATTACTCCACTGAAACATCACCCGAGGAAGGTGCTGGTGGAAGCTGCTGGCTGCGAAGCATAACCACTGCTGTGTAACAGAGGAGCCAGGTGCTGGGGGAGATGCTCGCACTGCAGGAGCTGGGCACTGGGGAAACTGCTGCAGGAGCCTGCGGCTGGAGGAGCCATCCACACTGCAGGAGCAGAGCATTGCAGAAACTCTGTGCACTGTAGGAGCCTGGAGCTGGAAAGGCCCTATGCACTGTAAGAACTGGGCACTGGGGAACTGTATGGGTGGCAGCGGTCTGGCTGCAGGTGTCTGCTCAGACAGCACTGCAGAAACAAGAAGGAAACTTTTGGCAATGTTTCTTCAGCATCCTCTGCTGACAAAGCTTACTGCCAGTTAGCAAAGGAGATATATTTGTAGGGCCCAGATCCATTTTCACAAAACAGTCAATGAAGGGTGAATTCAGAGCTGAGAGGCATGGATTGATACTTGGAAAAATGCCTCATTTCCTTACATGTTGCACTGGCAGGGCCTCTTAGCTAGTCATGGATATGACAGGGAGTCTGTGATAAACATGCAGTGCAGTTGCAAAGAGAAAGACTGAAGTGGGTGAGTTGTATCTTCTTCAAAAATGAAAGTGAAAAACATTTACCTGGGAACTGCAGTTAGGGCATTTTGTTTAATCAGTGCTCCATAATCTCTTACTCTCCCAGTCTCCCTGAACCTTCTGAGAGAGATGATACCTCCTGTTCTGGGTACCACATGCCACTGTTTCCCAGCAAGCACACCACTCAGGCATCATTGCAGGAACTGCTAATTTTAAGTAGGACTTTGTTTCCCCACCTTGCAAATGGGACCCTAAATCCCAAGGGAGAGAAATAACTAAGAGAAGGCATGTTTACGCTGGGTCAAATCATTTTGCCCTCGTTCTTGTTTTGTCAGCTTGCAGTTCTGTGCCACAAGGCAGCTGCAGGGGTGCCGTGTGCCCTTGAGACATGGGTCTGCTCACAGAACCCTCAAGCTGCTCAGTGCTTCTTAACAATGAGTAATACTTCCAGGGTTTTATATTTGTGAATTTTCTAAAGTCAAGTATAATTTTGGGATTAGACACTTGTTCTAGACATTCATGGCATAGTGGAGGGAGCACTGGACATAGAGGCAGGCTACATCCCTCTAGGCACCTGGGCCACCCTGAAAGCCTCTCTGTGTCTCCTGTCTCAATTGCTGTGGGCCCACAATGAATGAGTTACATGAAAAAGTTCTAAAATGTTGTGCACTTCTACGGTTCTACCGTGTATCAGGTAACTGTACACTGTCAGAGAGACTCGCGCAGGAATCAAAACTGTGCATACACATCCATCTCCTCTCTTTCGCTGTGTGCATATAAGGGTCTGAGTGTGTTTATGTGTAAATATGAAAGGGAAAGGCTAGCAGAGTATAAACTAAAATGTTAACTGCCGTTATTATAAGAAACAGGATTATTATTTAAACTATGATTTAAATTTCCACCTGTATACTTTACTGGATCTTCCAAATGTTACACAATCTGGAATCATCACTAGTATTATCAGGAAAAGTAGAACTTATTTAGAAGTAATATTCAGCTCATCTGTTTTCAGAGTATAAATACCCATGTTGAAACACATGCAAAAATCAGATGCCTTGGTCGTTAATATCCACTGGAGAAATGGGCACAGAGAGCTTGCAGTAGTGCCTGTGGATCTTGCAACAGTACATTGTGGAACAGTGCTTTTTCCAAATACCATTCTGTCTCTGCTCATGCTGGTAATTCTATCGTTTCCATTGGAAGACAATGCAAGCTGCCCTTCCCAGAAGAGGCAGGAAGAGAAGTGAATTAGAGAGAGGAAGGAGAGAATTGTGTGTTGTGAAAAAAACAGAAAACCAAGGAAGAACAAGATGGCTATCCAATGCTCCTGGAGGGGAGTCCTCCCCCACGTGAGGACAGGGCAAGTGCCCAGATTCCACTTATGTCATCTTGTCTGCAAAACAAAACCTTTTGCAACAGCCTGAATGCAGTTTGGACCTTTCTCTGTATCTTCAGTGCCGTATACAAAGAGACAGATAATCAAATAAGGATATTGCTTCCCATTGGTAGGATGTGCATTTGGTGTGACCCAGGAACTGTTCTGGAACATTATCAAGAGGTTATGACCATATGCCAAGTTGAAAATGTCTGTTTTCATCATTCAGAGGGACTGTGACCACATAGAACATTCCATTATGCCAGGCTTCCCTCCTCTGTTCAATCCAACTGCACTCCACGTATGAGTGAAACTCATTGAAAAATCTTGTGAATATAAGTTTCACATCAGTAAAATTTCCTCTCTTGCACCCTTAAGAATGGAATTATGCTTGTCACCAACATTTGGAAGAATATTTGGTCAGTTCATATTTTTGCCCTTTTTTGCTTTAGAGATTGAAGTAGAGGATTTGATGAAATGTTAAGGTTTATGACAATTTGTATAAATGAAAAACCTGGAATGTATTTCTTCTTGGCCCTGAGCAAGCAGTGACCCTAAAGGCATTTGGGAAGCCAGAAATGGAGTGCACTGGTAGGGTGATTTATTTAGAAAATAGGAATCTTGGAAATAAATCACTAAAGTAAGTGTTTCAGTGATGGATGGTCACATCTTATTCTGAATTTAGAAAATGAGAACTACCCAATTCACTCCTTTGTGTTCAAAGGTAGCCCCTCAGAGCCTCCCTGTGGCTGGCTGAACCCAGCTCCGCTTTGCAGGTGCAGACGGGACTGCGAGGTCCTCTCCAGCCTAAGGACCTCCTGAAGCGCTGGGAGAACCTGCTTGGTGGCTGCTTTCTAATGCCCTGTTCATCTGAATAACTAGGAGGAAGTCTGAGCTTACAATCAGTGTCTGTGTTGTTTTTCAAAATCTGGGCTCCCTCGTATCCTAGGCAACCATTTAGAGGAGAGAGAATGCAAAGTGGGAGGCGTCCTGTGTGTTTAAGTCACAACCCCTGGTCCCTGGGTAGTAGCTGTGTTGATATTGTCATTTTGACCCTTTGGGGCCAAAGCTGCTAGGAGCCAGTGGTGTTTGGTGGCATTGTGTTGCATGTAGAGGCCAAGGAGGGGGCATTTCTACCCTTTTGCCACCCTACCCCCTTCTCCTCTCTTCCCTCTGAGTCCAGTCGCCTCGGACAGCGCTGATTCGAGGTGAGGCTAGAGGAAGGCCTGTGCTAATTGCACACTAGCTGACATACCTGCCCCACACCTGCTTTGTTGCTTTTGCTGGTAAATGCAGCAACGACACAGCAAACCTGAGTGCTCCCATTAGGGAAGCTGGTGCACCTGTCCTGATAGAGCTCTCCAGCTTGACGGATGTCTGCCTTTCAGTACCGTGTCCATAGATGTGATTGCTTTTCCTGACTGGGGCAGTCTGCACACTGTGGGAAGGCCAGCGCAGGTGCAGCAAAAGCACCTGGCGGCTCTCTCTGGCTGTAGTACGGTGAGGCTGGGGTTTTCTCCCTCAGCGATAAAGCAATATCAACTGGAGATATGCTGAAGACCTATTTTCTAGAGGTGTCAAAATTGTAATGTTTGCAGACAGATATGGATATTTACTCTGAATTTGGGTTGTTAAGGTATTACCTTCTTAAAGTGTATCTTAAGCTTGAAGATTGTATTCAAGCGTACTAAGATGGCTTTTCTGGTGAGCAGTTATTACTTGATTAGTTGATTACTTTCCTCTTTCACAGTTGTGGGGATAAGAAAAAACAGTCTCCACAGCTCCTCTCAGGCTGGAAGATAGATCAGGTCATTTCCTACTAAATCAGGACGGTATTTAAGCCATAAGCAAAGCCGCACAAAGAGCTCACCTGATTGGTTAGCTATTGCAGTTCCTACAGCCTTGATTTTCTCATCCCGCCCTTAAAAGTAAGAGCCTTTCGAAGTACCCCACCTCCAATCATGCTTTCGTAATGACAGCTTCCTTCTGCTCCTGAAGGTCCTGAAGGCTGCCAGCTCTCCTTGTGAGTCTTCTCATGGTCTGAAAACTCAAGCCTGCAAGGAAATACATTATTTATTTTTTCATATTACGAATGGAATTTCTCTCTGTGTCCCCAGTCCACTCGGTAACATTGTGAGGTACATCAACTTTGTCTTCAGCATCCTACCTCCTTCTCCATGGACACCCTTCTTTTTCTTCATTCCTTCATTTCCTTTTCTTCATTCCTTCATTTCCTTTTTCCTTCATTCCTAACCACCCAGGTATTCATCTTAGTCCAAGATTCTAGAGGACACTCAAAATAGCTTCAGATACCACCTCTCTCAGGACATTTCATCTCACTTCATATCAGCCTGTAGGATTCATTTTATTAGGGTATGCTAATTGTTGTGACAGATAGACTCCAGAGGGTACAATGACTCAAATGACACCAGTCCATTTCTTGCACAAGTGACTTACTGCGGAAGGAACAGGTCGGGGGCAGTGCGTCTCCAAGCTGGCCTGAGGGAGAAGGCTGACAAGGACTTTGCCTTCCTCAGCCCCTGGCTCCCAAGGTGCCCCAGGATTGTTTCCATACCACCCACCATGAGGAGGAAGGGGGGTTTGCCAGAGGCACTGTGGGCCAGGCTCAGAAGTGCCACGCTTCTCTCTGCCTGTGGACTCACTCAACTGCAAGACAGCCCAGAAAGTTAATTCCCAGGAGAAATTGTTCCCTGTGGAGTGGAAAATGTGGAATTCTGGGATATGGCTGGCCATCCCTGCCACAGCCCACTGCTCTGGCCAGCAGATAGTCAGACTGACCCTATTTTCCAAATGTAGGCCAAATACATTTACTACCAAACTAGCAACAAACAAACAAACAAACAAAAACAAGTTCCTGTCCAGTGCTGCATCCAGCCCAGGGTCCCGGATACCTGAGCAGTCTGTTGAGTGTGGGGTGACTTGATGTGTCCAGGGATTGAGGACTCCCAGCACACCCATCCAAAGCATGATAGGGAAGCAGAGGCAGAATCCTCTCTAGAAACTCCCTCCTGGAAAGGGAATAGAGGAGTTCACACAGCCTTCAGGAATGGAGCCTCATGAGATCCTGCCTGGCAGATGTCCTGCAGCATGTCTGCCTGGAAGAGGAGGGGACCCCTGGTGCTGGCTGTACTTCTGCAAGGTCTTTCTTGTCCATGGTCCTCCAGGACCTCCAGTGAGGTGTGTCAGCAGCATGCCTCAGGGGTGCCACCCCATGTGCCATTTGCTTCTGCTTCATAGTGGCTGTGTCCAAGGCAGATGAAACAAGAAGCTTGGCTTAGAGATGACATCTTCACCTGGTCATTAATGAAGTGCTGCCACCAGCTGTGACTGGGAATTCTCAACAGGCTTTTGTAGCTTAAAGTCCTTTATAATTCTGCCTGCTATCATATAGCTCCAGATGCACATTCCTGGATTCCCTTTTCTTCTACTGTTTATTTCTGCTTTTGCACAAATCCATGTTTGACTGAGCTCACCTTGTGAACTAGTTAGCTATTGCTATTTAATAATGTCTCCACAAGCTCAGTGGCTAAGATAACACACATGGATTAGCTCACATATTCCAAGGGACAAGAGTCCAAGCTTGACTTGGCTGGGCCTTCTGCAAGGTGGAGATTGGGGTGTCGGCCCTGGCTGGGTTTCCATCTGAAGGCTCAACTGAGGAAGGATCACTGCCAAGCCCTCGTGGTGGTTGTTCACATGGATTTCCTCACATCAACAGATGGCCTTGGTTTCTGTATTAGTTTGTTTTCATGCTGCTTATAAAGACTGGGCAATTTACAAAAGAAAGAGGTTTAATTGGACTTACAGTTCCACGTGGCTGGGGAAGCCTCACAATCATGGTGGAAGGCAGGGAGGAGCAAGTCCCATCTTACATGGATGGCAGCAGGCAAAGAGAGAATGAGGAAGACAGAAAAGGGAGAACCCTAATAAGACCATCAGATCTCTTGAGACTTAATTTACTACCAGGAGAACAGTATTGAGGAAACCGCCCCCATGGTTCAATTATCTGCCACTGGGTCCCTCCCACAACACAGGGGAATTATGGGAGTACAATTCATGATGAGATTTGGGTGAGGACACAGAGCCAAACCATATCAGTTTCTTACTGAGTGTTGACCAGAGACTACCACGTGGCCTTTTCTGACAAGGCTGTGTTTCGTCAGAGCCCCAAGAGAGAGAGTGTTCCAGCAAGGTGGATATCACAGTCATAATCACAGGAGTGACATGTGACCGCTTCCTTCTGTGCTGCTGGCTAGAAGCATGTCTCACACGCTGCCCACGCTCAGTGCAAGGGACAAGAGTCCAAGCTTGGCTTGGCTGGGCCCTGTGCAAGCCAAGCTTGGACTCTTGTCCCTTCCTCGGAGGATGGGACTGCCCAAGGCTGGAGTACCAGGAGGTGGCTCTAATTTCAGCCCATCCTGGAACCTTTATCAAGAACCTACTCTGTGTGAATATATTCCATAGCATTTACTTTTTTTTTTTTTTACAAGATTGAAGCAACTATTATTATCCTTACCTCGCAAATAATAAAATTGAAGTTGAGATCCCTTAGTGTCTGACACTAACTGGTGGAGCAGGTGTTCAAATGTAGGATTTAGTGTAACACATCAGGAGTGTGTGTGTAGGCAGTGAATGGATGGCACAGGTGGAAAGCGAATCGAAGGAAGTGAAGCTGAAAAGAAATGTTGGGGTTGGTTTTTAAAGAGTTGGACATTACATGGAGGCTTTATTCCAAAGTTCCTGGAGGAGCCACTGTGTTTGAATGATGAGAACATGTACTCATCTTCATCAGTTTTAAGTAATAGTTGTGGTCAGACTTAACAGCCTACATTCAAAGGTGAGGTTGAAGGACATTTTTATTGATACTAATATATGAATAAAACCCAATCAACTTCAAGTAAAATGTGAACACGATTTTCAAAAACAATTTTTTAGAATTTCACTTAGATATTGGTGATTTTTTTCTCATTTGTTTAGAGTAATATAACTGACTATTAATAATTCTTAAGATGAGGTGAAAATTATTTAACTGAAAGGCTTCCCTCTTTTATTGAGCAAAACATCTCATGGTATTTAGTGGAATAGGTTTATGCTAATTTTAAGACATATTGAAGCTTTTTAAACAAAGACATTTTATTTGCAAATGATTACGTGTGGAGGCTTTACACTGGTTGAGCTATGCTATGGTTTCTTGAGAAGGGAAATGGAATCTTGGTTTATTTTGGCATCCTAGCATCAGGGATGGTGCCTACCACATTGCAGGAGCTCAGTGCTGGACTATGCAATGAATAAGTTATAAAATTTATCCTCAATCTAGTGCAAAAATGAAGGCAAACCCTAGAGCTGAAGGCTTTGTACATTCGGCAGAGAACTCTTTCCATATTGTTTATATAAGAAATTCATTCTGCCCTCTGAATAATTCATGGGACCTGAGTCAAACAATCCAAAACCCAGAAAGCAAGCTAGAGGAGATGTTCAAAGTCATATCATTTAGACCATTAAAAGAAATCCGTGTCATAAGGCAATATGAGCTTTGCACTTCAGAGGATGTATAAGTCATTTTGTTGAGGAAGAGGTGGATTTTCTATGGAGGTATCAGGATGGCTCCCTGGTGGGGGTGAGACTTGTGCTTGAAGGACAAGTCCTCTGTCAGATCATGAGGAGTGTGAAGGATTCCAGTCCAGGGGAACCCAGTGTAAAGGTCCTGATTTAAGGAACTGTCATCCAGATGCTATGTGTCTGTTCTACCATGTGCTGGTCCTTTCCACAGTGCGAGTCACGGAACGGAAGTGCTGCTAGTGTTTGCGCAGCATGTGAGTTTCTCTGTGTCCCCGCGCTGAGGGTTGCAGAGTCATTTGGGGGGCTTCCTCACAGTCTTGAGCTTGCAGGTGTTTGGTCCTGAGTGTTCATCTTGTAGACTGCTGCATTCTTTTCTGCCATCAGTGGTTTCAGCAAGAGCCCTGGCACCAAGAACTTTGTTTTCATTGGTTGACAGAATGGCAGAACTTGACAGGTCTAGACCTTCTCCCCAGTCCTTTGGCAGGTGGAAAGTGATGTCCCCCAAAACATCCATGCCAAATCCCTGGAAGCTGCAGCAGCTGACATGTTTATAAAAGAGCCTTTGCTGATGACATTGAGCCAACTGTCTTTTTTTTTTTTTTTTTTTTTTTGAGATGGAGTCTCACTCTGTTGCCCAGGCTGGAGTGCAATGGCATGATCTCGGCTCACTGCAACCTCCACCTCCTGGGTTCAAGCGATTCTCCTGCCTCAGCCTCCTGAGCAGCTGGGACTATAGGCGTGCAGCACCACGCCCATCTAATTTTTTTGTATTTTTAGTAGAGATGGGGTTTCACCATGTTGACCAGGATGTTCTCGATCTCCTGACCTCATGATCCACCCACCTCAGCCTCCCAAAGTGTTGGGATTGCAGGCATGAGCCACCGTGCCCGGTGAGCCACCTGTCTCAAGATCATCCTGGACTTCCTGGGTGGGCCCTAATCCAATGCTGAGTGTTCTTAGGAGGGAGGCAGAGAGAGGTGGACAGAAGAGAAGATAAGGCAGGGCATGGAGTGACACTGCCACAAGTCAGCAGACACTAGAGGCCATCAGAAGCCGGAAGAATGGGGAATGATTCTGCCCCAGAGCTCAGGAGGGAGCATGGCCCTACCAGCACTTTGATTTAGGATCTCTGGTGTCCAGAGCTGTGAGAGAAAAACATTTTGTTGCTTTTACCAACCACGTTTGTGGTATTTTGCCATGGCAGCCACAGGAAGCTAATGTATCTTCCTTATGAAAAGTGAAGACATTGGTTTCTGAGCATTCAGGTGACCTGCTCCAACCCGAGGCTGCCCTCTGATGATCCCCAATAGCCTTTGAGTTTGGATTCTGTAACGCTGCTGAAGTTTCATGCTTGACCTATCTGTCTTCCTCTGCAATTTTCCTGAACAGACCACACAGTGAGGCCAAACCATGGGCAGTCTTAGCATGACAGTGGCTGGGTGTTCGTGGAGGAGAGAGTTTCTAGGGAGCACCCTGCATGCCCAGCCTCTCTGGGTATCACTGTGTTGCAGCGCGTTTGTGGTTATGTTTCATTAGCAGAGCGGTTCCAACCGTGCTTGCCTGTCTCTGTTTCATACAGGCTTTCTTCAGATGACAATTAGGATTACCAGGTCCCCATGCACCCAGGGTTTGTGGAGCCACACACCGGCTTGTTAGGATCCTTCCAGCCAGCTGCATTTTCCAGAGCAGCTGGACTCTTACTCTCTCATTTTTTTTTCTGTTCTGTTCTATTCTGGGGTGCATTATCTTTAGAAATGCCAAGACAAATGGAAACTAATTTGCAAATGCCCCTTATGGCTTAATTGATTGCTTTCTGTGCTGACCTTCGTGGGTAAAAGGCAGCCAGCAGGAAAAGGAACATCTTCCCCAGACCCCGTGTGAGCCTTCTTCCCCATCACTCTGTCGATTTCCAGAATGTTTTGAGAAAATTGGGTAAAGATGGAAGCAACCATTTTCTGAGATGGCAAGTGATTTGCCAGGTTTTGTAATGCTCCCCTGATCTCTCTCCTCTTATTCAGCTGCAGATTACTCTGGAAATGAAAGGAAGGACTTTTTTTCTCTCTTGTCCTAAACAGTATTTAAGGCTGAGTCCTATGAGGACCAAAAAGTTAGCACTAAGATTGGGCCACTGTGGAGGGCAGTTCTCAGCATCATCACAGCCCAGCAAATATCAGGGGAGCTATTGTGCACCCCAGCCATTCCTCAGCCTCCCCGCCGGGGGTTTGGGGGAGGTGGCTTCAGGTTCTGAAATATGTGCCATGTTTCTGTTTCTCTGGCGCCCTCTGTGATGCTGGCTGGACACACAGACGGGGCTTTCCTTGTGTGATGATCAGTGTTATATGTCAGCTTCACTGGGGGCCATGGAGTGCCGGATAGTTGGTCAAATATTATTCTGGATGTGTTTGTGAGGGTGTTTTTATATGAGATTAACAATTGAGTCAGTAGACTAGGCTTCCCCAATGTGAGTGGGCCTCATTTGATCTGTTGAAGGGCCGGATAGAAAAATGAAAGGCTGACCTCCTCTAAATGACACTGTCAGTCAGTCAGTCAGGTGCCAGATTTATAATTGTGTGAGCCAGTTCCTTCCAATAAATCTCTCTTTCTCGACATCCTTTTGGTTCCGTTTCTTTGGGGGACCCTAATATACCTTGTTTTGCTTTATTATTTGGGGTTTTGATCACTTACTTCTAACTTTGAAAAACCAAGTTTTTAGCTCTTCTATATGCTATGGAAAAATTTCTTTTTATGAAAGGAAAAACATGCCTTAACCACAGCATATCAGGAAATCTGTAGATGTCAGATGAAACTGCAGTAGAGAAATGGAAACATATGCCAGGCAAAGGGTACCGAGGCTATGATAGGAGAAGCACATCTCTGTAGATGTAACACCAGCTGTCACTGGTCACCGCCCAGGGGCTCCTCGTCTTTAAAGAGGGGATAATAAGAGTGTCTTCTTGATTCCTTTGTTTTCAGGATGAAAGGAGACCATGCTTGAAGTGTCTTTCGCATGAGGACCATATTAAGGGCTCAGTAAACATTGGCTGGCCAGTAAAGTGGTCAGTGTTGGGTTGGATGCTGTCCCCCTGCAATGCATATCCTTCCTGGAACCTCAGAATATGACCTTATTTGGAAATAGGGTCATTGCAGATGTACTTACTTAAGATGAGGTCACACAGGACTAGTAGGGTGGGGCCTTAATCCATTGTAACTCCTCTTATAAGAAGAGAAGAGACAGAGAAAAACACCCAGTGGGGTAGAAGGACTCATGTCCATGGGGGCAGAGACTGGAGTGATGCATCTGTGGGCCAAGAAGTGCAAGGATTGCTGGCAACACCAGAAGCTGACAGAAGGCATAGAACCGTTTCCCCCAGACCCTGCAGAGAGAGCATGGCCCAGCTGATGACTTGTTTTGGACTGTAGGCATGGTCGGGTGTGAGCAAGGCAGCAGCACCTCAGGAGACATGTCCAGTGCTCAGGGAGGCTTCATGAAAATCCCTAATCAAAGAGCCAGGAGTTGCTAAAGGAGCCTGCATATGTAAAGAGTAGAGAAGCAACAAGATAGTGCCAAAAAAAAGGCAAATAATTTTGTTTTTATACAATATTGAGGAACTTTTGGAAGTCAGAATACTTTTAAAAATTAAGTATAATAGGATTTAAAGGACAACAGGAGCAGGGAGGCACATGTGTTTGCAGAACAGATAATCACTGTGATTTTCATACAGAAGCCACAAATAGAGTGAATTTAGAAGATGCCGTGTGGAGTGTGTGTGTTGGGAGTGGGTGAGATTTCACTGCAGGATTGATGTAAGTCTTGGCGAGGGCTAACAATCTATCAAGCAGCTTGGATAAAAGGGACAAATGGAAGTGGAGCCGTTTCAAGAACCCCTGAAGGAGTCTGGCAGGAAGCTTGATGGTTCTCACCAGTGAGACCCAGCCTCGGGCCTTCTATTCATGGACAGAATTAAAAAAATAATAACATTGCCATCACTTTGCTATAAAGCAAGGTAAATTGAACATACAGTCTCCAACACTGTCCCAAAACAGCTCTGAAAACTGGATCATGCAAGCCTCAGACATAGCATCATTAAGACCTCTAATGGCTAAGGATGAGTTAGTGGAGAATTAAATAAAAATCAGCCCGCACTTTCTCAGGTTTGCTTTTCTTTTGATTGTCTTCCTGGAAGAAAGGTATCCTCCCAACATCACTCCCAGCTCACTCAGTATGCAGAGGTGGAGCTTTTGAGGGCTGGCTCAGGCTAAGCATCATCTCTAGGGATCAGGGGAAATGCCAGCTGATCTGCCAATATCTCCAAGAAGCCAAGTCCATTTGGAAGAGAGTCATCTTCCTAGAGTAGATGCGTCCTCTCTAAGGTTGCCTCAAGGCTCCCCAAACCATTTCTGTAGCAAGGGGCCATCTTGCTACAGAAATAGTCTAGAAAGTCAGGCATGGTGGCATGCACCTGTAGTCCCAGCTACTGGGAAACTGAGGCAGGAGGACCACTTGAACCCAAGAGTTCAAGGCCAGCCTGAACAACATAGCGAGAACCTCTCTCTAATAAGTAAATAAATAAATAAATAAAAATTAGCTGAATATGGTGGTGTGTGCCTGTAATCCCAACTACTTGGGAGACTGAGGTGGCAGGATCACTTAAGCCCAGGAATTCAAGTCTGCAGTGAGCCACTCCAGCCTGGGTGACAGAACAAGACTTCATCTCTAAAAAACCAAAAACCAGAAAACAAAACATGATTTATAGTCATTCTGATTAAGCTGGGCATGATGGCTTGCACATGTATTCCGAGCTATTCAGGAGGCCAGGGTGGAAGGATCACTTGAGGCTGGGAGTTTGAGACCAGCCTGGGCAACACAGCGAGACCTTGTCTCTAAAAATAAAATGAAATGAAATTAAAAAGTTTTAAAAAAGAAATGTCCAGGAACACACACTGGAGAATGAGTGATAAGACACCGTAAGAGATTGCTTATAAGCAGTGGCCACAGTTATGGCCCTCTGTCCACATTCTTCTACAGTGTGAGTTTCCAATCTCTCCCATCCAGAGGCAAGTCTCTTTCTGGCCCTGGGACTTGCTTCCAACAAGAGGAGCTGGTGCTAGTTAGCCCTCACCAAGCCTGGGAGGCAAAAGGCCTTGTGGTTCCCAGTGACTTGCTTGGAACCCTTCTAACCACCATAGAAACCAGGCAAGCTAGCCTGCTGGTGGGGGTGGTGGTGGGGAGGGGGACAGAGACCTCTCGGAGAAGAGGCAGGCCACCCCACTCAGGTCCTCTTAGGTGAAATGGTCCCTAACGGGTGGCTGAGGGCACACAGCTGAGTGAGTTGAGCCCACTTTGGCTAAGCCTGGCCCACATCAGCAGGACCACAAGTTGACCTGGAGACTCCTGAGCAGTAATAAATGGCTGTTGCTTTAAGCCAGTGAGTGTTGGTTATAGTAAAAGCTAACAGGTATAGATGCTGCCCCCCACAAACAGGTGGCTTGCAAATTAGAAAGCTGGGGCCCAGAGGCTACAAGGATGCTAGATACATACTGATAGAACTAGGATCTTTTAATTCTCATGTTTTGCTGAGTGCTTCTCCTACTAGATTAGACTGCTTTGGGTTGGGAAACTGATGAATTATAATACATATTCTGGTAGAATTAGTAGTTTCCTTAACTATTGTACTTTTATTAAATATTCATTTGAAATTTATTAAATATTAATAAATTATTGAATATTATTAAATATTCACTCATTTATTCTTGAATAGAAATACATTCATTGATTGAAAAATATGTTCATTGTTTGAGGAGTTCTTGGCCACACAGCTATGTCTTATCAATGTGTGGGTGCAGCAGAGGAGGCTGGCCCCAAATGGATGTCACAGCACGCAGTATGGATCACTGACTTACTCCATGGGCCAGGAGGGAAGGGAGCTGGAGTAAACACTGAGTGGCAGGCAGGACCGAGTCCCCTCCCATGCCACTATGATACCAACAACATGGGCTTCCCAGAACCAGCGGCTGAGAGCCTGTGACTGAATCCAGCTGCTGTGGTCGACCCCGCTCCCCAGGAGACATACTGCAGATGCTCATGCTTTTCCCGTATGGGTATGACATCGATTTTCAATAGAAAGGAGGCTCTTGGAGCTATATTTCCTGGTGTGGTAGATCCCTCCAGTGGCTGTTAACAGGTTACATTTCACTGAATTGAGTTCTAATCTTCAGTGAGAGTTCTCTTGGGGACCCAGAGAGTGCTTAAGTTAGAGTGTTTATCTGAACACATCCTGGTGAATGTTTAGTAGTGAAGCAAGGCACACAGTCACATCACATTACAAATAAAATGCCTCACTGTCATCATGAGAAGCTCTGTGGTCAAGATTCCCTTGCCTGCTTCTGGTGGAGGTAGGTTCAGACATGGCCCTGACCCTGTGGCTGTGTCCTCCCTGAGATGACGGAGAGAGTCCTGTATGCTGATTCACAGGGTCAACAAGTGTCAGGCACAAAAACACTGTGGAAAAATAAGTCACAGTGCATTTGACCTCTGACCTGAAAAGCCACCCAATTTCACATGAAGCCTCTTTCCTGCTTTTCATGAAAGGAAATGAAGTTGCAGGTATAATTGTAGAAGAAAGATTCCAGAATGCCACAAATGCATAACCTTGCATTTATGCGGGGAACGCACGAGCTTGTATGACATTCATCAGCATTCATAGCTGAATTTTAAACATAATAAGACAAAAAAAATTCTGCAGGCAATGTTTCAGATCAGAAATGTTATGAGAGGAATCATGACAAGGGGTGCCCTGCATTAAATGGAACCTGATTAGAAGCCACTTGGGCAAGGGTTGGGTCTGCGTCCCACCCCCACAACTGAAGAAGGATGTTGTGGAGTATTCAAGATCACGATAAAACCACAGAGTCATTCCGTAGTTGCAGAACGTGATTGATGTGGAAAGGATAAAGAAAGCAAACTCATTTAGTTTATGAACAGTAGGATAAGAAATGACTGCCAGGAACCACAGATGCCTTTTAAAGTCCGCTGCAATGAAAGCCGCAGTAGACCCTGGCTTGGTGAATGAAGACCAGCCAGGACAGCAGCAGGAATGTTGATGCTTGCTAGAGCTCTGTTCCCTGAGGGACCTGCTCCCGCTTCTCTGTCACTCATGCCTTCTCTGCTGCAAGAGGTGAGCCTCCCCGAACTCCCTGCATCTTGGCTTCTACTACAGAATTCTCAGGACTACAAGTTTTCTCCGTTAACCATTTATCTTGTGCTTTATAAAGGCTGTCTGTGTGTCTGTGTAGTGCAGCTTGTTTCATCATTATATTTTATCACATAAGGTAAAGATCAAACCAGCCTAAACTATATAAAATACATTTTCATGTTTTTAGTGATAACTTACAAGCTCTAGGCTTGTTAGCATAACACAAATGAGGCAGGGAAAAATAGAGGCAGTTTTTATGACTCAAATGATACTTGCAGACAAGCATTAACAAATGCTGTAGTAACAAAGGCTAAGATCATTTTTTTCCTGACTTTCATTCAGAAAGGAAGTGGCATCAAAATTTTAGTCATCTGAACCGACAAGTGGTAAAATTTGGATTCTTGAAAAGTAAGAGCTATTGATTTTTTTTTTTTTTTTGAGTTCTGTCACCAAGGCTGGCGTGTAGTGGTGCAATCTCTGTTCACTGCAACCTCCGCCACCCGGATTCAAGCGATTCTCCTGCCTCAGCCTCCTGAGTAGCTGGGATTACAGGCACACACCATCATGCCTGGCTAATTTTTATGTTTTTAGTAGAGATTTCACCATGTTGGCCAGGATGGTCTCGATCTCCTGACCTCATGATCCACCTGCCTCGGCCTCCCAAAGTGCTGGGATTACAGGCATGAACCACCGTGCCCAGCCAACTTTTCTATTTTCAATTAATTCCCATGACTTCCAAGTGCCTGCAGTTATATGCAATGGCCAAAAAACCATGGCCTCATGAAGGATGTTGAAATCTACATATGGATCATTCTTTCCAAACAGTGTCACAAAGCCCCAGGTACCATCTGCAGTATGTGTTCACCATGTATGTGGGGCATGGGTGTTTCAAATACCCGTTAGCAGTGTTTAAATAGGTAATTGTTTCCCACACTTCTCTTTCTTTATATTTCTTCAATAAGCCTCCGTGTTGACATGCTGTGAAGGTAAGCTGCCAACCTTTCCCTGTCTACATGATCACAGTCCACCTATGACTTGTCACCACATCATCCACAGCAAAAGTGTGTGCAGGGAAGCCTGGTTTGGTGTCTGGGCTGGAGGCACAGTGGAGAGACTCAGCCTCAGGCCTCACCCCACCTGAGAACCCTGGGTCCCAGTAGGCAAACGTTTCATCTCATCCAGGCCGTCTTGCCTCAACCACTTTGCTCACGCTCCATCCTCCAGCTGAACTGCTCAGATAAACTGATGGAATGTTGATTCTTTCAGTTCAGACTCAAATACCATCTTGTCCTTGAGCCTTTTGGGATTATCCCACGTGCCTCTGAAATCCTGCGGTTCTGTGTCTCTCTTAGACCTTTGGTTACAGCCTCTTTTTCATTTTTGCTTCTGAGTTTTCCAGGCACATTTCTTATTTTTTAGAAAGACAAAATTCTTAGTGTGTGTGTCTCTACCTGGCAAGGTGCCTCCAAATGGGAAATGGAGGTTATTCTGCCCTGACCCTCAGCCAGAATGTTGAGATATGATGGAGATTGCCTCAGTCTTTAACCCAAGGTTCTTTTGTAGTGAGACAAATAAGCAAACACTGAGAAGACTGGTCCTGGTGGTACAACCATGAATGTGAACCTGGGCACTTCAGGCTAGCCTGGGGCTGCATGGCACAAGAGTCAGAGAACCTTCTGGAAAGACTGTTCAGTCTTTAACCATTATAGTCAGTAGTTAACTAAGTATGTCTGTTTTCGTCATGGGGACCAAATAATTAGCAAATTGGGTACTGTGTAGGAAAACCGTCCTCAGCCACATGGAACAGACTCTACGCTAGTTTTACCTGGATTCAGCAACTGACCACTGACCTCCATCACTGCAGAAGCCAGGAGGCCAGGGTCTCCAGGGGGGTGCCACTCTCTCTGAAGAGCTGCTTCCTGGGCTCTTCAGAGCCCCCTGCAAACAGATGGGATCAACATAAAACGTGGCTCTCCTTCTGACACTGTGTCTTCTTAATTCTCTGTGTGAGCACCAGCCCTAGGGGCCACTTCCACAGGCCCTGGGACATGTACAGTAGTTGAAGGGCCTCTGATCTTAGCAATTCATAGAAGTGACTTTTGGCAGTATTCGTCAAGAAGCACTTCAGGCTTATTCGATACTCAGCAGGTGCATGTTTGAATGAGAGTATCATGCACCACATAAGAGGGCAAATAAGGGTTTCATTTCAAGGCTGGTGTGAACAGTCATTCTGACACTTGTGTGAGAACCCTGGAGGAAGTGCTGGAGAGGAGGGGAGTCTGACCTCATGGGATGTCACATCTCTAGGCTGTGATCTTGTTATTTGTAATTTTTTGCATCATAACAGATCACCTTTCACAGACTTAATAGATCTGCCTCATTCTGATTGAGGCAAAATAACCTATAGCACTGGTACACCAGCTATTTTTTAACCAGTGTGCTATTGATGGTGTCTTCAGCTTTTCTCCAAACAAATCAGTTGGAAATATATTTACACAGGCACCCTTAAATACTTTTAGGAATATTTCTCTGGGATATGTGCCTAGAAATTCAACTGCTGTTTTCAAGGTCTATGCACTTATATTTGTATAGTTACTGCAAAATTTCATTTTAAAAAATTTGAAATATATTGTCTCAAATTACTCCCATCAACAGTGTAGAAGGTTGCTGTTTTCCCTCTGACAATCACTGCATAACATCAATTATTCTAACTTAAAAATTGCTAATCTGGTGATCAATAACAAACTTTTTTTTGTTTATGAACTATGATAGGGAGAGATTGAATGAAACAACACAGGCCTGCATTGGAGGGAGGTAGCAAGCTTCAGTTAATTTGAAAATATCAAAATGCTAATTTTAAAATACAATAAAAATTGTTCAGCTTATTTTTTCTCCCTAGCATATTATTTTAGTATACTGAAATCCTTCCTATGTTCTGCAAATCTACAATGATCATCTATGCTCTTTGGATATATCCTGCTTTTAGATTCAGAATAGTGACCTGTGTACTTTATAGTAACTAACATTTTAAACATTTCATTGAAGAACTTAAAACCAACTCCAAATTTGCATTATATATGGCAGAGCTCAACGTAAGAACTTCCTGTTTTATCAGCTTCTAAACTTTCCTTGGTTTTTAAGATTAAATATTACATACAGTTTAACAAAATTGAACCTTTTGGAGTTTTGGCAGTTTTTTTTTTTTTTTTTCTTGTAAAGGACATGGAGTAGAGGGAGTAAGGGGTCAGATAAATGAATATTTGTGGATCCGACATGCCAGGCAACAATTCATAAAATATTCCCTAGGAGCAGGAGGAGGAAGGGTCACTGGTGGAAGAAAGAACCCCCCTTCATCTGTGAGCAGCCTGCTCCTACTGGGGACAGAGCAGGTCAGAGTTCTGCGCATTTACAAAGGCAGCATGGGTTGTGGGGGAGGTGCAGTTCCAGATCCATGTCTGTGTCACTCGGGCACGTCTCTGAGCTTAGACTGGGAAGTCCAACTTTATCTCTGAAAATGAGCGCTGTAGTTACTACCCTGCCTCCCCTGCCAGAATGTATTGAAAATCCAAAGAATAATATGTATGACAGCACTTTTCAAATTGGAAAGTCCTATACAATGGAAAGTTGTCAAAACTGTAATTAATGTCAACATGGAAAGGAAATTGAACAAAAATGAAGTTATTGTATTCAAAGCTTTATAACATACATTTAGGTTAGTTCCACAAGCATTTTTTCAATGGGCGGTTTATTTGAATTGCTGCTGCTTAGGTAAAGCATGCAAAAAACATTCAGGTTTGCCTGGATTTGCTGATTTATTTCTGTCAGATTGAAAATGTTTTGTTTGTAGCAGTTTCTGGTGGGGAGAGTTTTGAGTTCTGGAGGCTCTCTCTGAGGTGCTGTCCTGGCTTCTCTGAGGCCTGCTGGGTGAAGCACTTGCCTTCAGGTCGTCCTTGTGGGCCACTGTGTCTGTGGTTCTTTCCATAGCTGGATGCAGGACAAGGGCAGGGACAGGGAAAGGAACCCCTCTGGGGAGCCCAGACTTCCGTTTCCAGAAAGTGTCTGCAGGCCAAAGAAAACACGCAGTGCCCAAATCACATCTTTGAGTTCTTGCTTCATGAGCCATCACAGTAACAGGTTGCACGGGGCCAGCCCCCGTGCTTGGCTGGACTGACTGGAGACTGAGAGATGGGTGACGTGACCTGAGAGGCCCCTTCCAGTCTGCGTCTTCAGCAGCGAGGGAGTTTGAGCTGATCGAAACCACACTTGACATCGAGCGAGGCTGCTGCTCAGTGAGGTGCAGCGGGCATGTCTATGCCATGCCAGGGCATGGGAGCCTTGACCTCTGGGGACTTGGTGCCAGGGCAGGGGCCTGAGTGGAATCCCGGCCTGCATGCTTCACCTCGGGGTCCACAGTTCGTGTTCTTCTGAGCTCTGTAGGATGAGTGGCTCACTGAGCATTTATTGACAGCCTACTTGTGTCAGACCGCCTTGGGGTGCTGGCAGCACAGTGGTTCACAGAACAGTATCTGTGCACTCACAGAGCTGACACTTGAAAGTGTGGGCCAAGATGACTTTTAAAAAGGACATGTGAACATGCCACATGGTGATAAAGTCTTTGTGGAAAAGTAAAGCAGGAAAAGGAAGTAAGGAGGGCCTGAGGTGTGTGCATGTCAGGGTGAATGTGTGTATGCATGTATGCAAATGTGTGAGATTGTATGTGCTGTGCATGCATCTGTGTGTGCATATGTGGTGTGCTGTGGAATGTATGAGTGGGGGTGTGTACATGTATGTGTGTGGTATGTACATGTACTTGTGTGTCTGGTGTGCTGTAGTGTGTGGTGTGTGTATATGTAGGCACATGTGTGTATGAATGTGATGTGTGTATATGAGTGTGATTATGTGTGGTGTGTGTGCATGTGTATGTGTGTGTAATGTGCTGTGGGGTGTGTGTGGTGTGCTATGGGGTGTGTGTGTGCATGTGTGAGTGTGGTGTGCTGTGGTGTGTGTGTGATGTGCTGTGGTGTGTGGTGTGTGCTGTGGAGTGTGTGTGTGCATGTGCGTGTCTCTGTGTGTGATGTGCCATGGTTGTGTGTGTGCATGTGTATATGAGTGTGTGATATGCTGTGGTGTTTGTGTGTGGTGTGCTGCAGTGTGTGTGTGAGTGTGTGTGATGTGCCGTGGTTGTGTGTGTGTGTGTGTGTGTGCACGCATGTGTGTGGAGAGGCCTGAAGCAGCTGAGGGTGTGAGTGGGCCTGGAAAGGCAGCCTTGCAGGCGGGCTCACGTTTGTTAGATGGGCGCCGCGGTGCGTTCTGGGAGTGCTCGGGGCGGGCGCGGGGGCGGGCGCGGGGGCGGGCGCGGGCCAGGAGTGGGAAGTGGTGGCTAAAGGTGGGGTCCTCGTCCTGGCGCCTCCAGGGCTCTGGGGAAGCCCCAGGAGAAGGAAAGGGTGCGCTATTCAGAGGGCAGGCGCTCGTGGGAGGCAGGGCTGGGAGTCTGCAGCCCCAGGGGCTTTACTCTGGCCAACTGGGGAGGCTGTGTGCCGGGCAGGCTGCGGGTGAACACTGCCTGTATTAGTCCAGTTCTCACACTGCTGTGAAGAACTATCTGAGACTGGGCAACTTTTGAAGAAAAGAGGTTTCATTGGCTCCCAGTTCCGCAGGCCTAACAGCCTGACTGGGAGGCCTCGGAAACTCACAATCCTGGTGGAAGGCGAGGGGGAAGCGGGCTTCTTCGTCACGTGGCCAGGAGAGAGCGAGCACCTGAGGAGGTAAACAACCAGAGCTCCTGAGAACTCACTATGGAGAGCAGCATGGGGGAAACCGTCCCCAAAATCCAGTCACCTCCCACCAGGCCCCTCACAATTGGAGGTGAGATTTGGGTGGGGACGCAGAGCCAAGCCATGTGAGTGCCCGAGGAAGCGGTGCTGCACTTTGCAGTAGAGGACTCTGAAGGGAGACGGGGTGAGCCATGGGGGAGATGCATGGGGAGGATCACAGCCTTGGCTGGGAAGGAGGGGAATGGGGCTGTGCCGGGTCCAGGGCATTGAAGCCCGATGAACACGGGAGAGCCTGGGGGTGTCAGGCTGGCTGGCGCCGGGCTCTGGAGCCCTGAGCAGGGCGTCTGAGAGCAGAATGTCGGTTCTTAAGGCCTGGGCAATGACCAGGCACATCCTCTGGAAGATAAGAGCTGGGGCCATAGGGCAGGAAGGACCGTGGAAGGACCAGACTTGTGGGTGCAAAGAATGGACAGGAAGCAGGGCCTTGGGGTCAGGAGGAGCCGCAGGGAAGGCAGAACGGTGGCCAAGCATTGGGGAATCAGCTGCGGAATCCACAGAGCGCGACATTCCCTTGGATTGGAGAGGACAGCTCGTCTGCAGGCAACTGGGAGGAGCGAGGTGGACCTGCTGCCTGCAGTCCCCATGGTATAGACACTTTGGGAGGAGGGTGCAGGCTGCAGTGTCCTCTGTGGGGAGCACACCAGAGGCTTCTTGTCCACATTCTAAGTCTAGTCTCTAGGGCAGGCTGGCATTAGTATGGTTCAGTCACCTCCCCAGGTGACTCTAGGGTACATCCGGGGTCCATAGCCCTGGAACCAGACTCAGAGTTGAAAGGCAGTTCGGAGACAAGCATGTGTTTGCACAGGACTCTACCGTGTGTGACCATAGTAGCAGCCCCTGCCAGGCCTCAGGGTAGGCGGGGGAGAGAGGCTCTTGGATTGGAGACCCCCGAGCACAGGGCACAGTGGCAGATCATGCAGGAAGGCTGTGGTCATGCGAAGGGAGGACATCTTGCCAGGACGGCAAACACTCATCTGCTTTCTGCCTCTGTGCATTTGTTCGTTCTGAATATTGCATGTGAATGAAATCATATGCCATGTGGCCTCCCTCTTGTGACTGGCTTCTTTCACTCAGCATCATGTTTTCAAGGTTCATCCATGCTGCACCCCGTGTCAGTACTTCATTCCTTTTCATGGCTTAATAATATTCCACTATATGGATATACCACATTGTGTGTGCCCATTCATCTGTTGATGGGCATTTTAGTTGTTTTCACCTTTTAGCCATTTTAAATAGAACTGCTATGAACATCGGTGTACAAGTTTTTGTTTGAACACCTGTTTTCAGTTCTTTTGTGTATAGACAGGTAGTCCCTGACTTAAGATTTTTTGACTTTACAATGGAGTGAGAGCACTACACGCTCAGTAGAAACCATACTTTTGAGTACCCACATAACCATACTGTTTTTCACTTTCAATAAATTACATGTGATATTCAACACTTTATTATAAAGTATGTTTTGTGTTAGATTATTTTGTTGAACTATAGGCTAATAAAGAGCTCTGAGCATGTTTAAGGTAGGCTAGACTAAGCTATGATGTTTGGTAGATTAGTTGTATTAAATGCATATTTTACTTAAAGTATTTTCAGCATATGGTGGGTTATCCGTAGGTAACCCCATTGTAAGCTGAGCAGCACCTGCGTTTAGGAGTGGAATTGTGGGTCATATGGGAATTCTATGTTTAACTGATTGAGAAACTGCCAAAGTGTTTTCTATAGCAGCTGCACCGTTTTACAGTTCCACCAACAACCTATGAGGGTTCCAATTCCTCCACATCCTCTACAACACTTATTTTATTTTAGTTTCATGGTCATCCTAGTGGCTGTGAGGAGGTATGTGATTGTGTTTTTGATTTACATTTTACTAATGAATCTAGGATGTCTTTCTATTTATTTGTGTTTTAAAAAAATGTTTCAACATTTGATAATTTTCAGTATACAAGACTTGTACTTCTTTGGCTAAAATTATCCCTAAGTATTTTTGACTCTATTGTAAATGAAATAGTTTTCCTACTTTTGCTTATTGCTAGTGTGTTTCCTCTTCAGGCTTTTTATTGCTGGCATATGAAATTGGTGCAACTGATTTTTGTTGAGTTGATTTTATATCCTGCAACACTGCTGAGTTTGTCTATTAGCTCTAACTGTGGGTGTGTTCTTATATTTTATACATATAAGGGTGTATCATATGTAAGTAAAGATAGTTTTATTTCTTCCTTTACTATTTGGATGCCTTTTACTTATTTTTCTTGCCTAATTGCTCTGGCTTGAACTTCCAGTAAAATGTTGCAAAAGAGGGCATACTTGTCTCGTTCCTGTTCTTAAGGGAGAAAGGGTGCAGTCTTGTCATTGAGCATGATGTCAGCTGCAGATTTCTCATACATTTTATCATGTTGAGGAAGTTCTGCTTCTAGTTTATTGAGTTAATTTTTCATCATTAACAGATACTGTATTTTGTGAGTTCCTTTTTTGGTATCAATTGATCATTTTGTTTTTCTCTTCATTCTGTTAATGTGATGTATTGCATTAACTTTTTGTATACTGAATGACTGTTGCATTTCTGGGATAAATCCCACTTGATCATGATGTATAATCCCTTACATGCTACTGGATTCAGTTTGCTAGCATTGTGTTAAAGATTTTTGCATATATATTCATAGGGGATATTGTTCTGTCGTTTTCTTTTCTTGTGATGTCTCTTCCTGGCTTTGTAATGATGACCTCATAGAAAGAGTTAGAAGTTTCCTCCTCTTCTATTTTTGGAGGAGTTTGAGAAGGACTGGTGTTGATTCTTCTTTAAATATTTGGTAGGATTCCCAGAAAAGCTATCTGATCGTGGGCTTTTCTTTGCTGGAAAGTTTTGATCACTGATTCAACCTCGCTGTTTGCTCTAGATCTGTTCGGATTTTCCATTTTCTTTGTGAGTCACTTCCCTGCATATGTCTTTCCAGGGAAACCCCTGTCAGGTCAAAACCAACAAACGTGGTTCCTTGGGTATAAGATCCACTCTGCTCTTTCCAGAAATGTCCACATGGGAAACTCGGCCTGCCCTATTCAAGATGGCTGCTGTACTGCATCGTGGGGCAGAGCTACGGCAAGCTAAAATCCTGCAGTGTTCTCCTGTCCTGTTTCAGTGGCAAACATTCCTTGGTTGTTATAACCCTGTGGCTATCTTTCGGCATGCTGGTAAGGTTGATTCTGCCAGTTTTTGTCAAGTTTTTCAGCATTTCTTAGGAGGAACACCCCAGAGGTCCCTGCTCCACCACTTTTGCTGATGTCACACCTGTTAAATAAACTTTTCTTACGCACTCACTGTTTTATGAAGCAACAGTTCTTTTACTGTGGAGTTTAAAGAGTCTCATCATTTTCCTCTCTCACCTGGCCCTCTACGGGAAGCACCCTCTGATGTCCCATTCACCCCGGGCTTCTGTGTCTGGATCACACCAGCCATGTCATTCTGTTATGACTCAGTTTACTAGTTTTTGACTTCCTTTCTGACAGAACTGGGGAATCTTTAGGGGGGATGGTCTCCCAGATTTGAGTCTTATAAAGAATGCTTCTTTGTGTGTGTGCATTTCCAAATAAATGCAAATGAGGCAGGGCGTGTCTTTCATGTTTTCTCTGTTATCCTATTTTTATGTGTCCATGTTCATCTCTCTGCTCTCCTCTCCCACTGTCTGAGACCTCACTATCTGGTCCTGCCTGCCTTGGACAGCTGTTTGCTGTCAGGTAGCTGCTGTGTAAGGACCCGCAGCACTCACAGGTAATGGTTGTTCCTGTGTCTGCAGCAACAAGCGGATGCTCTGGAGGCTCTGTGTCGTGTTGCCCCGTCCGTGTGAGCTGCCGTGCAGCGGACTGTGCTTAATCTCGGGTGATTTAGTGCTGGAGAAAATAACAGTCAGGCCAGCCATTGAAAAATAGATGTGCTTATCAAATATGTGTTTGCTTTGTGTGCAAGTTGAATTACAGAGTTTTCAGAACAGGAAGGGCGGGACCTTTGAGATGACTTGCTCGGTGTCTTTGTTTTACAAAATTAAGGAATGGAATTCACAGAAGTCCATCAAACAGCAGCTCTCTCCCTCCCAGAAGAGTGTCCCCCCTGCAGCCCCACATAATTACCAGTATCTCCATCCACAGGGTCTTCTCCTTGAGTTTTCACTAGACTTGGTCTGGTAGCTGAGTTTGTAGATTCCTGCATGGTGCAGTTGAAAGGGAATTGAGAAGGGGCCTCCTTCTGTAATTTGTTTTCCTGGCACACATCCCCAGTCACTGAACCCTACCCCACGGACTCCTCTAGACAGGCAGCCATTGGGTTGAGAGAGAGGATCTCCTCTAGAGTGGGTGCTCACTCAGAGAGTGCCTGAGCATTGTATCCTGGGCACCTGAGGCTTGAAGCTAGTGAGGAAGGGAGTGTAAAAATGAGAACGGAACAGACCAATGTCACATGTGGCCAGGTTGGTGAGGTGGAGGCAGGAGAGCTGTGATGAAGTGGAGGGGTGCAGCCAGGCTGACTCAGGCTCTGACACTTACTGCATGACAGTGAGCAGACCCTTACATGCCCTCCTCATTGGTTTTCCCATCTGTGCAATGGGATGATGATGATAATAGTCAGGAGTTCTGAGAAGAGCGTATGAAGCACTGAACAGTCCACTGGTGCTCTCTGAGAGTCAGCTGTCATGACATCGTAAGTACTGTTTGTTATGAGCTGCTAAGCCCTGCGGCTCCCTGCTGGAGTCGGGGACTCTGCTGTTCATATACACAAGGCCCAGTCCTGAGTGTGCATTCTCTTGACTTCTAATGTTGATCCTTCTATTGGACATACAGAAAGATTATGCATGGTCGTAGCTATGATGTTTTGTTAAAAGAAAGGCCCTTAAAATTTTTATTTTTAAAAATTTTAGAAAGATATCAGGCTAGAAAATTTTGGCAACAATATTTGGGCACTCAAGATAGAAACCCAATTTCCAGTATGATGGATACTCTGTAAGTCAGAGAGTGACATAAAGAGCCCTAAAAAAGGAACTTCAGAAGGTATTGACACTATTGCACCTTTTTAAATGTCGAGGTCCCTTCAGCGTGTAAATGGGTTCATGCCTTACTTCATGCTGGGAGGCACAGAGCATAGTGGCTCACAGTTTGGTCAGAATACCTGGTTTCAAGGCCAGTGCCATGGGACACCTTCTCAGCCCCATGACCATTCACATAAAAAATAAAGATGTTATTAGCAGTATTAGTCCTCCTGCCATTGTTCTGACACCTGATGTTGGTTTTATGCATGCAGATCACATTGCACAGTCTTTGGCACATGGGAGATGCATATAGTTACCCTTAGTGGTTGCGAGTATTTGCTCCATACAGCCCACAGACCTGAATTAAGCTGGCTGCTTCCACGAGTCCTGTCCTGGGTTCTGTGCCAAGGACCCAGGTGCTTGCCTTTTCCATTTTAGAGTGAAGGCCACAGCAGTCAAGCCTTCAGAGGCTGCAGGGGTGAGCATTATTTCCTCATTACTCCTTTGGAGACCAGGGGTCAGAAAGCCGGAGTGCATGGCCCAAGGCATTTGAGGTGATGAGGGTTTCCAGATGAGGACTATCAGGCTCTGCAGCTTTTTATTGCACCAGCTGCCTTCTTAAAAAATTGTCTGCCTCCATATTTGCAGTGTACTTGGTCTAGAAAACAGTGTCTCCCAGTCTCAGCCCCAGATAATAGATGATCTTGTTTTAATGTGTTTGGAATGTGGCCATACAGATGGGATTGACCTTCCTGGATTCTAAGAAAAGCTTCTGGGCCTGAGGAGGCACAGATTCCTGGGGCTCAGGAAACATAAATAGAGGGAAGCAGTTCTGCAGGGAGCAGGGAGAGCCTTCCCTTGTTGGAATTGGGCCTGAGAGCATTATGTCACCTACATTTGCAGAGATGCCTGTCTCTCAGAGGGTGGAGAGTGTAGGACATAAATTAACTCAATAAACTAGAAGCAGCACTTTTATGCTTTGTGCAGCATAAACTCAAAAGATTTGCTTTTCTGATTACAAATAGATATTTATTGTTAAAATTTAAAAATATAGCAAAGCACAAAGAAGAAAAAATCCTAGATATTACCATTTAAATTTTAGTATATAGTTTTCCAAATATATATATTATGACAACAAACATACACACAATTTACACTGAGAATAGCATTTTCTAGCCTGTTTTATACACAAGACACATAATTATCTGTGTCTATACCATAGTTTCTTTTCTTTACAGCTGTACCTCAAAGCTCTGCCTCAGTGTTTAACCCTAATACACTCTCCACCCTCTGAGAGACAGGCATCTCTGCAAATGAACAGGACTGGATTTTCGCCACACCGATGTCTCCCATTGTCAGTTTTTTAAAAAATGACATTTCAGTAACAAATTCCACCAGGACTTTGGACTTAGACTGTCTTATCACCGTCATGTCAGCAGCAAACAGCTCAGGCCCCTGTGTGGCTGGCTCTTGGCAACTCTGTTGAATGAAGGCATTTATATGGTTGTTTTGGCAAAAGTGCATGGATTACAGAACTTCACTGTGGTATAAGAATTGGTAAATGCATATGCAGACACACACATGCTTCTGTGATGATAAAAGAGAGTTCTGGAAATCAAGACACACCCCATATACTTTCTTGCGACAGGTGTGGGAAACACACGCTTTCTCATCACAGTGATTTCCCTTGTGTAGGTCTCGGTCTCCACATAGATGCTGGCGAATGTGCTGGAAGGTGTGGTATCTCACAGTGAACTTCTTCCTCGTGGCGTTACACGTGGTTGTCCCTCATAATTTAATTATTTGTAAAGCTGTCCCACAATTTTCATAACCGAGTGTATACTCATCACTTTCTAGCAGAGAATGATGCCACAGCATGGGAGAGGAGACAAGTATCATCTGCTCCCTATTCTTTCACTAAACTTAGGTTTTTCTCTTTGGATGTTGTGCTCCAAGCAGTGAGAGGCTGGGACTTTAGTGTCCTCCCAGTGGAGCGCAGGAGGAGAGACCTGGTCCGGGAAGCACGTGCCTTCCTCCTGGCTCTGCCTCTTCTGACTTCCTCTTCCACACCAACCCGTTTTCAGACACGGATGCCTGATCCCTTCTCTGCATGCAGAAACTGAGCTCCTCCTGGCTGCAGGATGTCCCCCAGGACCCGCCTTCCCTTCCTGGGCACCCACAACAACTCTTCCATTTCCAGCGGTTCAGCCCAACCTGGATTATCGCATCTCATCAACAGCCACCATATGGTCAGCCTGGCAGGCTGCAGATCCTTGCATTTGGAAATGCTCCAATTCATCACATACGGTTCCCAGCAAAGTATAGCCAGTCAGCTCATACTAACTCATGACAAATTGTTCTTTCACGATTCACAGTGGGCACCGTCACACAAAGCAGGGTTCTGGTTTCTGCGTGTCTTTTCTTCATGTTTGTCATTTAGTTTAGCAAATATTTATTGAGCACAACTGTGTAGGGGCTCCAGGCTCAGCGCTGCTGAGGATTCTGAGTTTCATCAGAGGAAGTCTCTGCCCTTCAGGAGCATCTAGTGCAGTAAAGGGATAAAACATGTCCACAGACATCTGGTCAACCATATGAATCATTGTTCCTCTGTTGTATTTTGCAGATCAGAAAAAATTGTATCTTTCAGCAGAGAGATGATTAGTTAATTGCTCACCTTTGTGCTCACAGCTTATTCATCTTTGGACTTTGAAGCCAGGGCTGCTGAGCTGGAATCTCAAATTGTCTTAGGACAAGGATCTCTGCACAAGGCATGAAATTAGAACCAGCATTTTCCTTCTCATTGTCAGTAGCTCTGTGTATACATTTCATTTTTGTATCTTCTGGGAGGGACCAATAACTATAAGATACTAACTTCTGTTTGCATATGTTTTTCAAATCTGGAACCAGTTTCCAAATAATTAATAAATTCATACTGGGTCAGAAAAGGGACCAGTTTTGGATCCTGTCCACCTTCTTTTTGTATTTGTTGTTGTTTTTCTATTGCTGTATGTGTCCAACTCTACGTGAAAGCACTTGTGAACCACACAAATGAGATTCTTTTCTTTTCTTTCTATCTTTTTTTTTTTTTTTTTTGGGAGAATGTGTCTCACTCTGTTGCCCAGGCTGGAGTGCAGTGGCCCAATCTCGGCTCACTGCAACCTCCACCTCCTAGGTTCAAGCAATACTCCTGCCTCAGCCTCCCAAGTAGCTGGGATTAAAGGAACATGCCACCATACCCGGCTATTTTTTTTTTTTTTTTTGTATTTTTAATAGAGACAGGGTTTCACCATGTTGGCCAGGCTGGTCTGAAACTCCTGACCTCAGGTGATCCTCCCGCTTTGGCCTCCCAAAGTGCTGGGATTACAGGTGTGAGCCACCGCGCCTGGCCTTGAATGCTTTTCTAGTGTCAGATCCTTCTACCAGACTTTGAGCTCTGGTGGGCAGATACTTGGAGATGCTGGCCCGCTGCTGGGCATGTAAGAAATGGAAAGGCAGAGGAAGCTGCCCAGAAAGGCTGCAGATGTTTTGAGGCAAGAGTATGGGCTCCTGGGGACCCTGGGTACTTGGGGCTTAGAAAGAGGGCCCTATTTCTCTGGGCTTAGGAAGAAAGAGTATCTTCCCTGTAGACACAGCTCACCTCATTCACAACTTTTCCTGAGGCATAGAAAAATTTTATTCAGTTATTTTTACCTTCTCTCCTTCCCTCCTTCCCTCCCTCCTTTACTTCCTTTGTTTTTCTCTTTCTCTTTTTCTTTCTTCTTGTCTCTCCTTCCTTTTTCCAACCACTCCCAATCATTTTTGTCTTTCAGGATTACAGCTTTAATTATAATATTCTCTAAATTTTCTGTTCACCCTGCCGCAGAGACACTTAACTGGTGCGATTCTGTCTCCCACCTACCCAGTCCCCACTGAGTGACTGGAGGTGTTCTGCTGCTGAAGCCTGGGGGAGGTGTGCTACTGGCAGTGAGCGGGTCAAGGCCAAGCAGGCCACTCAACAGCCTGAATATTCAGGAAAGGTCCCTCCCTAAGGAATTAGCTGGCCCAAAATGTCATACTGTCAAGGATTTGAGAAGTGCTGCCCTGGAGAATAAGGATATCTATGATAAATGACATTATGATAATATTACAAGCCTGCTGTCATTATTAGCTAATTTTTTTCTTCTTAAATCTATTATTCTTTTTTTTTTTAAATCAGATGTCTTATAAGAAGAGAAGGAATTAAAAGAAAAAAAAAAAGAAACTGTAACAACAAAGTCCTGGGTAACACACAGAAAGAGTTAGGCCTGAATGATTTGGAGTTATCACAATTTTAGTATTTTAAATTTTTGTTAATATGCTCTGAGAACACAGGAAGAGAAGATTCAGTCTTTTAAAAAATACTGAATGTTGGCCAGGTGTGGTGGCTCACGTCTGTAATCCCAGCACTTTGAGAGGCCAAGGCGAGTGGATCACCTGAGGTCAGGAGTTCAAGACCAGCCTGACCAACATGGTGAAACACCATCTCTACTAAAAACACAAAAAATAGCCAGGCGTGGTGGCAGGCATCTATAGTTCCAGCTACTCGGGAGGCTGATACAGGAGAATTGCTTGAACCTGGGAGGCAGAGGTTGCGGTGAGCTGAGAGCGCACCACTGCACTCCAGCCTGTGTGACAGACAGACACTCCGTCTCAAAAACCAACAACAACAAAAATACACAAAAAAACTGAATGTCAGTATCTCAGAACCTAATTTTGAAGATATGATATCCTTTTTTTAAAGCCAACTTGACTTGGGCATTAGGAAGAGGAAATATTTTGTTCGTTTTTAAATAAGAAGTTTGACAGTTGTCATCAAGATTATTTTAAAGAGTTTGAGCCTTCCCTAAACCTATTCCAGGATTTGGTACTGAAAGTCTCCTAAGTCTAGTAGGACAAGCAAAGTCTCTACTTGTCCAAGTAAATTAGAAATTCTTGCAGAATTCATATGTGGCAAATTATCATATGGAAAATGACAAAAATAAATGATTCCAGAAACATAAAAACCCTCAATATACTAGATAAAATGTGTCATACCAGAGAGTCTTCTAGTGCCAGTCAAGATGGAGCTGCCCCTTTGCTCTTGGTTTCCTCTTAGGACCAAAAGTCCCTGGTCATGACAAAACAAGCCAGCACAGGAAAAGAAGAAGGCGGATTGCCTGGTGACCTTGGGACTTAAGGGACAACACATGATGAGTTAGCCCCAGTCCCGTAATATGTCCAAAGTGCCGAGGATATGATCAAAACTCACTTGAATTACAGCAAAACAGGAAAGACACCCTTGAATAAGAGAACGAAATGAGTTTTGCCAACAGCAAGATGAATGAGATGTTGTAATTATTGGGCAAAATATGTAGTATGCAGAGAAAATACTTAGACAATTACATCTAAATAATGAGGACAGTAAAAGGACCTAAATGGAAGTAAGTTTTCTACACTTCACTCAAAGTGCTAAGCCACTCTGATGACAGTAGACTGTGCTAAGTTGTTGCGTTACTTGCTTGGGCTGCCATAACCAAGCATCACAGCCTGGGCACTTTATTTTCTCACCATTCTGGAGGCTGGAAGTCCAAGATCATCAGGTTTGGTGTCTTCCGAGGCCTCTCTCCTTGGTTCCTAGGTGGCTGTTGTCTTCCTGTGTCTTCGCATGGTTTCCCCTGTTTGTTTGTGCCTGTGTTCAAGTTTTCTCTTCTTATGATTTTTCTTTTTGTATTAGATTAGAACCTACTGTAATAGCCTCATTTTAACATCATTACGTCTTTGAAGACCCAATCTCCAAATGCAATGACACTCTAAAGTGCTGGGGCCTAGGACTTTAACATTCGAATTTTGGAGGGACACAATTCAGCCCCTAACATTTATGTATTCATGTTGTAATATCCAGAGCAACCACAAAGAAAACTGTACAAGTAATATACTAAAAACATTATGAATAAAAAAAAAATCCCATAAAATGTTCAAGAATCCCTGGAAAGATAAGAGAAGTAGAAGAATGAGAAACAAAGGGGAGGAAAACACAAAAAACCACCAATCATCAATATTAGCAATGAAACGTGGTCTATCACTATAGATTCTACAGCCACTAAAGGGATAAGTTGAGAATACTATAATAGACTTTTAACTAATAAATTTGACATTATTCTAAAAATCAGAATTGGCCGGGCACGGTGGCTCACGTCTGTAATCCCAGCACTTTGGGAGGCCGAAGTGGGCAGATCATGAGGCCAAGAGTTCGAGACCAGCCTGGCCAACATGGTGAAACCCCGTCTGTACTAAAAATACAAAAAAAATTAGCTGGGTGTGGTGGTGCATGCCTATAATCTCAGCTACTGGGGAGGCTGAGGCAGGAGAATGGCTTGAACCCAGGAGGTGGAGGTTGCAGTGAGCCAAGATCGTGCCACTGCACTCCAGCCTGGGTGACAGAGCAAGACCCTGTCTCAAAAAAAAAAAAAAAAAAAATCAGAATTAATGGACCAGTTTTTTTAAATTCACTATCTACCAATAAAAGAAGTGGAAACCTGAATATTCTTCTACCGATTAAGTAATTGAATTAGTAATTAATGTTCCCAAAAAAGAAATCTTGAGTTTTATATGGTGTAACTGGAGAATTTTACCAGTCAGCTAAAGAAGAATTAACACCAATTCTACAAAATCTCTTCCAGAAAGCAGAAGAGAAGGAAACATTCCCCATCATTTTTTATGAAGCTAATATTACCTGATACCAAAACCAGATAAAGACAGCATAAAAAAGAAAAACAACAGAGCAGTTTCTTTCATGAACTTGCACGCAAAACTCCTCAACAAATATTAGCAAATAGAGTCCTGCAAAGTTTAAAAGAATTATACATCATGACCAGGTGGGATTTCTTTCAGGTATAGAAGGTTGATTCAGCTTTCAAAATCAATCTGTGTGATCCACCATATTACAGGCAAAAGAAAAAAAATCATACAATTATATCATTTTATGCGAAAATGTATTTGACAAAATATAATACTTATTCATGATAAAAACTCTCAGCAAACTAAGAATAGGGGAAAACTTACTCAGCTTGATACTAAGCATCTACAAAATGCACGCAGAACTACAGGTAGCATCAAACTTGATGGTGAAAGACTGAGGACCAGGAACAAGGCAGGGATGTGTGGTTTCACTGTCATTTTCAATGTCGCACTGGAAGTCCTAGCACCTGCACGTGGCAAGAATAAGCAATTATTAGGCAAGTAGATTGGCAAGAGTAAAATAAGTGTCCTGATTTACAGATAAGCTGATTGTCTACATGAAAGTCACAAGGAATCTACCAGATAATCCTAGGACTTGTGAGTTCAGCAAGGTCTCTGGATAAAAGATTATCACCCAAATTCAGTTACATTTGTATATAATAACAAAAATCATGTGAAAACCAAAATTAAAAACATAATAGTTTTTACAGTTGCTTCAAAAAATGAAATACTTAGGTATAAATCTAACAAACAGGTACAGAATCTATTAATATATGCTGAAAATTATAAAATGCAAATGAAAGAAAGCAGAGAAGCCCTAAGTAAATGGAGAGATGTATTTTTTCATGGATTGGAAGATTTAACATAGTAAAGATGTCCATTTTTCCTTACGTGATCTGCAGGTTTAATGCAATTCCTACCAAAATCCAGACAAGCTTATTTGAAAATTTTCACAGAACAGTACAACACCTAGAATAGCTGAAATAGTTTTGAAAAAGAAGAATGAAATTGGAGGAATTAGTCTGCCTGATTTCAAGCTATATTATATAGCTACATAATCAAGACAGTGTGGTATGGCAGAGGAGTAGACACATAGATCTGAATGGAGAATCCAGAAATGAACCCATGCAATTACATCGACCTGTTTACTGACAAAAGTGCAAGAGCAATTCAATGGAGGAAGAAGGCACTGGAACAACTGGGCATCCATAGACAAAACAAAAACAAAACAACACCCTAGACCAGGGGTGTCCAATCTCTCGGCTTCCCTGGGCCACACTGGAAGACCACAATTGTCTTAGGCCATAGATAAAATACACTAACAGTAACGATAGCTGATGAGCTAAAAAAAAAAAAAAAAAAAAAAAATTCTGAAAAAAATATCATAACGTTTTAAGAAAGTTTATGAATTTGTGTTGGGCTGCATTCAAAGCCATCCTGGGCTGCACGTGGCCTATGGGCCACCAGTTGGACAAGCTTGCCCGAGACTTTAACCTCACATCCTATACAAAAACCAACTAAAAATGAAATATAAAAGATGTACCACGTCCGGCCTCTCTACGTCCATGTGAACCAAGCCACGCCATCGTGGACTCCCCTGATGTGGGATGTCTTCCAAAGTGGATCGGTACTCCTGAGCTCTGTGTTTCAGCAAGGCCCGGGAGTCCCATTACACACATGGGCTGCTGCCAATGTTAGGAGCTGGGAGAGCTAGTCAATTCATTTCAGTCTTAAGAACATAAAATTCTGAAAATTGCTGTGTTCTACACAGTTTTAGAAATGAGTTTGGTTTTTGTTATGACTTGCTTCTTTCTTTGAGGATTTGGAAATGACTAATCAGAATTTCCACGAGGGAGCTAGAAACTCGAACTGAGCTCTAAAAACTGATTAGGAGGCCTATTCCTTCTTATGAGAGGTGTTCAGATAAATGCCTGGGCTCCATAATAACAATAACAACAACAGATCATAATACTAATATTAAATTTTTATAAAATCATGCTTGGTGACAACTCTGTGCTTTTGGCTCACTGGGTGAGAGGATTTTCTATTATGGTCGTGGGGACTGCATTTGTTACTTAAAGTCTATTTGGTAAGTGTATGGAATCTTTGGCTGAAGATTATTCCTTGGTCACATAACTATAAACAAGTTACTTTCTTCACTAGGTGCTTCAGGAATACGATGCTATGGGTTGAATTACAGTATTTCCACCATATAATTGTGAGCTTACTTCTCCTAATAAAAGTACTAACAAGTAAATAGATTTTAATAACCACTAAATGTCATGTGTGGTTGTTAATATCTTATTTACCGACATAAGTATATAATTTGTATGTGTTGATACTTTTTCTTCCATAGTACTCCCCCAAGTACCACCGGCATTAAAAACTAACCATGTCTTAAATATTGAAAATTCCAGGAAGAACAAATAAAACTGCCATTGATAAAAATGATGTAGCTCTATTTCTAATGAATACTTTCTTTAATTGTTTTGGATTATTATCCTGTAAAAAGTTGAAAGCTTGGATTATGCCTTCAGCATTCAGGTTTGTGAATTATGAAACTAGTCTTCGTCCTAGTCTTTCTTAGTTGTCAGTGAATTTGGAAGATTTAACAGGTGTTGTGATCTGTATGAAATTGATGCTGGAGCAACACACTCCACCATGCTCCACAGGTGCTCTTGGAAGGTTCTGGGCCTGCCCAGAAACCTTACCTCTTCTTTGACGTATACATATTTTCCCTGTACTGACAACCCACTCCTCAGGAATGACTCTATTTTGTTCAGGTGTTAGTAATGTTTAAAAGTTAAACCCTTTGCAGTTGGAGGCTCACATGAAACACCACTCCCCAGGCACAGTTAAAGTAGGAGTGTCTGAACCACAGAACCCTGAGTATCCCCACAGCAGGTTCACCCAGGGTCCACAGCAGGTCCATCCAGGGTCCACAGCATGTCCAACTAGGGTGGCCAGCCTTCTGGCACCAGACCGTACAGGGTTGCCCCTGCAGCTGCAGGGAATCAGAAGCAACAGAACCACCTTAATAAATACCAAAGCTCGGTTAGGGAGCATGGAGAAGAGAAAAGCAAAATTAACCCCTCCCCTTTCCCTTTAAGTGTTTTTTCACTTTTAAGATTACAAACATGTTACACATCCATTGTAACAAGCATACAATACAACGGCCTATTAAAGACAATGAATTTGCCTTTCCATTCCTTGTTCTCTCTCAAGGAATGACCAATTCTTGAGGTCATTCTCTCAAGGTGACCGCTCAAGGTGACCTCAGAACTCTTGAGGTTCTCTCTCAAGGTGACCAATATCAATAGCTTGGGGCATATCCACCCACAGTTTTCTAGCTGCTCTTATATATGTCTTCAGCTATAGAATTATACACCTTTCAAATGACTGCCTTGTAAATGCTCTTTTGACATATCTGTTTCCCATGGTGAGGATTTTCTTTAATAATTAGTGGGAAGATAAATAAGCACTTGTATTAATGAACAAAAGGCTGGCTCAGCCAGAACCTTATGGAGCTGTGCTGCTCAATATTTGGAAATTACCAAGTTGAGGTAGTTTCATTGTACCTTACTTGTTTATCGAGGTTATAGAAAATGAAATGGCCCTTGCCTTTTAGTGTTTCAAGAAGAGAAAATTTAATGAAATGTGAAGTCACTTAAAAATATTAGCTTCTGTTTTTAGGATCTTTAGCTATTCTGCCTCAAAACAATTTCACTAATTTTATTTCTATATCACGTTTTCTCATTTCTGCTCATGGCAATTGGCTGAATCAGTGGTACGAGCCAGGACAGATGAAGTTAAATCGACCAAGTGCTGTTGCCTTCCAGAGGCGTGGCATGAGTCAGTCATGGCCAAAGTGGCGCGTGAGTTTGAGTATGAATGTAGATGCTCCCTATCCAGTCTTAGTAGGATGTGGACTTTAAAAATTTGTGTTTGTTTATTGGTTGGTTTGTTGTAGTTTTGTGTATGGGTTTTATTGAAACTGTTCTCTCATTCACTCACTCACTCCCAAGGAAACACTGATATATGGTATGTCTAGTGACGTGCTGTGCATTTGTTCCACAGACACCAACGAGGCATGGCTTAGGTCGCCTGGCCTCAGTGGGTGTTTTGCCTGTAACTTTTTCTTTTGCATCATGATACTTTAAATGAGCTGATCTGCCTAGGTAGGAACAAAAGCCCCAGGTGCTGTTTGCTTCCTCAGCTGAATCGAAGACAGACTGTGCAATACACTGAAATACACTGGGATCACACAAGACAGAGAAAGCCATGGTAACAAATCATAGAATTTCTTTCCACTGTTGTCTATGTGGAACTATACATTTTTCAAACCTTTTAAAAGAATTGAGAGAACCAGAGGAAACAGATAGAATAATTTGATATTAAATGGCAGACATAAGCCCTAACATGTCAATAATCACTTTAAGTCTAAATAATCAAAATACACCAATCAAAAAGTAGAGATTGGCAGAGTGGATTAAAACATTAAAAAATTTCGATGACTCAACTATATGCTGTTTACAAGAAGCCCACTAAAATTTAAATAACATAGATTGAAAGTAAAAGAATGGAAAAAGATATACCATGTAAATATTAATTAAAAATTTAAAAGCAGGAGAAGCTATGGTAATATTCAATGATGTGAAATTCAGAGTAAGAAAACTATTAGAGATGAAGAGGAACGTTACATAATGATAAAAGGATCGATTCACCAGGAAGACATGATGATCCTAAATGTGTACACATCAAGCAACAGAGCCTCAAAATACATGAAGCAAAAACTGATGAAACTGAAAGAAGAAATGTATAAATCTATAATTATACTTGGAAAAGGTATAGTAGTATACACTTCCTGAATTGTCAAGCAGATTTGATCAGCCAATCAACCAACAAGATCTAGGTTACATGTATGGAATACTCCACCCAACAACAGCAAAATACACATTTTTTCAAGGGCTTATAGAATGTTCATTGAGATATACTGTATCTTGGGTCACAAAACAAATCTCAGAAAATTTAAGATAATTGAAATCATAAAGAATTTGTTCTGCAACCATCATGTAATCGGACTAGAAATCATTAACATAACGTTTTAGGATGGCGGTTATCAAAAAGCCAAAAGACAACAAAAGACAACAAATATTGGTGGGGGTATGGAGAAAAGGGAAACTTGAACACTGTTGGTGAAGTGTAGATTGGTGCAGTCATTATGGAAAGCAGTATGCTGATTTTTAACAAAATTAAAAATAGAACTACTATATGACCTCTCTTCTGGGACAAAATGAAATCACCACTTCATATATATATCTGCTTTCCCATGCTCATTATAGCGTATCCACAATAGCCAAGATATGGAAACAACCTAAGTGTATATGGATGGACAAATGGATAAATAAACTGTGGTGTGTATATACAATGCAATATTATTCAGACTTTAAAAAAGAAGAGATCCTGCCATTTGCCACAACATGAATGAACCTGGAGGATATTATGCTAAGTGAAATAAGCCAGATACAGAAAGGAAAAGTTTGCATGATCTCACTTATATATGCAATGTATAAAGTCCGTCAACTATACAGAAACAGAAAATAAAACAATAGTTACCAGCGGTGGGTCCTGAGAAGGAAATAGGGATGTGTATATCAGAGGATACAAAGTAGCAATATGTAGGATGAACAAGTTTCTAGACGTCTAATGCATAACAGGAGATAATAAAATTGTACTGTATTTGGCATTCCTGGGAAATAAGTAGATTTTAGCTGCTCTTGCTACAAAAAACAAAGGGCAACTATGTAAGATGATAGATTTGTTAATTTGCTTTACTATAGTAACCATTTTATTATCTATATGTATCCCATAACATCACATTGTATACATTAAGTATATACAATAAAATTATTTTAAAAATATTCTGAGCAGTCCTGCAGGAAAGAAAGGAAAAAAAGAAGGAATGAAGGAAAGAAAGAAATGAGGAAAGATTTCAAAGGTATCTAAGTTTTTAACTTACAGAAAATAGAAAAAGAAAAGCAAGAAGAATCCAAAGCAGGCAGAAGGAAGACAGTACTAAAGAGCAGAAACTAATGCAAGTGAAAATAGAAAAATAGAGAAAATAAATGAAACAAAAAGCTGGATCTTCAAAAAGTCAATACAATTTATAAGATTTAGCAGGACTGACAAAAATAAAAGGAGAGATGATGCAAATCATCATTATTGGAATGAAATGAGGGATATCACTATAGGTCTGCAGCTATTGAAAAGATAAAAAAGGAACACTCTGAATAATTTTATGCTCATGAATTCAGTAGTTTGAAGAAATGGACTAATTCTTCAAAAACTGCCAACTACTAAAACTCTATCAGGGTTCAATAAACAATCTAGCCCTATAGTCATTAAAGGAATTTAATTTATAATTGTAGTAGTCTGCCAAGGAAATATCCTGGCCTAGATAGCTTCACAAAACAATTCCATACAGTCTCTTCAATTTTACACATTCCTTTTGGAAATGAGAACTAGCACTAGCTAGGCTTTCCAGTAAGATATTGGAGAGAGGTAGAGAAAAAAATCATCCTCGCCATATTCTTAGTCTTAGGAGAAAAGCTTTCAATCTCTTACCATTAAATATTCCTAGTCTTAGGGGAAAAGATTTCAGTCTCTTACCATTAAATATGATGTTAGGTGTAGGATTTTTATATATTACTTTTACTATATTGAGAATGTTTCCCTGTATTTCTGGTTCCTTAAGGTGATCTTCATGAATGAGTGTTCAGTGTTGTCAAGCGGCTTGTCTGCATCAGTGGGTAGAATCGTATGGTTTTTCTTATTTGACTTACTCATATGGTGATTTACATTGATTTATAAATATTGAACCAGCTATACATTTGGGAAATGAAGCCTCCTTGCTTGTGATGACATTTATGTATTCCTAGATTTAATATTTTTAATGATTTTGGCATGTAGCTTTATGAAAAACGTGGATCTCTAGTTTTCTTTTTTTGTAGTGTTTTTATTTATTATTTTTGTTATTAGGGTAATGCTGGCCTCATAAAATTAACTGGAAAAGTTCTCTCTAATTCAATTTTCTGCAACAGTTTATAGAATATTGGTATTATTTCTTCCTAATAGATGTTTGATAGAATTTGCCAGTGAAATAATCTGGGCTTTGTTGTTTTTTTCTCTATGGATGGCATTTAATCACTAATGCAATGTCTTCAATAAATATATGCTGTTCAGGTTGACTATTTCCCATTGAGTGAGTTTTAGTAGTTTGTGTCTTTAAAAGAATTGGTTCATTTCAACTAATTATTAAATTTGTTGATATAGTTTTATTAACAATTTATCAAATTTGCATAGAATTTTATCTAGTATTCCCTTCTTTTAATGTTCATGGGTGATTAGTAATAACCCCTCTTTCATTTCTGGTATTGATAATTTGTGTCTTCTTCATTTTTTTTTCTTGGTTAAACTTGCAAGAAGTTCATTAATTTTATTGATCTTTTCAGAGAACTAGCTTTTGGTTATGTTGATTTTCTCTATTTTCTTTTCAGTTCCATTGTTTTATACTCTTAGTTTTTATCACCTCCTTTCATCTGTTTGTTTTAGGCCTAATTTTCTTTTCATTCTCTAGTTCTCTAAAGTAGGAGCTTAGGAATTTTGATTCTTTTCTAATACATTTGTTTAATGCTACCAGTTTTCCTCTCAGCACTGCTTTAATTTTGACTGACAAATTTTGATCTTTATTTTGTTTTTAATTAGTTCAAATTATTTTAAATTCCTCCTGAGACTTTTTCTGTGATTTATGGGTTATTGCAGAGTATGTTGTTTAATTTTGAAGTTTTAATTTGCCAGCTACCTATTAGTCATTGATTTTTATTTTAATTCCATCATGGACTGAGAATAGACTTTGTATGATTTCTGTTCTTGTAAGTGTGTTAAGATGTACATTATGGTTCAGTGCATGGTCTATTAAGATATACATTATGGTCTAGTGCATGGTCTATGCTGCTCAATGTTGCATGAGACTTGGGAAGAGGGCTTGTTCTGCTGTTGTCGGATGGAGTATTCAATAACTGTCAGTTAGATCAAATTGGTGGATAGTGCTGTCCAGGTCATTTATATCCTTACTGGTTTTCTGCCTGCTTTGTCTGTCAGTTAATGATGCAGTCGAATCTACCTAGAATAGTGGATGTCTCTGTTTCTCCTTTCATTACTATCAGTTTTTCCTTCATTTATTTTGATACCCTGGTATTTAGGTTTCTACACATTTAAGATAATTCTGTCTCCTTGGAGAATTGACCCCTTTATCATGATGGAATGATCCTCCTCATTTCTAATAATTTTTTTTGTTCTGAAACCTGATTTTCTGTAATTAATATGGCTATTCCAACTTTCCTTTGATTAAAGTTAGCACTATGTACCTTATTGGCATAGGAAAATGCTCATAATAAAATAGGCAAAAAGGGAGAGAAAGCAGCTAAGAGATCTCTTAGCTTCGTTTCTCTTTTTCACCTATATTATTATGAGCATTTGTGCACAACATTCTATTGTATGTATGTACCAGAGTTTATTTAAATATTCCTCCGATGTTACACATTTAGATTGTTGTAAATTAAGGTTGCAGAGCATATACTTACCCCACAGTCTTTCTTTGGATATATAATCTTTTTAATTAATAGATTTTATTTTTTGGAGCAGTTTTAGGTTTACAGAAAAATTGAGCAGAGTTTACAGAGAGTTCCCATAGAGTCCTTCTCCCACTACATGCTGTTTCCCTTACTATTAGTGTGGTTAGTTGATTTGGTACAACTGATAAGTCACTATTAATGCATTTTGTTAACTTAAGTTTATAGTTTACCTTAGGGTTCACTCTGTGTTGTACATTCTGTAGGCTTTGCTGAATGTGTAACGCTATGTATCTACTGTTACAGTATCATACAGAATAGTTTCATTACCTCCGATCCCCTGTGTTCTACCTAGGCATCCCTTCCTTCTGACAAATCCCTGGCAACCAATGATTGTTTTCCTGTCGCCATAGTTTTGCCATCCTTTTACTTTTAAATACTCAGAGTTGTCATATTTAAAATGGTTTTCTCAGCCGGGCGCAGTGGCTCACAGCCTATAATCCCAGCATTTTGGGAGGCTGAGGTGGGCGAATCACCCGGACTCAGGAGTTTGAGACCAGCCTGGCCAACATGGCAAAACCTGTCTCTACTAAAAGTACAACAATTAGCCGGATGTGGTGGCACGTGTCTGTGGTCCCAGCTACTCGGGAGGCTGAGGCAGGAAAATCACTTGAACTCGGGAGAGGGAGGTTGTAGTGAGTGGAGATCGCGCCACTGCACTCTAGCCTGGGCGACAGAGCGAGACTGTGTCTCCAGTAAATAAATAAATAAAATAAAATGGTTTTCTTAAAAACAGCATTTAGCTGGGTCTGGGGTTTTTGTTTCTTTGTTTGTGTTTATATCCACTTTGTCTATCTCTGTCTATTAATTGGTGTGTTTAGGCTGTTCATGTTTAAAATGATTATTGATATATTTAGCTATATATCAAAAATCTTTTAACTGTTTTCTATTCCTTGCATTTGATTTTTGTCTCTTTTTCTCTCTTGTTTCCTTTGGTTTAACTGAGCTTTTTATATGATTTCATTTATCTTTTTTTAAGCATATCATTTATGCTTATTTTTAATTTGTTAATAGTCCTAGTGTTCCAATACATGGCTTAAAATAATGTCAAATTACTTTCAAATAACACTATTCTGCACCATGTATAAACCAGGTACCTTGTAACAGTGTATTCCTTATTTCTCCTTCCTATGTCTCATACATTACTGTTGTTAATTTAACTTATATATATACTAATACATTGTTACTGTTATTGCTTCAAAGTTATATTTTAGAGCAATTTAAAATAGTAAACATAAAAGATTTTTTTATTTTACCTCCACTTATTGCTTCTCTGATGTTCTTTCTCTTTTTATGTAGCTCTGAGTTTCTGACCTATGTAATTCTGCTTGTAGAACTTTTTTTTTTTAACATATTTTTTGTAGAGCAGGTATGCTGACAACAAATTCCCTCAATTTTTTTTTTGTCTGAGGAAGTCTTTATTTCTCTTTCATTTTTGGAAGCACAGTTTCACTGGATGTAGAATTTTAAGTTGGTGAGTTTTTTTTTCTTTGAACAATTTAAATATTTTCCTTCACTCTCTTCTTGCTTGCATAATTTCTGATGAGACATCCACTGTAATTCCTAAACTCACACTTCTATAGGTGTGGTGTTCCCCACCCCAACCCATCCGTGGCTTCTATCAGGATATTCCATTTGCCTTTGTTTTTTGCAGTTTGAGTATGAAATGTCCAAGTGGGTTATTTTTGGTATTTTTCCTGCTCAGTGTTTGATGAGCTTTCTGTATCTGTGATTTGGTGTCTGTCACTACTTTTGGAAAGTTCTTACTTTTATTACTTCAAATATTCCTTCTGCTTCATTCTCTCTTTATTCTCCTACTGGTGTTCAAATGATGCATGTGTTATATTAATATATGACATTGCCTCATAGTTCCTGGGTGTTCTATTCCAGTTTAATTTTTTTCTTTTCCCTCTTTCTGTTTCAGTTTGTGCAGTTTCTATTTACTTATGTTAATGTTCAGTGATTCTTTCCTCATCTGTTTTGAGTCTACTCATGAACTTTTCAGAAGCATTCTTCATTTTTCTTGTGCGTGTGTTTTTTTAGTATCTGCTTTTGATTCAGTTTTAGAATTTTCATTTTGCTTCCTTTGCTCTTGCATGTCCTCTGCTTTTTCCCTGAGAGTCCTTAGCATAATCATAGTTACTTCAAATTCCCTGTCTACTATTCCCAACATTTCTGTCATGTCTGATTCTGTTCTGATGATGGTTTGTCCTTTCAGACTGTGTTTTTACTTGCCTATTGATGTGCCTTGTACTTTTTTACTGAAATCCAGACATGATGTGTTGGGTAATAGGATCCAAGGTCAATAGGCCTGTAGGGTGAGGTTTCTCGCTAGACTGCTGGCAGCGGGCTTTGTTTCTTGTGTGTTGTATCTGTAAGTAGCAGAGCTTCACAGCCTTCTGGTGTCCTCATTTTTGTCTTCCCCTTTGGATTTGGGTCTCTCCTGTGTGCTGTTCTTCAGAGAGGGTCTACGCCTTGTAGCTGTTTCAGCTGTAACCCGCTGCTATAGTGGAGCTGCCTTGGTATAGGGGCTGTATATGGGGTGGAGGGAGCATTCTGTACTTTTCTGCTTCAATCTGTCTTGTAGCAGGTCTGCATCTCAGGGCTGTGAGCTTCCTAAGTGTTTCTGTCCCTACTCCAGTGATAGTTTTACCCCCAACCTCCATTCCCCAGGGTGGGATGGATTTTCACAGTTCAGCTCTTGCAAAGTGATTTCCCCAGGAGAGTAGGCCTTTTCATGGAGAAGGTTCTATGAATGTTTTACAACAGTTACACTCCCCATTCCTCTGCCAGGACCAGGAGGGGATCTATTTTGGATCCTTACCATGAGAATCTGGTGGAACGCTTGAAGAAAAGTTCAGTAAAGTGTAGGATCTCCCTTAAGGCAGGGTCCCACAGTGTTTTCTGACTCTCAAGCTAGTCCACACTCAGCCTCCAGCAAGTCATCATTTCAATTCCCATCATTTTATGGCCCTTGTGGATTCTGCTCCAAGCAAGCAGATCTTTGCAGTGTCTCTCAGGATGAACCCATCTCTCCACATTTTAGGGTAACAGTGTTTTCCGGTGACTTCAGTTCTCTGATGGATTTAGAAAGGTCAGTGATTTTCAATTTGTCCAGCTTTTTCTTGTTGTAAAGCAGGAGTAACAACATCCTAGCTCTCAATATATGTATGCGCAGATTCTTGATGTCCTCTTTAATTTCTTTTTTATTTTCCCCTTAACCCCGTATCTTCAGCATTTACTTATTTCATTGATTTTTTTTTTTTTTTGGTATGGGGTCTCACTGTGTTGCCCAGGCTTGGAGTGCTGTGGTACAATCTCAGCTTACTTCAACCTCTGCCTCCTGGGTTCAAGCGATTCTCCTGCCTCAGCCTCCCGAGTAGCTGGGACTACTGGTGCCCCCCACCACAGCCGCTAATTTTTGTATTTTTAGTGGAGATGGGGTTTCACCATGTTGGCCAGGCTGGTCTTGAACTCCTGAGCTCAAGTGATATGCCCTCCTCGGCCTCCCAAAGTGCTGGAATTACAGGTGTGAGCCACCATGCCCAGCCACATTGATTACTTTTTAAAACACAATTTTGTGATGCTTTTATGTCCATTGTGTGGACACCCTATCAATCAGTCAGCTAACCCCTTATGAGCGATTAACTTGCTAGTTTACAGCACTGTGGTTTGTTTACAGACCTTTTTCCCCGTTGTATTATATTTACAGCTAGCAATCCCTTACAACATGGAAACTTTGTTCTTCAATTCTAAGAATAAAGTCTAGAAATGTTTCTTTGATAATTTTCTGTAATATATTTCTTCTGATTTTCCTTTATAGAATTCCTACAATTCAGATGACTTCTGGAGGGAATCATTTATTTTGCATATATTTTCTCCACTGCTTTTCAGCTCTGTTTTCCTAATCATTGGGCCTATATTTTTTCAACTTTATCTTCCTTTCATTCTATTTGGACTATCTTATTTTTTTTCCAACAGTTATTTTTTTTCTGAACTTGTCTCTTGACTGCAATAATGATTATCTCTTTAAGATCAATAATAATAATTTATTGTGTATTATTTCCCTGTACATTCTTTCTGTTTCCTCCAAGTTCCCTTTTCTTCCTGTTGTTTTAGTTTCTGTTTTTGCGTTAATTTTTTCTTTTTAGTTCTCTAGTGACCCCCTTTCTGGTCTGCTCATAGACTGACTTGATAGCCATGTATGTGACAAGTAGATCCAAATCATGTCATGACATAGAATACCAAAGAAGAGTTACCGGATGGTGAATGCAGAAACTGCAGTGGTGTAGTGACCCAGGTGGAGGGCTGGGGGTGATGCTCTGGTCATTGTCCATCAGGGCTTTCATGCCTATAGAGGATATACACTGTGGAGCTTAAAGGCCTCTGCACAGTCATTATACATTTACAGCAGAGTGGCCCTAGCTTCTTCATTGGTCAGTTCTTTATACCTTCCACCCAAGGACCCCAGCTTCCTGCTTTGAGCAGTGGGCCTCTTCAGGTATTCACTTTTAAGTGAAATAAGTTTTACCAAAAATTTAAAATCTGACCTAGAACATAGTCTCCTAGATGACTGAAGTATGTTTAATCGCAGGTGGGGATGTGATACTTCTATGGGGATAAACCTAAGACTGCCTGATTGCCTGGATGCCCTAAGGTGTAATTCGTAGAGGAAAAGGTGGACAAATACTTGAGTCTTTCCCCTTTACTTACTAGTTTGAGTGATGCTAGGGAACCAGCTCATTATTTTGCAAAAATGACCAACATATTTAAAAAATACCTTTCTAAAGGCAAGAGATAAACATATTTGATAGATTTCAATCCATTGTGCTTATTCTTACTAAACCTTATTCTTTCTTATCTTTTGCCAGTGGGCAGAAATTAAAATTTATTTCCAAGACCTTTGGATATACTTTCAATAGTTTTTAATAGATTATTTGCAGTCTGTTATAAAAGATGCTCTAGGCTTGTCTCGTACATTTCTTGGCTCAAACATAGAATGACTAATTATTCAAAGGTCCCTGGTTTCCTTTTCTACCAAATAGTATTTAGAGACTGCTTTCCAGATCCCCTGGGGGTACTGATTGCCATTACAGTAGACATTGTTTCTAGGATTTTTCAGTGGAATGTTGTAGAAAATATATATGTTTAAGCTATAATACATCATGAGCTCACCATGATACTTTAATTCAAATTCAGGGCTACCTGATCTTACCTAACTTCATCAATCTTATAGCTGTGCATTCTTTCTCCCATGGTTGGAGATTCCAGTTCACTGACTTTATTCTTTATTTGCTTTAATCCATAACACATGCATAACAGTCCCAGTATAACCATACCAAGAAGCAGTGATTGTTTGAATTCTGAAGTGCGCTTTGCTGTATTCTCCACAAAAAGAGAATAATTTTAAAATGTTGACTTGAAAAATAGTCATGAAAGTAGCTGAGTGAGCATTAATTAAACATCCTGCTGTGTTTTCTGCATAGTTTTAGCTCATGAATGAAGACAGTGATTTAAAATTGAAAGCAGAAGACAAAGTTAACTGACTAGATAATGAAAGGTGCAGACTTATTAAAGGCATAAGAGAATGCTTACCCAAAGGAGTTATCATTCTTTTTTTTTTTCATTAAACCCCTTCCATTCTAGCACAGAAGGATTATTCTATTTGCTGATGGAAATATACCATCACATGGAACTCGCAGATGTAATTAGCATTTGCAGGTTTCATTGCAAAGATATTTATTATCATTATTACCTGAGTTAAGTCTCTCAATAGATGCTATTGGTCCTTGAATTCTGGAAATATTAATTTTTAGATAAATGTTGATAACTTTCTTGCTGTTAAAATTTATCTTTCATATTATCACAGCCAAGAAATAGTTGTAAATAAAAATGAAATAAAGGGAAGTGAGCTACTTCTGTAATTTTTTTTTTTGTAAGTAGGCTATTCTTTTTCACTAATGGTGGCAGTTAGGCAGGATTCTATTGCTAAGAAGCCTCAGAGGACCCCAAACAACCATGCTTACAAAGCCATGGTTTATTGCAGGAAAAGGGTTCAATTCAGCAGCAGTATTAAATAAAGAATATCCACGGCAGTTAAAGGCTCCCTCCGGGTCCAGCTGCGAGCTCCATTTGGCCTTATGGAAACACCTCTGCTCTGAGATCACGAACCACTGACCAGTGCACAGAACACGGTGGACCCAGGGAGCTGAGGGCGGAATGTGGTCAGGATGTTTTAGTACTCTCCTGATCACGTGGGCATTTTCCTGCCACACATCCAACCCAAACAGCAGATACTTCTGCGTTTCTCATCAATAAACAATGCTGAAAAGTTGGTACGAATCCCCCAAAACTCCTTGGATCTGTGTTTGCCATCAGTATTGCCAATGATTATGTTTCATGCCTTTACTAGGTGCTAAGACTATGCAGGTACATTTCTTATTTCAGTCTGACAGCTCAGGCTAATTACAGGCCTGCTGGAACCAGTCCTCCCAACATACCTTTGAACTTCATATTATCTCAATATATATTCTAAATCAACATTTATTTTCATTGTAATGTCCCAAAATTCTTTCATGCATTTATGAACAGAGTAAAACTTTCAAAATTTTCAATTTTCAAATCAAGGCAGTTACATATACATCTTGTAAACAGGATTTAATGGTGACTCCTGTCAAACGAAAACCAGAGCTAGACAATGAAGGGGTAAAGTCAGATTTTACTCAAGACACTGTTACGGTAGGAAAATGAAGCCCTCAGTGCAGAACTTGGGCTCAACTCCAGATTTAACAAGGAAAAGTGAGAATTTATATGCAAGGAACAGAGGGTGGGATCCAGTGGAGGGAAAATTACTAAGGGGAAACATCAGGGTTAAAGAGATTCTGGCTAAACCAACCTCAACCAACCTGCTGAAGGCAGGCCATGGTGGCCAGATGTCGCCCAGGGGATGGAGGAGGATAGAGAATGTCATCAGATATCAAGGGTGGTGAGTTCTGGCTAAACTGACTTAGCAGGATTCATGCTACACTTGGGCCCCTGGGGAACATGCCCAAAGACGGAACCTAGCTGGACTCAGAGGAGGCTGATTAAAGTTTGGTCAAAGAGAGAGTTTTTGTCATTGTTCCTTCTTCATTTTTTCCGTAACAGTTACAATAATAGCCTTTATGATTTGACTTTTATATATTTTTTTCTCATATATGTCTTGTGTTTGTTCTATATCATTTTATCTTGCATTCCTTAATGGCAAAAACACTAGAAACATCCACTATCTACCTATGTCATCCAAGGCAAATTGCCAGGAATAAGGAAAGATTCTAGCAAAATAATACTAGTACTACCACTTCTACTATGACAACTACTTTTATACTAAGAAAAAGAAGGAGAAGAAAAGTGAGGAGGAAAAGAAGAAACATAGCCACCATTTACTATGGTTGCAGTGTTTGTATTTCTCTAAAATTCATGTTGAGACTTAATCTCCAATGCAATAGTATTAAGAGGGGGGCCTTAAGGAGGTGATTGGGTCATGAGGACTCCTTTCTTGTGAATGGGATTAAGGTTTTCATAAAAGAGGTTTCACACAGCATTTGGCCTTTTTGCCCTTCTACCTCTTCTGCCATGTGAGGACAGACAGCATTCATGCCTTCCTCCCTGTAAGGGTGCATCAAGAGATACCATCTTGGAAGCAGAGAGCTGTCCTCACCAGACACTGAATCCACCAGCACCTTGATCTTGGACTTCCCCACCTCCAGAACCATGAGAAATACATTTATATTATTCATAAACTACCAAGTCTCAGGTATCGTGTTATATCAGTACACACAGAAAGACACCATTTAATCCTCACAACAGCCATCTGAGGTAGGTTCTATTACTGTCCTGAATTTTGGTTAAGCAAATTCAGGCAGAAGGATGTTAAACAATAGCTCAAGGTCACAAAGCTAATAAGGGAAGGAAACAATTTCAACCCAGACAGTTTGGCTTTGCAGCCCAAAGCCTTTGTTTCTTACCTTGAACTCCCTTTTTAAAAAGAAATCTCATTTCATTGAAGTATTTTCTTTGAAACTTTATTCTTGTCTTACATATGTAAATGTCTTTCCCACCCCCTACTCTGTGAATCTGAGCACTAAATTTCAGTTTGAAGTCTTCTCCTCTGGAGCCGAACAATACTCAAAGTTTTTTAGGTGCAGATACTAGCAGACCACAGAGAAGTGAGTCCTCTCTGTGTAGCCTAAATGAGTCATATTATCCCAGCCTTCTCCCAAGACACACGCATTGGTCCTCCTATACCATTTTGGGGTAGGGTTGGGTCAAAGGGACTCCCATGAGGAGCACTTGAATTGAAACAAATAAAATATGTTTTCATATGAACTCTCTCAAAAACGTCATAGAAAATGATTGGCAGATTTCCAGGGGTGAGGTGTTCTTCAGAACAACCCATTCCCATTTCAGGGCTGCTCAGATTATTAGAAAGTTTTTCTTCATCTGCTAATACTATTTCTGACCTCTGGAATGATTCAGACTAAGCCTACTTCTTACTAGCTCTTTATCTAATGAAAAATAATTTAAATAATAATGACAACAATAATAACCAATAATGCTGATAAGTGCTGCTGTGTCCTGTATATCTTTCTAAGCCCAGTGAATGTGCTTATACATTGGCTCTTCAAGAATGCCCTCTAGAGAAAGGGGCTGATATTCTGATCTTTGTTTTACAAATAAGGAAACTTAAGTGTAAAGGGGGTAAGTAACATAACATGCAGGTGTAAGACCTAGATTTGAACCCAAGCAGTCTGGCTCCCGTACTTAACCAATGTACGGAACCAGAATGATACAATGGCACATTGTCCCTCTCACGACCTCTTCTCTTAACCAGTTTCAAGGCTTCATCTTTCCAGACCATTCTTCAATGCTTTAGTTTATAGTCTATCCATTAAGTCAGTCCATAATGTAATTCTTTAATAATAACTTATTGAGTGTCAAACATGCTGCCATGCTTGGTGGAATTCTCCAGATGACTCTAATTTGTGGTACTTCTCAAAAGTGACCATGGTTCTCCAAGGCCTGGAACAGAGAGGGAAGGGACTACTGGCAGCATGGCTTATGTGTACGTATTATATGGTACACGAGATAAGGATGATGGCATTGACTAACATGGCATTTCAACCTACTTGCTTTCCCTCCGAACAACATGTCACTCATGAATTTGGTATCCAGGCCCTCTGTTTTATGTTACTAATTCTGATATTGCAAAAAGAACAGCACCAGGGCAGATGACTGAGACGTGCCATGGCAGCAATGTCCATTAGTGTCATTTGTGCATGTACTTAATATACAACTACTGTGCATCTGACTCGGTTCAATTTGTGAATCACCCAGTGCCTTAAGAGTTCCACTCTGAAGCTGTTTGTCTTACCATGTAGACCACACTGGTGCAGTCTGAATAAAATTGGTAACATAAAATTTTACCAAAAGTCATAGGAAAATCTAGGGTTATGTCTCAGTCATTCTGCTGATTCACTAATGAGGATATGAAATTTAAAAACCATACCCTTCATGCTATATTTACCCTTCATGTATTATTAGGACTTTCTGGGTTCTTCTGTTTTCTTTAGATGCTTTGGAGTCTTGGCCCAGAGAGTTTTATAATTTTGGCAAATACTGATGTCAGGTTTGATGGAATACACCAAATGTTGCAACCTAGTTTCAACCTAGTTGACTGAGGGGATCAGTACACACTGCCCCAAAATATGGCACCGTGGCCTTTGAGGGAACAACAGAAGCAGAAAGGTCACTCACAGACATTCTCCTACCATTCTTCCCTGAAGCAGGCCATAAAATAATTGTCTAATCTTCCACTATCATAAGAACCTCATCCCAGCGGTATTCTCCCTGTACCTCCCTGTACCCGGAGGAAAGGTATGAAATGTGGAGACACCAAGAAGAATCTGAACACACAGACCTTGCTAAGTTCTCCCTGTTTCCTCATTGTCAGATCACACCTCCTTTCATCCAATTACACCTCTATGCAACTGTCCACTCTTCATCAGACCCAAGCATAAACATATGCCATTTTCCCTGTTTGTTTGGGTCTTCGTTTATGAAGGCTCCAGTGTAACATAAATCTTATACTAAATACATTTGTATGTTTTTCTTGATAATCTGTCTTCTGTTATACGAGTTTCAGCCATGAACCTTACAATGGTTAAGGAAAAGATATAACTTTTTCAGTCCTACATGTTTATGGTGAAATATGTCCTGTAGACGTGGTTAGTTTGGTTTGCATGATGATAGTTATCTACTGCTGTGTAACAGGGGAGCACAGTGGTGTAAAGCCGCATACACTTACTGCCTCATGATTTCTGCAGGTCAGGAGTCTGGGCATGTCTTCAGTGAGTTCTTTGGTTAAGGTCTAATGAGGCTGAAGTTATTGTGTCCTTGGGCTGTGTTGTCATCTAGAGTCTCAAATGGGGATGAATGTGCTTCACTCAGGTCATTCATAGAATTCATATTCTTGTGATTTCAGGACTGAGGTCATTGGGTTCGTATGGAAAATCATCTGGAGGCTTATCACAGCTCCCAGCCACTGCTCTCAGCTCCCAGAGGTGCCACAGTTCCAAGAAGCCATCTCCATTTCCTTGGCACATGGGCATTCCCAGCACAGCTGCTGACTTCATTAAGGCAGCAAGGAGAGCCCCTAGAGCACATCTGCTAGCAAGGCAGAGTCCTGTGCAATGTAATGGGATCATGGGAGTGACGTTTGTCACCTTGCTGTACTTTATTGGTTGGAAGCAAGCCACAGGTCCTTGTCATACTCAAGAGGTGGGGATTAACCGAATGTGTGAACACCAGGAGGTGGGGATCATGGAAGATTCCTTTGAGTTCGTCGGTGACAATAATGTTTAAACAACTGAATTCACTGCTAACAGGAAATGTCAGGAAATTTCATATTAAAACTCCATGTGTCCCCAGATCTTAGAAAGCCTGATGCCAGATCTGCTTTTACATGCCAGATCTGCTTTTATGTGACCAGTATCAGTGTGAGCTGAGAAATAGCTGCTTGCTCTGAGCAGTTGCATTGCTACTCATCTCATCACAATCCTTTCTTGCTTATTGTATGTTGCTGTTGTTTATTGTCTTGCATGCATAGGTGCTTTTCACACATCTAGGTGCTTCAATTATTTGTGTTATCTGGCTGGCCTCTGGTGACATTTGTGTTTTTATAACTCCTGGTCTATGTGTGATGTTACTTCTTTCCTTAGGGATGCATACTCTTGTTGACTGTTCTCATTGCTTGTGGAATTCTGGCTATTGCTTTTGCCAGTGATTGTAGGGAAGGTCATGATATTTTATCTTTGGCCCCTGATAAAGTAATTAGTAATTATGGAGTGATAAAAAGTAATAAGCAATTATCAAGGTCTAATTGCGTGTGGGCCTTCTGCTTGTCTATAGGCGCTCCTGGACTGGGCTCCTAGTAAGCAGGCTGCTGGCTGTCATTGCCAACCAATACTCCTTTGGCTGAGGCCAATTCTTGAAGGCCATCTTCTTGTTATCACAAGGTTGACTTACAGGAAATGTATTAAAATCTCTTAAGTTTTTTGACCGTGTCTCACATAATATAGATATTCACCTGGGTCAAAGGCAGCCTGAGATTATAGCTCCATTGTCATAAAAATGTCAGCTAATCTCCCCAGTTGTTAATATCTCAGTACTCTTGGGAGACTTTGCTCATTTTAAAAATCAATTTTTGCTCAAGCGTATGCCAAACTTAGTTGACCTTAAAATAACAAAGTAAGTAATCTGAGGTCATCCACAGCCTGGCATTCAGAGAGTCTGCTGCCTTGGGGAAGGAATGCCATTCAATTTTTGGATTCCATTTTCACTTCGTTTATTATCTCTAGCTAGCAAAATTCTTTTAGACAATGAGAGGGTGGCATTCTTACAGAGTAGCTTATGGGTCTGGTGCACTGCACACGTCAGCCCCATGATGGGAACCAGGTAAGGAATCAAATGTCTGGTTATTCTGGAAGCTGGTTAATTTTCTCACCAACAGAATGGAGTTTGTGTCTGGGGTCAGTCTTTGAAGCTGAACTGAGATGTTCACGGTTGCTGTAAGGTAGATGTTCACAGGCTCCAGATGCCTTTGCCCTTGGAGAGTGCTCACATTCGTACCTAACAGCTTCAGAGATGAGAGCCTTAAAGAGGGGCTCAACTTCCCTTCGGCGATACCACCCTGGTTCCATCATGTCTAATTTCCCTTTGAGCAGATGGCACCTAAGTTATTCAGTCAATAGCTATATGCATAACTACATAGTGACTCTGGGTTGTGCAGCTAATGTGACTAACAGTGACTGTGTAGAGGCTGTGCCTGGGGCTGTTCAGCCAGCCACCACCACAGTGATGCTGTGCACCCCTCTAAATGCTGTGCCACCTACTGTTCCAAGCTCTTTACATACTTAGAAAGGATATGTAATTTGCCCAAGGTCATAACGCTAGAAAATAGTTGAGCCAGTGTATGAACTCAGGCAGTGTGTTTCCACCACAATATTATACATAACCTTAAAAGGTTGAGTCTATAAGATCTGTTTGGCTAATAAAAAAGAGTGAGATTCTGTTTTTTTGCAACAACATGGATGGAACTGGAGATCATTATGTTAAGTGAAATAAGCCAGGCACAGAAAGACAAACACCACATGTTCTTACTTATCTGTGGGATCTAAACATCAAAACAGTGGAACTCATGAAGATAGTAGAAGGATGGTTACCAGAGGCTGGGAAGGGTAGTGGAGATGGAGCGGGGAAGTGGGAATGGCTAATGGATACAAAAAATAGAAAGAATGAATAAGACCTAATATTTGATAGCACAAGAGGGTAACTTTAGTCAAAATAATTGTACATTTTAAAATAACTAAAAGAGTGTAATTGGATTGTTTGTAACACAGAAGATGAAGCCTTGAGGGGATGGATACCCCGTTCTCCATGATGTGATTATTATACATTGCATGCCTGTATCAAAACATCTCATGTACCCCATAAATATATACACCTACTGTGTACCCACAAAAATTAAGAATGAAAAAATGTTTTAAAGATCTGTTGGCCAAATAATATAGATACTAACATTTATGTGCTCAACACTGTACTGTTGTATATGCAGTGTGCCATGGGATTATCAGACCAACCCTGTGATAGAAGCTATTATTATCTTCTTTGACAGTTGAAGAAAGTGAAGCAAAGAAACATGAAATAACTTGTTCAGGTTCCCACAGCTAGAAGTGGGTTCAAACCCAGCATCTGCACTGTTGTTAACCAGTCTGCCACAGATTATTCCATGTGTGGAGGAATTATCCCTATGACTCTGCTTTGCACTTGGTAAAAAATAAAAGCAATTGAGAGAGAAAAGCAATGCAACATGATTTCAGGGAAACTCCTCTCCTACAGAATGGAGGTGCAGACAGCCTGTGCCCTGGAGAAGGTCACTGCACTGCTCGCAAGGCTGGGCTGGCTCCATGGCCACCAGTTGAAAGCCTTACACCAATGGTGTCAGTAGATGCCTTGGTACGACTTTAGCTACTGCCTCATGCTCCACAAAGTAGAGAATTAGGTGACGATTGCACTTGAAGCTTAGTAAAGCAGCGGAGACCCCCTTCACCCAGAGAGCTTCACTCACTTCCCCGTGTAGCTCATTTTGGTATTTGGAAAAGAGGCTGTGTTTAGCATGGAAAGCAAGCCGGGAAATTGTTTCAGGAAGGTTAGGGTGGTCCCCAAAGCCAATCTGGCCCACCTCTAGTAAGATGAAGGGCAAAGATGGGCCTGGCTGGCAGTGATGGTGTGGAGCTCAGGGGATCCCCTTTTTCCCTCTCCCTTTCCATCTTTTTCTAAGAAGCGTATTACCCTCACATGCTGATTTTGCCTAATAGGACATCTGTGAAATCACTCTTTCTCTTTGTCAGTGAAACTTTAATTGAAGGTTGGAATATGCTGATGGGTAAAATAGGTGTGTCAATATGTTAGTGAAAAGAAATAGATGAGTTCTCATTCTTGTAGGTATCAGATATCTTTTTGACTCTTGGACATTGTTATGGTCTGAATGTCTGTGTCCCTGCAAAATTAGTATATAGAAACGTAACCCCCAAGATGATAGTGCTAGGAAGTGGGGCCTTTGGGAGGTGATTAGGTCCTGAGGTTGGAGCCATTATGAATGGGATTAGTGTGCTTATAAAAGAGGCCTGTGGGAACTCACTCACTCCTTCCAGCATGAGAGGACACAGCAGGCACTGTCTATGAGGAACAGGCCTTCGCCAGACACCTCATCTGCTGGAGCCTTGATCTTAGACTTCCCAGTCTCTAGAACTGTGAGCAATACATTTCTGTTGTTTATAAGTTAATCAGCCATAGCAGCACAAATGGACTGGCATAGACATCTCAGCCCGTATTCTTTGTTCTAGCCCATCGGAAAATGATGGGTGCGTATGACACACAGTCCCAGTGGTGTCCCGAGTGATTAGCACAGTGGGAGTGATAAAAATGACTCCCATTCCAGCCCCTGCTCTCAAACGCTTGGTGCTGAGTGGGGTGAAATACACACACGAGGATGATAATGGAGGCATTGCTGCTGTGTACAGCAGGACTCGAACCAGGGAGGCAAGCAAAAGGGGAAGCCGAGGCCACTGTGGAGGCACAGCAGTCCCTGAGGTCACTCAAGGGGTTAAGGAAGCTGGCTTTTGGGCCTGTTCTGGGAAGGGCCATTCACCACTCACTAGACATTTTCTGGACACCCAGGCGGCCGGAGCCTTCCCTGCTGACTCAGCCCTGCCTTGGAAGCCTACGCTTTAGTGGGCTGAATTAAATTCCAGATTGGTAGAGGGGTGTTTGGAGGGCAGCGGTGAGGAGGTCAACCCTCAGCAGTTTAACTCATGTTAAGATCACAGAAGAATGGTCTGTGTGGATATCTTCTTAGAGCCTGGGGACAAATTGCAATGTCCATGATTTCTACCGAAATAGACACTTCTGGATATTGTAAAGCCATAGTGTTAGCCAATAAATATAACTTGTGGAAGGGGATCATTGGAACAACAGTGGTAAGAAATTCCGTTTACCACATTGTATCTAGTTCTGCTGTACCTAATCTTCTAGGATCTTCAGGGCAGCCCTGTGAGGTCTGATTACACTCACTTCACAGGTGGGAAATGAAGGCCAGTGGCTCTGCTGCTGGGCTCTCTGTCCAGGCTGCATGACCAAACCACCTCTCCTCCTAGCATCTGGAGCAGAGCCTTTTTTCCATGCAGGTAAGGCAGATGTCCTTGCCCTAATTTACAGTGTGATCCGGGGAAATGGAGGGAGAGACGATGATGCCCATGACAGAGTCTTGACAATGGGTCATTGCTGAAGTCCTGTTATCATTGATTAATCATCACGGCTTCCTGGTAATGCCTCAGTCTTTCAGAGCCTGACTCAGCGCCTCTTGGCTTTAGATAACAGCTCTACCAGGGAAGCAGGGGAGTAGGGGGAAGGCCCAGTAGACCCTGGGGGCAACAGCTGTGGGTGCTTGAGCCAGCTCACCCCAGGCACCAGCTTGTTGCCTCAGGCAAGGCCCCATAAAGGTTATCTCTGCTTATAAAACCCTGGAGGAGCTGTTCTGGTTCCTTTGAAAAATAGACTTTGAAAGCTTGCCCAACCTTTTTCTTTTTCAGCAGTGCTGCTGAGACTACCTGTTTGATGTGTTATAATTACATTCACTCTAATTATGGCTACTGATTTCTTCAAAACCTCAGCGCACTCTGGTACTATTCTTCCTGCTTGCTTACTGCTGTGTGGGATTATTTCTCCCTAGATGTTCACCAGACTTTGGCTTTTAATGACAGCAGCCAGTTGCATTTCCAAAACATTTTAATTTAATTATATTTCTCAAACCAAAGAGATGTAGTGTGATGATATGCCGAAAGACTTTTTATTAGTAAAAAAAAGAAATATTTCAAATGAAATGTATCGCTGTTTTTTATAGCCACTGTTGTACAGTGGAAGGTAATTCAAAGATAGGTAAAGAAATAGTGTTGTCACAGAAAGATAAATATTGCATGGTCTCACTTATATGTGGGAGCTAAAGAAAAAACTTGAGCTTTCGGAAGCAGAGAGGAGAATAGAGGTTATTAGAGGCTGAGAAGGGAAGGGAGGAGGAGAGGGTGGGGAGAGGTTTGTTAATGCGCACAAAGTTATAGCCAAATAGGAATGAGTGCTGCAGGGCAAGTATTGTTAGCAGTAATTTATTGCATATTTTCAAGAAGCTAAAAGAGAATTTTGACTGTTCACAACACAACTGATAAGTATTTGAGGTGATGGTTATGCTACTTACCAGGATTTGATAATTACATATTATATACGTATATTGAAGTATCACTCTGTATTCCATAAACATGTACAATTTTATGTGTTGACCAAAGATAAAGGAAAAAATAAGATATTAGCATTGTTAGACATTAGCTATTAACTTTGTTCGATATTAGCATTAGGTGTTAGATATTAGTATTCTTTGCGGGAGCGCTGTGTCCCTGAAAGGAAGAGTATCTCTCAGAGGGAAACAGAGACAGCAGCCATGCGCCACATAGCAACTGGCCGCTGTCTGCCGCAAGGCTGGGTTGTGTGCACTGTGGCACTCGTCCTCAAGTCTGCTTGGGACTATTGCAAACACCAAATGAAACACCATCTTCAACTTTGCAGCCAAATGCCTCTTAATAGAATGAGGGCAGATAATATGATCTATTAGGAGCTTCCAAATGGCATGTTCCAGTAAAAAGGAAGAACTGCCTTATGCATGCAACTCAGCAGAGATGATGATTAGACACAGTGATTGCAGATCACAGCGCAATTAAATGTGTCTTCCCTTAGCCTAAATCCACGGGGAGATTGGAGAGACACAATCTCACGTGCTTACAGCAACCAGCGGCATGACATAAAACCAGTGAGTAGCAAGTTGAGAGAACAGGGCTTCTTTATTTTACACTTTCTTTACTAAACACTTTATATATTGTCTTATTGGATCCCCACAAATATCCTAAAGATAAATCATATTATCACCTTAATTTACAGATAAGAAACTGGGGCACGGAGAGGCTCAGTAACTTAGTCAAAGCTACCCAGCATGTAGGCAGGGGAGGGACTCGCGATTAGGTCTTGTCTGACTTGGTGAATCCACCGTAACATTTGACTTGCATTCGGTCCTCAATCTTTCCCACCGACAGTAGCATCAGTACTGTTCTCAGAGTGCTTCCAGGCCTCTGACTTCTGACCATCTTCAGGAGGGCACTTCCTGGCTGTGGCTGTGGCTGCACTGTGGTGCGCCATGGCCAACTGGCTGGGGGAGGCCATGGGTTTTCCATGGAAGCGATGGGTGTCACTTCCAGGCCTGAGCATTGAATGCTGGGGCGAGGCCTTTCCGAGCTCCCCTGCCCTCTGCTGTGGTGAGTCATCTCCCCAAAGTGGAGCAAATCCATGGTGAGGATGGAATAGCACTGAGCCACTGGGCAATAATGCTGTTGTTTGAGGCCTCTGAACTTGCAGCACCGCCTTTTGCCATAGATTAGTTTAGCCCGCCATGATGGATTCGAGACAGGTGCTAGGGATGGATGGCATAATGACCCAAAACCTGAAATATGCAGCATTGGCTTCAGGTGACAGCGATGGTGATGGAGCCCTGAGTAGGTGGAGGACATGGTGACCCTGGCATGTAGTGAGGTAGCATTCGGCCTCAGGGGCAATAACTTGGAAGGCAGGTCAGGCACCTACAGACCTCATGGCCAGCGGAGAGATTGGAAAATAGATTTTTAATAGTATACATTGCTGGGTATTGATTGCATTTGGCAGGGCATTAAAAGAAAAAGATGATCCTAAAAATCAAGTGGTTTCAGCAATTCCACTTCTAAGTGTATATACAAAAGAGTTAAAAACAGGGTCCTGAACACATCTGTGTATACCAGTTTTCCTAGCAGCATTGTTCACAGTAATTAAAACTTGGATGCAACCCAAGGGCTCACTGATGGGATGAATAGATAAAATATGATAGATATATAGAATGGAATATGATTCAGCCCAAAAAAGGAAATTCTTACATGTGCTATAATATGCATGAACCTTGAGGACATTATGCTAAGTAAAATAAGCCAGTCAGAAAGACAAATTCTGTATGATTCTACTTTTATGAAATACTTAGAGTGGTCAAATTCATAGAGACAGAAAGTAGAATGGTGGTTGCCAGGTACTGAGGGGTGGGGGGTGGGAGCCGTTTAATGTGGACAGGGTTCCACTTGGGGAAAGTGGAAAATCTCTGGGGTCTCCTTGGAAATCATGTCTGCTTTTAGGCAGAAAGCACAGCTTCTTCTGTGAATTCTAATTTCTGCACTTCACGGTGGAGGGAGTACTTAAAGATACCAACGAACAGAATGCCAGCCCCCACACCTTTATACCTGCATGGCCAACACGTGCTTAAGCAGTGTTTGTTTTGGTGACCGCATTATTCCCTTTTTCCCCAAGTCATCAACTTAGCATTCAAAGCAATAATCATTCTTTAAAAAACAAAACTCATACTTCATCTATATTTTAAATAACAATACACGTGTTTACAACAAAAATAGCCTTTGGCCTTGGCAGATTTGGACAGCACACAGTCGGCAGTAAGAATAGAGACCCCCCACTGGTAGGTGTGGAGGGTGGAGATGAGCCTGGACAGCTGCTCTGTCCTGTGAGCCAGCCACGTGGGTGCTGGTGATAAAGCGTCTCCTCAGTAGATAAGAGATTACAAAGTGAGAAGCAGGAAATGTGACCTGGGTATGGAAGGCGATAAAATGGACACATCTCATGACATATAAAGGGAAACCTTTCATCCTTTAACATGTGGTTTGAGGCCAGGGATGGTGGCTCACGCCTGTAATCCCAGCATTTTGGGAGGCCCAGGAGGGAGCATGGCTTGAGGCCAGGAATTCAAAATCAGCCTGGGCAACATAGTGAGACCCTGTCTCTACAAAAAAGATAAAATGTGGTTTGTTATTGCGAATAGTGCTTGGCGTCCATATCTGGTGGAGGAGAGCTTGTGGCTGCTGTGGTGCTGTGTGTTGTGTGTCGCTCTACCTTGTGGAGGGTGCTGGATGCCACAGATTCACCACACACGTCTCCCTTCATGCATGATCAACCCATGAGTCAGTGCTTTAAGACTTATCTCAGGTACCGGAATTATTTAAAATAATTGTCCAGAAGGCTTAGTTTTGGGGAGATCCATTGAGCGAGTCATCTGCCCACGCCTTGAAGCCCATAATCCTGAGGTTGAGCTGCAGCCAGCATGGCTTCCCTTCTAGTGTGTGAATGTTTTACAGAGTATGTTGTCACTTGCATTGACACGTTGCTGATATTTTATATATTTGGATGGGGCATTGATGAAATAAGTGCAACACTGAGCATTTGTAAAGCAGAACAATTTGACACAGTTGTTTTGTTAGAACTTCTCCACAACCATGGGAAGAAGGCAGAGATAGAAAGCCGAGTCCAGAACTGAAATGACTTATTCGCAGAGCCCTCTGGCTCTAGACAAGTGACAATTTCTGGGGTTCTCCTACTATTCCTATTGCAGGCTGCAGTTACCTGCCAGCAGAACGATACTGTGTGTCTCATTATTTCAATGAGGTCAATTGGATATTTTTAATTGATTTTCAGTTTTGAATTTTATTTATAAAATGTAATTTACAGTGATGTGAGAATTAGAAGATATGGAATTTATATCTACTTTTAAGTTCTCACATATTTAGATAAAACTAAAAATAATTTAAGTCAATATTGGAGGTTTGGGAAATTTGGGGAGGGTAAAAATATACATAACATAGAACATGTATGGTATGCATATAATATAAAATGTATCATTTTGAGGGTATAGTTCAGTGTCATTAAGAACATTCAGATTGTTGTGCTATTATCACCACTGTTCAGCCAAAGAAATTTTCATCTTCTAAAACTGAAATTTTACCTCCTTTAAACAGTGACTCCCCAGTCCTTGCATTCCCTGGTCCCTGGCAACCACATTCTACTTTCTGTCTCTATGAATCTGATTACTCAAGGTACTTTATATAGTGGAATCATACAGCATCTGTCCTTTTGCTACTGTTTAATTACATTTAGCATTAATGTCTTCAAGGTTCATTCATGTCTTAGCATTTCCTTCCTTTTTAAAGATGAATAATATTCATTATGTGTATATGCCATATTTTATTTAACCATTCAATCTTAGATGGACACCTGTGTTGCTTCTACCTTCTGGTTATTGTGAATAATGCTACTATGTGTACACAAATATCTGCCTGAGTCCCTGCTTTCAATTCTTTTGGGTGTACACCTGCAAGTAAAATTGCGGTCATATGATAATTTATATTTTTCTGAGGAACTCCCATACTGTTTTCCATAGTGGCTATGCCATTTTACATTGTTACCAGCAGTGCAAAGAAATGCCAATTTCTCCACATCCTCGCCAACACTTGTTAGTTTCTGTTTTGTTTTTTTTTTTTTCATAACAGCCATGCTAATGGGTGTGAAGTGGTGTCTCATTGTAGTTTTGATTTGCATTTTCCTAATAACTACTGATACTGCACAACCTTACATGTGTTTATTGGCCATTTCTATATCTTCTTTGGAGAAATACCTATTCAAGTCGTTTGTCCAGTTTAAATCAGGTTGTTGTTGTTGTTGTTTAAATAGTTGCTCTGTTGTAGTTCTTTATATATTCTGGACATTAACCCATTATCAGATATGTAATAATATGTAAATATTGTCTCACATGCTATATGTTGTCTTTTCACTTTGTTGATAGGGACTTTTGATGCATAAAAGTTGATTTTGATGTAGTCCAGTTTATCTATTTTTTTCTTTTGTTGCTTGTGTTCTTGTGTCATATTCAAGAAATAATTGCCAAATTTAATGACATGAAGCTTTTCCCCTTGGTTTTCATCTAACAGTTAAGTTTTAGCTGGTATATGTAGGTCTTTGTTAAAATTTGAATCAATTTTTGTATGTGGTGTAAGATAAAGTCCCAACTTCATTCTTTTGCTTCTGGATATCCAGTTTTTTCAACACCCTTGTGGAAAGACTGTCCATTCTCCATTTAATGGTCTTGGAACCTTTGTCAAAAATCATTTGACAATATTTGTGTGGCTTTATTTCTGGGCTCTTTGTTCCACTGGTCTAGATATCTGTCTTTATATAATTACCATACTTTTTTGATTACTGTAACTTTGTAGTAAGTTTTGAAATCAGAAACTATGAGACCCCCAACTTTGTTCTTCTTCAAGACTATTTTGGATATTTGGAGTCTTTTGAATTTCTATATTAATTCTAGGATTTTCTTTTCAATGTCTGCAAAAATATCATTGGAATTTTAATAGAGATTACATTAAATCTATAGATCACTTTGGGTAGTATTGACATCTTAACAATATTAGATCTTTCGACCTGTAAACACAGAATCTTTCCATTTTTTGGTATCTTCCTTAATTTCTTTCAGCATACACGTCTGTTGTCCATTGGTTCAGTTTATTTGAGTGTCTTATTCTTTTTGGTACTATTGTAAATGGAATTGTTTCTTAATTTTCTTTACAGATTGTTCTTTGTTACGTGAAAATATAACTGATTTGGGGTGTTGACTTTGTATACTGTCCTGTAACTTTACTTACTTCATTTGTTAGTCCTAACAGGTTTTTTTCTTTGTTATTATTTTTTTTGGTGTGAAATCTTTAGGCTTTTCTACATATAAAATCACGTCTGTGAAAAGAGATAATTTTACATCTTCCTTTCCAATTTGTATGCCTTTTAATTTTCTTTTCTTTCCTAATTACTCTGGCTAGAAATTCCAATACTACATTCAATAGAAGTGGTAAAGTGGGCATTCTTGTCCTGTCCGTGATTTTAGAGGAAAAGCTTTCAGTCATTCACTATTGAATGTGATGTTGCCAGCGGGTTTTTATACATGGCTTTTATTGTGGTGCATTCGTTATCTTCTGTTCTGAGTCTTTGAGTGCTTCTTTTCACAAAAGGGCGTTGAAGTTTGTCATATACTTTTTCTGCATCAATTGAGATGATCATGTGCTTTTTTTTCTTCATTCTGTTAATTTGGTTTATTGCACTGATTGATTTTTTTATGTCAAACTATCCTTGTTTTTCAGGAACAAACCATACTTTTTCATGCTCTATGGTCCTTTTAATGTGTTGCTCAATTCTGTTTGATAGCATTTCATTCAGGATTCTTGTATCAGTAGTCAAAAAGATATTGGTTTGTAGTTTTGTCTTCTTAGAGTGTCTTTGTTTGGTGTTGGTGTCAGGATAAACCCAACCTCATATAATGAGTTTGGAAGTGTTCCCTCGTCTTCAATATTTTGAAGCATCTGAGGATAATTGGTATTAATTCTTCTTTAATTTTTTTTAAAGTTTTATTTTTGATGGACATGTAATTGTTATACATACTTACACGGTAAAATGCAGTTCTATTTTTATTTTTTTGAGGAACAGCCATACTGTTTTCTGTTATACCTGTACTAATTTACATTTCTACCTCATCAGCGGTTCTCCTTTCTCCACATCCTCACCAGTGTTTGTTATTTTTCGTCTTTTTGATAATTGGGGTAAGGTGATGTCTTACTGTGGTTTTGATTTTTCATTTCCCTGATGATTAGAGATGTTGAGCATTTTAAAAATATATATTTGGCCATTTTCATGTCTTCTTTTGAGAAATGTATATTCAGGTCTTTTGACCAATTTTAAGTTGGATTATTTATATTTTTGATATTGAGTAGTTCAAGTTTCTTATAAATTCTGGATATTAACCCCTTGTCAGATGTATAATTTGCAAATATTTTCTTCCATTCTGTAGGCTGTGTCTTAACTCTGCTAATTGTTTCCTTTGTTGTACAGAATCTTTTTAGTTTGATGTAATCCAATTTGTCTATTTTTGCTTTTATTGCCTGTGCTTCTGAAATTTTATCCAAAAAAATCCTTCCCCAGACCAATGTCATGTAGCATTTCCCCTATATTTTCTTCTAGTAGTTTCATAGTTTCAGGTCTTACATTTAAATGTTTAATCCATTTGAGTTGTTTGTTGTATAAGGTGAAAGATAGGGGTCTAGTTTTATTATTCTGCCTGTGATTATCCAGTTTTCAGAGCACAATTTATTGAAGAGAATTCTCCTGTGAAGCCATCTGTTCCTGGGCTTTTTCTTGTTTGGAGGTTTATGATTACTGATTCAATCTTCCCAGTAGTTACAGTTTTTTTTTTTTTTTTTTTTTTTTTTTTTGTGGCTTATTTTCTTTTTCTTCCTGATTCAACTTTGAAAGGTTGTACGTTTCCAGAAGTTTTCTATTTCATCTGGGTTTTCTATTTATTGGTGTGCATTTTTTTTAGTATTTTCTTGTAATCCTTTTTATTTCATTAAAATTGGTTGTAATGTCTCTTTCATCTTTTGGTGCTGAGTTTAGTTACATGCATTTTCTTCATTTATTAGTCAGTATAGGTAAAAATTTATCAATTTTGTTGATTTTTTTCAAAGAATCAACTCTTATTTTGTTGATTTTTTTTCCTATTTCTTATTCCATTTATCTGTGCTCTAATCTTTATTATTTTCTTCCTTTGCTAGCTTTGGGGTTAGTTCATTTTTCTTTTTCCAGTTCCTTAGAGTGTAAACTTAGATTATTGATGTGTCATCTTTCTTCTTTTTAATGTAAGCATTTACATCTCTAAATTTCCTTCTCAGCATTGCTTTTATTCTGTTCTATAATTTTTTTTATGTGGTCTTTTAATTTTCATTTACCGCAAGATATTTTCTAATTTCTCTTACGATATTGTTTTTCTAGGACCTGTTGGTTGTTTAAGAGTATGTTGTTTATTTCCACATATTTGTGATTTTTTAAGTTTTTTTCTGCTTTAGATTTATAGTTTTATTCTATTATTGAGATTTTTTTCCCTAAACTATAGAGAAAAGTGAATATGATCATCCTTCCATCTTAACATACAGCTGGCTTTCTATTAGAAAATACTACTTTTTTTCTACCAGCCTATTGAGAAGTTAAGATGTTTTTAAATAATAGATTCATTTTTTAAACATGTGTCCTGAATTAATACCTATGAATGTTCGGGTTCTCCACTTCCACATGCCTTTTCTAATCAGTTATGTATTATTAATGGAGACTCCCACTCCTGTGTGGTGTTACACCCCCATTTCAGAGTCACAGAGTGACTTCCTGTAGCCATTGCCCAAGGCGCTGGTGAGGCAGCCTGTGGATTACTTATGGCTCAATCCTGAGCTATGAATTTCCCTTTCCTTTTTTTCTGTTTTATGCATTTCTACCTTTGAAACAGGCTCCTACTGACATGTTTTTATACTGACAAAAGGCTAGTTGCTCTGCTTCCAAGTATTTAATTTGCTTTCTAAAATCCAAATATGAATTTCTCTGGGAGAGCTTTTTATTAGTTTTTATGACAATGAAGTTTTTCTTGATTAGGCAATTTGTGACAAGTTAATTGAATTTGTCATGTGCAAAGATGAAGAGCAAATTGTTACAAACTGCAAATGCAATTGGGCTGTTAACTTCAACATGATAAATCATTTTTGTTGGTGTAAATGTCTAGGTTCATCTTACGGTATGCACTTTTCAGATTTCACAGTTCAACAAGACCCACACACTTTAGTGGGTAAAACAGTTCTCACAGAGGATTAAACATTTGAAGTTCTTTGGACTTTTTGAATTTTATAATTGCAGAAAAATCAAGAATATTTTACTTATGAATCAAAGAGATTATCATGTAGCACCATGGCTCCTGATTCTTAAGGTCTCTCTGTAATTAAATGCTTTGCTGTTTATCTCCCACCACCAAAGGGAAAGCGAATTTCACATCACTGAGCTTGTCCATAGGCATCAGAAAGAATGATCTTACACTTCCTTCATTTTATTCTTTAGGGAGTTACGAATGTTAGGAAATGGCCTTGGCTGTGAACATGATTGGCCTGAGACCAGGGTTAAAAATGAATGTCATTAACTTAAGCATACACTTTATTAACGAGCAGACTGCAGGTACTAAACACAGGATTTGTGCAAGAGACAAAACAGCCCTTGTCCTAGACATGCTTCAGTTCCAGCCACTCCTTGTCCTCACCATATTAAAAGAACCTCCCCCATCTCCAATTTTCTGTCAGGGCAATCCCCCAAACCTCCCTTTTTTAGAAACACCCTCCTGTTCAAGATGACCACCATGGTGACTCTCCGCTCTGTTCAAAGTTAGCCTCCTCTGTTTGGCTTCTGGGGGCTCTGCAGTGTGACACCCCACTGTCTACCTAGCACTGCTGAGGCCCTGTGGTCACCACACTGGGCTCTGGCCTAGTCCCACCCATGCCCGGCTTCTCCTTTCACTTCCCTCCTCTCCTAGTGTTCACTGTCCTCCTCAGAAAGACCCAGGTGCACGTTGTCATGGTTTTGAAGGTGTCGCTAAAGTCACCTCCTCCAGGAAGCCCTCCAGGGCTTCTGCTGCTCATGTTGGTCTTGCCCTCCACAGAGGTACTATGCGATCATTGTTGGCATTGTGGAATTGAATACTCTTTCCAAAGCAGATGATATTATGAAAGAACAATATTCTCTCTGAGAGAATCAAAATTCCCCTGAAGCTAGGGATCCTTCCTGGAGCTTCTGTGTTGCACTTCCAAATCTTACAGGGCTGGTCCTCCATTGACTAAAAAAATAAGATACAAATTTCCAGGAGTGCATTAAGGTGTTGCCCACGTTAGAGTCAGCTTTACAAAGTGCAATGAGAACAGTTATGACCTTGAATGATAATATGGGACTTTTAGACACCACACAAAGGGACATCAGTAGTCTCTTCTGAAAACTTTTATTCTAACATCTAATTATACTGATGAGCAAACATGTGTTTTTAGCTATAGTAAAGAGAAATGCTTATGTAGGCAGTGATGCCTCTTTTCTATCATGGTAAATTTCACTAGTTTTGATAGATGGGATTGATATATGGCATATGTGTGTGTGTTCCTGCTTAATTAAAGGAACTAGGAACTGATCTTAATCAAGCAGAACTCATTAATAGCTTTGAGAATAAGAGCCAGTGTGGCCAGGTAGAGCTTCTTTGAATGAACATATGAGGGCTAATTTCCTAAGTGGCTGTTCTTATGTGCTTGAAAGCAGTCTGTTCTCATAAGCAGCGAGGGGAATTCTGTGCCCAGTCCTCATTTGTTTAGCAGATCTTTCAAAGTAGCTCCACTATCCAGTACTTAGTGTAGATATTTAAGGCTGATCATTTGGATGGATCAGACAGACCATGTCTCAAAGCATGCTGGTTGTATGAGCTAGGGCAAATAATGTCAAATTTTTAGCACTGACTTGAGGGTTCTTGTGAGAGTTAAAGGAGATAAGGGAGGCCAGGCGCAGTGGCTCAAGCCTGTAATCCTAGCACTTTGGGAGCCCGAGGCAGGTGGGTCACGAGGTCAGGAGTTTGAGACCAGCCTGGCCAATATGGTGAAACCCCATCTCTACTAAAAATACAAAAATTAGCCAGTCATGGTGGTGTGCGCCTATAATCCCAGCTACTCAGGAAGCTGAAGCAGGAGAATCACTCAAACCTGGAAGGAGGAGGATGCAGTGAGCTGAGATCATGCCACTGCACTCCAGCCTGAGCAACAGAGCCAGACTTTGTCTCCAAAACAAAACAAACAAAAAACAAAGCAAAACAAAACAACAAAAAAGAGAGAGATAAGGGAGAGAAAGCACAAGGTTGTACCCAAAGCGGATGCTCAGAAAGCTCAGTTCCTCCCTTCCCTCTAATGGGAGCTGTGAAGAGCTGACAGCACCACGAGGGGTGGCAGGGAGTCCACAGCTCCTTAATGTCCTGAAGGAAGAGTAGTGGTAGGCTCCATCCTTTGAGCTCCAGCATGCCTTGTGAAAGGGGTGCTATGAACATGAATTAAATATGAATGCAGTGATAAAACATTTTATTCTTTTTAAGGCTCTGAAGAGCTATACTTGTCAGAATGATTTCTGCACCAGGGAATCATTTAGATTGGTCTTCAAAGAGTGAAAATTTGGAACTGAGTTCTATAATGGCCAACATGGAATGTAAAATTGACATATATAAGCTTTGAAAGAGTAATTTTCAAGAGATTTTTTTGACTGCATGTTCTAATACCCTTAAATTATGTCTGAACATAATTGAAAGCAGATTCAGATAAAGTGTAGGTTTTAACTTTAGAGGGTGGAAGGTGGCTGTGCTTAATCCATGTATCTTCTGTGTCTTACCAGCTTCTGTTTAAAAGTGTGAGGGCTGGGGTGATCGTGTTTCAGGCATGGGATCAGCTGTGGATGACAGAGACCATTTCTCCAGTGGATGATCTCCCGTAATGTGATCATAGGGCAGCTGCCTTGAATTCTGATTATGTGGAAATGGGCAAACTTTTTTTTAAGAATAAAAAATAGCATTTCCCAATTATGTTATCTTGGATATAGTATTCTAAATTTACTCCCCATCCTAGAAAGTATGAATTAATCCTAGATTCCTCCTCATCCAACTCAAGGGGTAAGTCACAACATCTCACAATTCCAGCACCTGAATGCTCCCAGGGAGCCCACCCTCCCCACCTCACATTTCTCCGATGACTGCTACAGCCCTAACCTAGGGGGCTCTCTCCTGTCGCCCCCGCCTCCAGGTCACTCCTTTTATTAAATACTGTAACAACTCCCACTTGCCTCTTCTCCAAGAGAAGAGCCTGACGCCCACCAGGATGGATGAGATGCTTCCTTACCTGAACCAAGCCCCAGCTCTCGCCGCTCCAGCCCAGCATCCTGAGGAGCTGCCTGACTCGTACCTGCCTATAAAAGGTTCCCTGTTATCTTAATGCTCTGGGCCTTTGCCTGGGCAGCCACCCTGCTTGCCGTCCTCAAGATGCAGTTATCAATACCCCAGGAAGCCTTTTCTGAGCCCTGGCCCCACACTCCCACGGTTAGTCTTTGAGTACTCCTCCATAGCATCTATTGAGAGCTCTCTTTGCATCTCTCTCCTAGTCCATGGACTCTACAGATTCGTCCCTACCACTGTCTCCAATGAAATACACATGGCCTAGCACGTGGTGGGTGCCAAATGAAGGCTCCTGGACAAACAAAGGAGCCTTTCTCTATAAGAACAGAGCTTGAGGAAACTCGTGATAGAATTGTGACCAAGAGAAGCAGTTGATGAAAAAGTCTCCAAATAAATGCTGGCAAGATTCTCTTTCCAAATGTGAAAATACACCTGTGAAAAAAATCACATGATGTGATTTTTCTTTTAAGAATTAGATCAGTGTCCATTTCATATTAGGTCTTCCACACACCCTGCATACATACTCTCTGGACAATGAAGCCTAATGTATAACATGCATTAATACTGAGAGAAGTCGTGTGACCAACTGTTTCATAACACTGACTCCCTAACTTATCTCTGTTTTCAAACACAGAGTTCACAGGACTTGTCTCTAGTTGTAGGACTTTGTGGCTACATCCAAGGCACATGTGGTTTTTCGTTTCATAAAGCGATAGATATTCTGTGGCAAATGCTCAGGTGACTTCTTGTCTTTCTCCCCTTTCCTTTGGTGGTGGTGGGTGGGCAAAGGTTACTTTTATTTTTGTTTAAGGTAAGTAAAGGTTTTCCCTTCTACTTGTTGATCTGCCTCTCCAGGGGCTGTGACAAAGTCTTTGTTAGGATTTGACACCCATGCACCCATCAAAGAAGGTGGTGCAACAGCACTTTCAAAAATATCTTTACATTTTCTGAATTTTCCTTTGTGCTCATTTAACTTGTTATTCCTACCCTATATTATTTGTAAATATTTTAAAGCATAACAACAACAAGAATATTATAATTTTCTTAATCCTATTTCCCAGTGGCAACCACTTTCAGCCTTTTCAGCTATTTATTCTGATATTTATGCCTGTAGTTCAGAATAATCTGCATATCCTGCTCTTCTGATCCAACTTTAGACACAAACAATTTGTCTTCTTATAAGGATTGCTGGGGACTGTGGGTTAGTCATGCCCCTTTTCACACCCCTCCTGGTAACTACATCTAAACTGGATAAACACAAATAAAGGCTTTTTCTTCTGACCACGTAAATATGGTTCACTCTTGGGCTGTACTATAATATATAGCCCAAGTGTAATATAACATCCTTTCTCATCAAACTCTGTTTTTCCTTGGACTAAAAAATGGGCACTTTTTTCCCAATGTTCTTGGAATGCATCACTAAATCTTCCTTCAGCCTCCAAAAGTTTGTAAAATATGTCTCCACAGAGTTCTTTACACATGAGTTCTGCATGCGGATTATCCTTCCCTCTTTTAAGCCTGTCCTGCTTCCTGTGCACTTGGAGTGCCCCCCTGGATGCCTTCATCTGGACACCTTTCTTCACCCTGAAGTGTTGGACGTCCTTTGTGCCAATCCCAGGCTTTCGTCATCTTTTGTTATGTTCCATTGTAGGGTGGAAAATTATTATCCCTCAGGATTCTGAAGGCATAATTCCATTGTCTTTTGGTTTTGCCTGTTGTGAGTCCTATATCATTCTGAATAATTATCCATTGTCCTGTTTTTCTTCTCTCTGGAGGCTTTGGGAACTTTTCTTAATTCCTGGTGTTCCAAAATTTTATTACAATGTGGATAGAAATGTTTTTTTCTCATTCATTTTCTTGAGCATTTTAGGAGCTTTTTTCTGTCTTGGGTACTGTATAACTCAGGGTTCTCCAGAGAGGAAGACCCAACAGGGGATGGGTGGATAGGTGATAGATAGATAGATAGACAGACAGACAGACAGACAGAGAGGTATATGAGAACTGGACAGACAGACAGAGAGAGAGGTGTATGAGAACTGGTTCACAGGATTATGGAGGCTGAAAAGTCCCATGATGAGCTGCCTGCAAGCTGGAGGACTGGGGAGGCCCGGAGCATGGCTCAGTCCAAGCCTGAAGGCCTTAGACCCAGGGAAGCTGATGATGTTACTCTCAGTCCAAGGCCGCAGGCTTGAGAAACTGCGGCTGGTTTGGGGGGTGCAGAGAGGGGATGGTGCAAGTCCTGGAGTCCACAGGCCAGAGAACCTGGCATTCTAATGTTCAGCTGTAAGAAAAGGAGCTTCAGGAGAGAGAGAGAGAGAATTTGCTTTTCCTCTGCCTTTTTGTTCTATCTGGGCCCTCAGCAGAATGGATGGTGCCTGCCCACATCAGGTGATGGGGATCATCCTTTCTCCATTCACTGATTCAAATGCCAATTTCTTTCAGAAACACCCTCACAAACACACTCAGAAGGAATGCTTTCCCAGCTATCTGGGCATCAGTAATCCAATCAAGTTGACACCTAAAATTAACTCTCACAGGTACTTACTTTTTCTGAAATTTTTTCCCAGAAATTCTATATCTGAATTTTTAAACATTATTTGTGATACTATAAAACATATATTTGGTCTGTGACCCTGTTTCCTGGCATACAACTCCCCAAATCCTTAGAATCTCCCAAGAAATGTGTTTTGTATGCTAATGAGCTGACTGATGGCTGGCAGTCCCTAGGTAGGTTTAGGATGGGGCCAGTGACCAGAAAGATCAAGGCAGGATCAAGGGGTTGAGACTTTTAGCCCCACCCCCAACCACTGGGGAGCAGAAAGAGACTGAAGATTAAGCTGATCACCAATGGCCAATGGTTTAATCAATCATACCCACATAGTGAAGTTTCCATAAAAACCCAAAAGGATTGGGTTCAGAGAGCTTCCGGACAGGTGAGGATGAGCAGGGCCCCGGAGGCAGGTGCCAGGGAGGGCTCGGAAGCTCCACTTCCTCCCACAGGCCTTGCCCTGTGCATCACTTTATCTGGATATTTTGCAATATCCTTTATAATAAACCAGTAAAGGTAAGTTTCACTGAGTTCTGTGAGATGTTCTAGCACATTAACCAAACACAAATAGGGGGTTGTGGGACTCCTAACTTGAAGCTGGCTGAGGGCCTGGACTTGTGACTGGTGGCAAGTGCGGGGCAGTCTTGGAGACTGAGCCCTCAACCCGTGAGGGCTGACGCTATCTCCAGGTGGACAGTGTCATAATTGAATTAGAGGACACCCAGCTGGTGTCCATTGTGGGTTGCTTGCTTGCTTGTTGATGGGGAGAAATCCCTACACGTTTGGGCACAGAAGTCTTCTGTGTTCATTGTTGTTGTGGAGTTAGAGAATATCAAAAGAAATTTGAGTTTGAGTGTTTTTAATCTCAGTATTTAATTGATAGTTTATCATTTTATTCCCATTTTCCCCTCCTTTTTAGAACTGACATGAACTGGGATTGGACCATCAGCTAATATTCTGTTTATTAGTCCTTTAGGTTTTTTTAAATTTTATTTTACCTTCTGGGGAATTTCCCCAACTTTAATTTACAAATTTCTATTGAACTTTAATAATATTTCTTATTATATACATTCTAAGACTTATTTTCTTGTTCTCTGATTGTTCCTTCATAATAGTATCTTATTCTTGTTTTATGTATGCATTGACTTTCATCTTTTTGAGAATATTAATTGTAGTTATTTTAATATTTTCTTCTGCGCTGTATGTTGTTTATTCATCTATTGATTTTGTTGTCTGTTTCATGGTTCTGATTCTCTGATTTTTGACATCTCATTTATATTTAAGAGTGAGGGACTGAAAACGGTTAAAATGTTTGTGTGTGAGAGAGAGCTTTACTGTAAGGTTAGCTGTCGTCCTTCATATTTTCTCGCGGTAGAGTCCAAAATTGTCAGCCTTTGTGTGGTTGCTTTTTTTGTTATTGTTGTTCTGTGGTTCCCTATACAGAAAAGTGGGTTCAGATGCCCTGCCTTAGAGGTAGTGTTTTGGGTGGAATAGTGGTGGATAGAAGCTTAGCTTTTGACATTAGCCTTTGTGATTGTGGGAGAATAGATTATTATTCCTGTAAAAAGCCCTAGTTCACTGAGAAGCAGCCCTCACACACCATAAGAATTAGACCGCTTTGTCTAGTTATTTGCTTTGATCTGAAAAGACAGTAAGATATCTCTTATTTCCACAAAAAGGACCAAATTGTTACAGCCCAGACTAGATCCTAGGTTAAGCTCCAAGGTGCAAGGAAGATTGGAGTGTCTGTTTTTCTAGGTATTCATATTTCAAGGAGGAAGGAACTGGAAACATTAGACATATTTCTAGGGCTCTCTGGTTCCTGCGAGATTTTATTCACACATCAAAAGATTGGATTTAGGACTCAGGTCTATTGCATCTTCTAGGAGACTCCTTCAGGAGATGCAAAGGAAAGCTGCCCTCTTCCTATTCATAAGCAAAGAAAAATCAATTTTCCTTGTCCTGCACCTCTGAGGTGTCCAGCTACTCATGTAGGACAAATGGCTTGGTGTCACTCTAGGGATAAGGTCTATGGCAAAGAGGGAGGGTAGTGGCAGTTAACAAACTTCTTATTTACCATAAAGTATTTAATAAAAAATATGTCTCTCTGATCCTGCTCATCCTGAACAATATGTGTGCACCATTCAGGATACAGTGAATGAAGACCCGACTGAAAACCTAGCAATAGGACTACAGAGGAATTAGTCTGTTTTTCTCTTTTGGGGACGTGTTTTTGATGATGCACTGCCTTTCCTGGACTTGTTGGCCGTTTCTGCTGTGTGCTCACCCATCTCTCATCTGTCTTTGCCATTGCTTTCTGTCTTCATGTATTTTAATGGGTTTTAAATATTTCTAGTTTTATTTCAGTTTATAATCCTTTTTCTTTTCTTTGATATTTTTTGAGAAAAGAATTGAGTGGAAAAGTTTTTACACATTCACCTTGATTTTAAAAGTATTTCAGATGTCCTCTTTTTAATTTGAATTTACATTCAGTATTTCACAATTTATAATTTCATAATGGAACTCTAGTTTAACTCATTATATAAAATCTGTATAATTTTTCCATTTTTCATTGATAACTTATTCATTCATTATATTTTGGTCTGATAACTACTCTGTTTAAGAGTAGAACAATGTATTAGTCCGTTTTCACGCTGCTGATAAAGACATATCCAAGACTGGGGATTTACAAACTGAAGAGGTTTAATTGGACTTACAGTTCCACGTGGCTGGGTAAGCCTCACAATCATGGCAGAAGGCAAGGAGGATCGAGTCCCATCTTACATGGATGGCAGTTGGCAAAGAGAGAAATGATGAGGAAGACGCAAAAGTGGAAACCCCTGATCAAACCATGAGATCTCGTGAGACTTATTCACTACCATGAAAACAGTATGGGGAAAACCACCCTCATGATTCAATTATCTCCTACCAGGTCCCTCCCACAACATGTGGGAATTGTGGGAATACAATTCAAGATGAGATTTGGGTGGGGACACAGAGCCAAACCATGGACACTTCAAATGAGTTTACCGTGCATGACTTTTCCCCTTGGTCAAATTTAAATGGCAGTGTTTTGGGCAAGTCAGTCTTCCCTACACACAAGTGTGCTTTATCACTTCACTTTATCCCTTCATGTTGACAGGGGTTACTGAGGATTTGTTTGTTTGTTTGCTTGGTTTTTTTTTTTTGAGACAGGGTTTTGTCTGTTGCCCAGACTGGAGTGCAGTGGTGTAACCATGGCTCCTCAAGTGACGCTCCTACCTCAGCCTTCCCAGTAGCTGGGGGGACTACAGGCGTGAGCTACCACATCTGGCTAATTTTTGTAGTATTTGTAGAGATAAGGTTTTGCCATGTTGCCAAGGCTGGTCTCAAACTCCTGGGCTCAAGTGAGCTGCCTGCCTCAGCCTCCCAAAATGCTAAGATTACAAGCATGAGCTGCTGCAGCTGATAAGATTATTTGGATTTATTTATGTATTTATTTATTTATTTTACAGTCAGTGTCTCACTCTGTCTCACTGCACTGAAGTGCAGTAGCATAATCATAGCTCACCACAGCCTTGATCTTCTGGGCTCAAGTGATCCTCCCACTTCAGCCTCCCAAGTAGCTGGGACTACAGGCATGTGCCACCACGCCTGGATAATTTTTAAATTTTTTGTAGGGATGGGGGTCTCGCTGTGTTGTGTAGGCTGGTCTAGAACTCTTGGACTCAAGCAATATTCCTGCCTTAGCCTCTCTAAGCACTGGGATAACAGGTGTGAGCTACCATATCTGGCTGGGTTTCTTATAAGAAGAAGCAACAAGAGAGTGTAGTGCAACCCTGCCTTAAATAGTAGATTTGTCTCAGCAGTGTTTGTCAGTTATTCTCACAGGTTGACATTTATTTGATTTATCAAATGAAAATTTTACCAAAGAATCTTTCATGCTAGCAGAGAAAAGCAAATCAAGTCATACATTCTCAATAAATGGAAAAGCCCAGGTGACAGGATGATATTTCACAACAACATTTGAGATGATGCCGTGGAAAGCTGCGAGTGTATCCTTTCTATAGACTTGAAAAGTGACTAACATTCTGCTAAAGCTGGAAGGATGTTTTGGGGTGAGCGACCATAACAATAATGTAAAATGTTATATGATTCACTTTGAAATGACCCTTTCTAAAGTAACAACTTGGATTGCTAACCAGCATTGGGTTCTTTTAAAAAACTGATTTGGATGTTTATGTGTCCCTCTCTCAATCAATTCATAAATTTGTTGACCGTGAGGTTTGGTGTGATGAAGATAAATACACCTTCGTAGTGTAGAGAAATAACTAGAAAACGGGAAATTTATTTCTCAAATAAAAGATAAGGCAATATTTTGTTACTTTTTGGAAGACATTTTAACACAACCCAGATTGCCATTAACAAGCCTTATGAAATATTAAGAACCCTAACAGTTGGTAAGAAGAATAGTAGAGTCAGGACCCCCATAATTAAGATACTCCTCCAAAAAAGCAATAACAATGCTGACAATTGGCAAATCATCCTTTCAAAAATATGCAATTAACTAAAGGCTTGCAATAATCTAAGTAGCATTTATTCAAGTAAAATATCTCAGTCTTGGGAAGAACACTGACTGTGTGGCATCTTAACTTGCTTCACTTTCATGACCCCCTCCCCAGCTCTGAGATATCCTTGAAAACCAGCAGCCCACAGATCATGCTGAAAATCAGCAGCCTGGTAGCCCCTGGAAGAGGCAGCATGGGTTTGTAGTTCCCCTAAAGCAACATTCTTAGAGTATTGTCATTATTCAAACTGTCTGGTAGTTCTCAGGAAACCACCATTCAAAGGGCATGTCTTTATTTGACCTAAATCAGAGCTCTCCCAGTAGAAATAGTCTTTTCTTCGGAGTACTTGTTGAAAACTATTTGTCACAACACCTGCCTGAGATGGCAATACAAGTTGGGGGAGAGAAAGCTCACCAAAAAATTCAAAGGAAAAGCTAAGGAGTGAGATGTGCATAAGAGGCCTTTGAAAAGATGGAACATATTCCTGGAAATCCAGAAGTTCACATATATGGCATATGTGCAGGGCTTTGGGCATGCCCAGTGTCATATGCATACCCAGAAAATACCTAAGAAGGCCCTGTGCTCTCACTTATGACTGACCTTGGAATGCTAAGTGAATGTTAATAAAGAATTGTAACATATCTACGTGAGAATTGAAGGTGTATTCCCAAAAAGGACACACAGAGCAACTTGGCAAAGGCTGGGAGATTTATTACTTCTAGGCATTTAAGAAAATTTCTGCCCAACCACTAACTTAGCTAAGATGTCAATAGCCACAGATAACAAAGAATACAGCCTTTACAGAATTAGTTCAGAAAAGCTATTAACAAACAAACAAACAAATACAGCAACAAGAAACAGGAACAACAAACTCTGGGAGAAAAAGGAATTTGATATCACAAGATTTGCCACATTATGTTACTTGAAATGTTCTGTTTCCAACCAACATTGTGAGACAAACCAAGGAAAAATAAGGAATGAACCATATACAGGGAAAAATAAGGAATGAACCATATACAGGGAAAAAACCGTCAATAGAAACTGTCCATGAGGAAGTTCAGTCATTGGACTTCTTAGACAAGGACTTTAAATCAGCTACCTTAAGAACATTCTACAAACTAAGAAAACCATGTATAAAGAACTAAAAAGAAGTAAGAAAGACATCTCACCAAATGGAGATTGTAAAAAAAAAATAGAGCATATAAAAATGAATCAAAATAAAATTCTAGAGTTGAAACATACCATATTTGAAGTGAAAAATTCACTAAAGGTACTCAACAGCAGATGTGAAGTGTGTGAAGTGACAGAAGAGAGCATCAGTTAACATAAAGTTAGGTTGATTGAGATTATCCAGTCTCAGCAACATAAATTTTAAAAATGAAGAAAAGTCAACAGTCTCAGAGACCTATTACTCTCTATTTACTCTACTAGGCATATATACATATATCTATCTCTATCTATCTATCTATCTATCTATCTATCTATCTATCTATCTATCTATCTATCTATCTATTGTGCCAGAAGGAGAGGTGAGAAAGAGAATTAATATTTGAAAAAATAATGACCAAAATCTTCAAACTTGATGAAAACCATTTATTTTCATATCAAGTAATCTCAATGGACTCTCAATAGGAAAAACTCAGAGATTCATGCTGGATACAGTTTAATCAATCTGACAAAAGCCAAGGAGAAAAAATCTTGAAAGCAACAAAGAGAAGCAGCTCATCATGTACAAGGGATCCTCAGTAAGCTTAACAGTTAATTTCTCCTGAAAACACATAGATGTTAGAAAGTGTGGAAAAATAGACTCAAAGTGTTAGAAAAAAAAGACTGTCACATAAGAATTCTATATCCAACAAAGTGATCCTTCAAAAATGAAGAAGTTAGACATCCCAAATAAAAAAGAAAAAACAGAAAACGTATCACTAGCAGACTTGCCTGCAAGAAATACTAAAGAGGGACTATAGGACTTAAATGAAAAAACACCAAACAGTAACTCAAATCTACGTTAAGAAATAACCTGCCAGGCACGGTGGCTCAAACCTGTAATCCCAGCACTTTGGGAGGCCAAGGTGGATGGATCATCAGGTTAGGAGATTGAGACCAGCCTGGCTAACACGTTGAAACCCTGTCTCTACTAAAATAAATACAAAAAGTTAGCCAGGTTTGATGGCCGGTGCCTGTAGTCCCAACTACTCAGGAGGCTGAGGCAGGAGAATGGCTTGAACCTGGGATGCGGAGCTTGCAGTGAGCTGAGATTGTGCCACTGCACTCCAGCCTGCGTGACACGGTGAGACTCTGTCTCAAAAACAACAACAACAACAACAAAAACTAGTAAAGATAGCTAAAAAGGTAAATACAATTCCTCCCTCAATATTTTTATTTGTTTTATTTTTTCTCCTATCAAAATTAAAAAGCAGCTGCATAAAGCAACAATTATATTCTCTGTTGATGGACATCATAATATAAAATGGTTGAGTTGGTATGATAATAGCACAAAAGTGAAGAGGGATGGAACTATATAAGTGCAAAATTTTTGAATATTGTTAAAATTAAGTTGGTTATGCGAGCTAGCTTATTGTAAATTAAGATGTTATTTGTAATTCCTAGGGTAGCAACTAAGAAAATAACTAAAAAATAATGTAGTAAAAGAAAGGACAAGGGGATTAAAGTGATGCACTATAAAATATTCATTTAACACAAAAGAAGGCAAAAGTAAAGGAATAGAACAAAAAAGACATAATATATAATAAATAGCAAAATGCAGATATAAATTCTACCTTATTCATAATTACATTAAATGTAAATAGTTTAAATATTGCAGTCAAAAGGCAGAGATTGGCAGAACGGCTTTTAAAAAATATGACCCATATATATGTTGCTTATGAGAGACAGTTTCAGTTCAAAGACACAAGTAAGTTGTAAATGAAAGGACAGAAGTAAGATATACCATGACAAGAGTACTAAAAGAGAGCTGGGGTTGCTATATTAATCTTGGACAAAGTAGACTTTAACACTATAGGAGGCAAAAAAGATACACATTTATCTTATATGTGTATATAATATTAATGTATATAATGATAAATGAGTCAATTCATCAAGAACACATAATAAATATAAACATATAAGCACCTAAACAAGAGAGCCTTAAAATATATGAAGCAAAAATTGACAGAATTGGAGGTAGAAATACATAATGCTAAAATAGTGGTTGGCTTGTTCAATACCCCACTTTCAGTAATAGTAAGAACAAGTAGACAGAAGATTAACAAGGACATAGAATATTTGAACAACACTCTAAGACAACTAGACCTAACAGACATCTGTACAACCCAATGACAGTGGAATACATATTCTTTTCAAGTGTATTGTAATTCTCCTTTATTCTCTGGGTGAGTGGGGGACACAATTGTGTATTATGCCATTAAATAAGTTTTAAGAAATTTGAAATAATTGAAATCATACCAAGTGTATTTCCCATTCAAAATGGAATGAAATGGGAAATCAACAACAGAAAGAAATTTGGAGAATTCACAAATATATGAAAATTAACCAATATACACCAAAATAAAAAGTGGGTCAAATAAGAAACCATAAGGAAATTAGAAAACACTTTGAAATTTAAAAATGCAGAAACACAGTATTCTAGAACTTATGAGATGCTGCAACAGCAGTGCTTCATAAATAGATAGCTGCAGTTGACTATTTTTAAAAAGTGAGATTTCAAATAAATAACTTTACCTTTCCCCTAAGCAACTAGAAAAAGAAGAGGACAATAATCCAAAGCAAGCAGAAAAAAGAAATAATAAAAATTACATGAGAAACAAATGAAAAAAGAATAGAAAGCAATAAAAATTTAACAAAACCAAAAGTTGTTTTTTTGAAAAGATCAACAAAATTGACAAACTCTTAGCTACACTGATCAAGAGAAAAAGAGTAGACGCACATTACTTAATTAGGGAATGAAAGAGGAGACACTACTACTGACTTCATGGGGTGGGGGAAGAATTACAAAAGAATACTTTGATTATTAGATTATAATCTATAATATTTAGATTATTACCTAAATTAGTTGCAGTGAATTTATTAAACTTAATTAGATGCAATAAATTCCTAGAAAGACACAAACTACCAAAACTGAATCAAGAAAAAGTAAAATCTAAAAAGCCTCATAACATAAAAAAAGAGGTTTATTTTAGTAACCAGAAGCCTTACCATCGAGTAAAGTGTAGACCTAAATGGCTTTGCTGGAGAATTTTACCAAACCTTTTAACAAGGCTTAACACTATTCTTTGACAAGCTTTTCCTAAAAATTGAAGAGAAAGGAATGCTTCCAAGCTCATTCTATGAGGCCAATATTATCCTGATCTCCAAGCCAAAGACATCACAGGAAATGAAAACTACAAATCAACACCTCATACAAATATACAAATACTGTTGCAAAGATTCTCAACAAAATACTAGCAATCTGAATCCAGCAACATATAATATGATTATACACCAGTGACCAAGTAGTATCTAAAAAATGCAAGGATGGTTCAACATAAAAAAATCATTCTATGTAATACTCTGTATTCATAGAATAGGCACAAAAATAACAGAATCATCTCTATGGGCAGAAAAAATCATTTGACAAAATTACGCATTCTTCCATGATGTAAACATCCAACATACTAAGAAAAGAAGGTAGCTTTCTTAACCCAATAAATGTAACCTATGAAAAATCCGCAACTAATATCATACTTAATAATAAAAGTCTAAAAGTGTCCATCTTAAGATCAGGAACAAGGTAAGAATGTTGCTCTCACCATTTCTACTCACAATTTTATTGGAGGTTCTACCTAGTGCAGGCATCTATTAATAATTAAAATGATAAAAGTCGTATTTTTGGAAAGAAGGAAGTAAAACTGTATTTGCAGATGACATGCTCTTGCATATAAAAAATTAAGAGCGTCTGCCCCCTCCAAAAGACATTAAAATAATGAATGAGTTCAACAAGTTGTAGGATACAAAATCAATATAAACAGAACATATTGAATTTTATACATTCGCAGTGAACACTGAAAATTAAGAGAATAATTTCATTTATAGTAATATCAAAAATGTTAAAATATTCAGGAATAAATTTAACAAAATAAGTATAAGACTTGTATACTAGGAACTAAAATATTCTTAAAAGAAATTAACAATCTAAATAAATGGAAAGACAGCTCATGTTCATGGATTGGAAGACTTAACATTGTGAAGATGGTAATAGCTCCAAATTGATCTAGATTCAGTAGAATCCCTGTCAAAATCTCAGCCTCCTTTTTTTTGCAGAAATTGACAAGCTATTCCAAAAATGTGTATGGAAATTGCAAGCAATCCAGAATAGCAAAAAACAATCTTGCAGAAGAACAAAGTTGGAGGATTGACAATTTGCATTTTCTGAATCTACTGCAAAACTACTGCAGTCAAGACAATGTGATACTAGTATAACGATAGGCATATGCATAAATGGAATAGAATTGAACATCCAGAAATAAACTCTTACATTTATGGTTGTATCACATCTCAGATTCTCTCGTAGAACCTCCGGAAGGAGCACAATCCTGCCAAAACCTTGATTTTTGACAAGGGCTAAAGATAATTTACTGGGGAAAAATAGTCTGGCTTCCCTCTAGGCTTCAGTTTCATTTGAAACAAGGATAAGCACCATCCGGACAGCACCTACCTGAGAAGCTAGCCATAAATACTCAAAAGGATAAAGTTTTAAGCACTTGGTTTAGAATTTAACATATAATACTAAGCAGACATTTATTACTACTGTGTGATCTTGGGCAAGTAGGTTAATCTCTGATTTTCAGATTTACTGTGTGTAAAATAAGTGTAATATCTTTCTTACAAGAGTAACCTGAGATAACGTTAGAAACTCAATTAACTACCCCTTACTCCTCCTTCCTGAAGGTGTCCAGAGGTGATACAACCATCATTTAGATGTTTCTTTTGGGAATAGGAAGGGTTGACCTTCTTTCTTTCCTTTTTATCACATTTATTTTTTATTCTGATTATAAAAGTGATATATTTTTAAATACAGAGGAAAAAATGTGAACCTGTTTACACCAAACCATTAAAGTCAGTTTCCTCTGGGGAGTGGGAGTGGCAAATGGGTGTTTTCATTTTGAACCTTATTGTGCTTGTGTAATGTTTGAATATTTTACAACCAAGTATTACTTTAGAATTAAAAAATGCATGTATACTATAAAACAGTATTAACATATCTTTATTTTATTTAGTTCAGCGTTTCTCAAAATGTATTCCGTAGGCAATAGTTAACAAGATGTTTCCATGAAAAAAATGTGAAGGTGGGCTGGCCGGGTTCCATTGTCAAATAATTTTGGAAATGCTATTAAAACACGTTTGTTCTTCTCTAGAGCACTCACAACAACTTCTATCAACTACGTTGATCCCAATGAAAATACAAAATGATTTCACTACTAACCCTTGCCATTTTCCATGTAACTCCTACTCACTCATCAGAAGGCACTTTGTGAATTACCTGTGCACTTTGCCATTAGTGAGTACCTCACACAACTCGTTACTGGCAGAGTGCAGATGAGGGACCTGAGTTTTCCAGCCTGACTACTTACAGCCCGCTCTTCTGACTCTGTAAGTGCAACCTTTAGTAGCAGGGGGTTGGGAAAGGAACAGGCACTTCAGAGAAGAGAGAATTTGGTCAAGCTGCTGAATTGACTGTGAGTTTTCAGAGGGAGGAGTTCAGCAGGGATTTTTACTGGCTGCTCAGGTAATGATGAAGAAATCCTGCACAACATCTCATTTCCAAATTTACTGATTTTTCCCAAGATAGCTGAGATGGGTTTTTTAAAATTAAACATTTTATTTTGGGATAGCTGTAGCTTTATATACAGAAGCAAAAAATAATACAGGGATTCCTCTGTAGCCTTTACCCACTGTCTCTCAATAATGACATCTTGCAAAACTATACTACAGTATCACAACTAGGATGTTGACATTGGTAAAGATAGATAGATCCTGTTCACTGCAGGATCTGTCATGTTGCCCTTTTATGACCACACACATTTCCCTCATGCTCTCACTCCCTACTTAACTCCTGGCAACGACTAATCTGTCCTCCATTTTTATAATTTTGTTAATTAAAGAATATGACACAAAGGGAATCACACAGACTGCTACCTTTTGGGACTGTTTTTTTTTTTTTAATCAACATCTTTCTCTGGAGATTGATCCAGGTTATTGTGAATATCAATAGATGGTTACTTTTTATTGCGAGTAGTATTCCGTAGTATGCTGGGCAGAATAAGAGCCTACCTAAAGATGTTCATTATCTGATCATCAGAACCTGTGAATGTCTTGTGTTATGTGGAAAAAAAGACTTTGAAGGTGTGATTTGGTTAAGAATCTTGAGATGGAAACATTACCCTGAATTTCTTGGTTGACCCAACGTATCACAAGGATCTTTATCAGGGAAAGAGAGTAAAGGGAGAGTCAGAAAAATAAATGTGAAAAGGAAAGCAGAGGCCAGAGTGATTCTGTGTTAGATTAACTCAACCCAAATGGAAGAAGGAGACCCTGACTCAAGGACTGCAGGAGGCCTCTGAAACCAGAAAAGGCAAGGAAACTGATTTTCCCCTAGCGCCTCCAGAAGGAGCACTGTCTGGACAACACCTTGGTTGAAGCCCCTTTTGGCCTTCTGTTGAGTTCTGAGAACACTTTATCTATTCTAGGTACCTAGTCCTTTGTTGGATATGTGGTTTGCAAATATTTTACTCCAGTCTGTAGCTTGTGTTGACATCCTCTTAGCAAAGTTTTTCATACAGCAAATTTTTTAATTTTGATGAAGTCTAACCTGACAACTGATCTTTTTATGGGTCATGCTTTTAGAGAAGTAGACCTTTTTTTATAGGTCTAAATTGCAAATATTTTCTTCCTTAGTTTTCCTAAAGGTTTTATAGTTTCATTAATTCTGTGATACATTTTGAATTACTTTTTGATATAGGTCAAGGTTAGTTAATCTTTTTAAAAATAAATGTCCAATTTTTCCAGCACAATTTGCTGAAAAGACTATGTTTCCTCCATGAAATCCCTTTTACACTTTGGTCAAAAATGAGTTGGCCATATATTTGGGGATGGAGGTCTTTCTGGGTTCTCTATTCTGTTTTATTTATCTATTGTTTTCCTCCACCAGTACCAAAAGGTTTTGTTTACCATAGTTATTAAAAATTCTTGAATTAGGTAAATTCATTCTTCCAACTTTACTTTTTAAAAATTTTAAAAAATTGGTTTTGCTATTCCTGTTCTTTTGCATCTCCATATGCACTTTAGCATAATCTTCTCTGTTTCTACAGAAATCTTGCTGGAATTTTGATAGAATTTTTATTAAACCTGTCTGTCAATTTGTAGAGAATTCATATCTGTATTATGCTGAGTTGTTGAAGTCATAAAAACCATCTGTCTTTCAGTGATTTTAGATCTTCTTTGATTTCTCATCAGTATTAAATGTCTTTTCATATCTTTTGTCCCTTTTCTAATTGGATTTTTTACAACATGAAAAATAATTTTGTTCTTTGCATATTTCAGATATGATTTCCTTAAGTGCTTTTCAGCAATTATTTGACACCAGTGGAGCATCCTACAATTCAATTTTTCTTGTATAGTTTTACATTTAAATCTATGATCCTTTTCGAGTTAATTTTTTTTTTTTTTTTTGAGATGGAGTCTCGCTCTGTCGCCCAGGCTGGAGTGCAGTGGCGCGATCTCGGCTCACTGCAAGCTCCGCCTCCCGGGTTCACGCCGTTCTCCTGCCTCAGCCTCCTGAGTAGCTGGGACCACAGGCACCCGCCACCACTCCCGGCTAATTTTTTGTATTTTTAGTAGAGACGGGGTTTCACAGAGTTAGACCAGGATGGTCTCGATCTCCTGACCTTGTGATCCGCCCGCCTCGGCCTCCCAAAGTGCTGGGATTACAGGCGTGAGCCACGGCGCCTGGCCTGAGTTAGTTTTTGTATAAGATCTCAGGTGTAAGTCAAGGTTCACATTTTTGCTTATGAATATCTCATTATTTCAGATGGTTATTGAGATTATCTTTTTTTCATTGAGTTGTCTTTGCATCTTTATAAAAAACCACTTAGCTCTTTTTGTGTAGGCAGTTTCTAGGTTCTCTATTCTGTTCCATTGATCTATGTGTGTATCCCTCTGACAATATCACACAATGTTGGTTACTGTAGCTATACAATAGGCTGTAATATCTGGTAGAGTGATTCTTCCTGCACTCTTCTTTTTCAGCATTGTTTTAGGTACTTTGCTTTTACCTATAAGTTTTAGAATAATTGTAGCTCTATATATGAAATATTTTTAAATAATTTTTATACAATTCGTGTTAAACTTACACATTAGTTTGGAAAGACATCTTTACGATGTTTAATCTTCTAATCCATGAACATGGAATATCTTTTTATTTAGATCTTCTTTGATTTCTTTCATGAGCATTTTGTAATTTTCAACATATATCTTCTCAACGTATATATTTTTTCTGTTTCCTGGCTTCTTTCAGTATTTTCTCTTATTCTTTGGTGTTCTGAAGTTTACTTATGTTACCCATCTGTTCTAGTGTGTTGTGTACTTATTTAGAGTCCCTTATATTAATTGTAGCTATTTTAAATTCTCTGATAATTCCAAAATCTGTGTCATATCTGAATCATTCTACTCCGATGTTTGCTTTCTCTCTTCAGATTGTGTTTTTTCTTGCCTTTTGACATCACTTGTAAATTTTAGATGAAAGGAAGACATGATACATCAGTAACAGGAAGTGAGGTAAATAGGCCATTTGTGTGAGGCTTTATGTTAACCTTACTAGGAGTTGGGCTGTGCTTAGTATTTGTTGCAGTATATGTAACAGGAACTCCAAATTCTTTATTTTTGCCTCCCCTTCCTGTCTTTTGGCTTCCTTAAGAATCCCTCCTTGTATAGAATCTGCACCTTGAGGTCTTTCAGCTGTAAACTAATGTTATTTATTATAGTGGAGCCCTGTTGATATGTGGCATGGTGTAGCAAGAGGGGAAATTTATATTATCTTATGATCAAATCTGTCTTTTAGTAGCCCTGTATCTTCAGGCTGACTAAATTTTGGTCAAGCAGAGAATCTTTTTCAGTGCCTTTTATTTCTTTCTTTTGCCTTCTTACACTGGCTAGATCTTCTAGTACTGTGATGAATGAGAGTTGAGAGTGGGCATCCCTGAATTGCTACTGAGCTCAAGGGGGGAAATATTCAGTAACTCACCATTACCTGCAATGTTTACTCTATGTTGTAGATGTTTATCAAGTTGAGGAAGTTCTCCTCTGTTCAGTTTGCTGAGAGGTTTTACTAAGAATGGGTGTTGCATTTTGTTTGATACTTGCTCTGCATTGTGACTTATCCAATCATGTTATTTTTCTTCTTGAGCCTGTTAATGTGGAAGATTATATTGATTGATTTTTGAATATTGCATCAGCCAGGAATCCTTGGAATAAACCCCGTGTGGTCATTGTATATAATTATTTTTATATGTTCCTGAATTCTGTTTGTTAATATGTATCTTTAAGGTTTATGCACATATATTCATGAGGAATATTGGTTTATACTTTTTTTTGTCCTTGTCTCTATTATTTTGATATCAGGATGATGGGGCTTCATAAAATTAATTAAATTTAGCAACGTTCCTTCCTTATCTATTTTCTGGAAGAGATTGTATATAATTTGTATTATATTTTTAATATTTGGTAGAATTCTCCTGTAATTGACATGCTTTCTGTCAATTTTTGAGTACTTTTTCATCCTTACTGTCTTTCCATTCTTCCTGGACTTCCATGACACAAATACTAGATCTTTTGTCTGACTGGTCTCTGAGGCTCTGTTTATTTTTTCAGTCTGTTTTCTTGCTGGTTTTTCAGATTGTGCAGTTTCTATTGTTTTATATTAAGTTCCACTGATTCTTTCCTCTTTCCTCAATTCTGCTGCTGAATGCACCAGTGAAGGCTTTTAAAAATTATTTTTGTCATCAAATTTTTTAGTGCTAAGATTTTCACTGGGGTCTTCTTTATGTCTTCTACTGAGAGTTTGTTTCTTTGCTGAGCCTTTTTATTTTTTCATTTGTCTCAAGCATATTAGTAATTGCTTGTTGAAACATTTTTGTGATGGCTGCTTTTATCTTTTATTATTTTTTAAAATCTTTGCCACATAATTTTAACATCTTTGCCTTCTTGGTATAGATGTCAACTGATTATCTTTTTTCCTTCAGTTTGAGAACTTTCTGGTTCTTGGTAGAATGGGCTGAGTGTTTTTCAGTTGAAAACTGAACATTTCAGATATTATTTTATGCAACAGTCTATCTTATTTAAGCTGTCTGTTTTGGCGTTCTGCAACAGCACTCTGGTGGAAAGGGAGTTGGAGTTCATCACTTCCAGGTTGCTACAGAAGTCCAGTTTCCGTCCTTGGGTTTATTTATTGGGTTTATTTACCCTTGGAGGCTGTCTCCTAATCATTGCTGGATAGGGAGGGAGTTCTAGCTTCCCTCTAGGTCCCTGCAGATAGTGTGCTGGCTGGACGGGTACAAGTACCTGCTTCCACGTGGTCTCCAACTATATCATTAGGAGAGGAAGCTCATTACTGTTTAGAGGAAATCAAACGCCTGTCTCCCTCGTCAGCACTCTCTGAAACCACCTTAGTTGAGGGATGGATGCCTTATTGTAGCCCAGTAAGGGTAGAATTCAGGGCTCCTTACTCAGCCTTTGTGAGCGAAGCCAAGTCCACCATTTTATCTATTCTGTTTGGCTAGAAAAGAGTGGTTATTGTTTAAAAGTATTCTGTCGTGGCCAGGCACAGTGGCTCATGCCTGTGATCCCAGCACTTCGGGAGGCTGAGGCAGGCGGATCATGAGGTCAAGAGATCGAGACCATCCTGGCTAACACGGTGAAACCCTGTCTCTACTAAAAATACAAAAAATTAGCTGGGTGTGGTGGTGGGCGCCAGTAGTCCCAGTTACTTGGGAGGCTGAGGCAGGAGAATGGCATGAACCCGGGAGGTGGAGCTTGCAGTGAGCCGAGTTCAAGCCACTGCACTCCAGCCTGAGTGACAGAGCGACACTCTGTCTCAAAAAAAAAAAAAAAAAAAAAAAGAAAGAAATAGAAGTATTCTGTCTTGTTAGGATGCCCCTTTACTTGTCCTTTAACTAGAGAGAGCTGGCTTCTGTTGAGAATTTTTAAAATTCCCATGCATTGGTGTGTCTGAGTTTTTAGCTTCTTCAGTTCCAAATCTGGAATGAAACGAAAAGCAAAGAAAGCCCAAGATACTCGCTACCATGTCATCCCTTGGGTCCTGATGCCCTAACTGGTTTGCCTTTTGTCTAATTCTCAGTCTTATTATGATTGTTTTACATGTAATATCCAGGGATTTTAGTTGCATTTAGCAAGAAAAGTAGAGACAAGTATGTCTCTTCCATCTTACCAAAATGAAATGGATTTATATTTTAAAAAATTTTCCTCAGCTCACTGTTTTCTTGACAAGAGAAATTTTTGATTTTGGTTGAAGATGAATTTGTTTTCCAGCTTTTACTCTGAAGGTGATCAGCAGTCAGAGTTTTGTTCAGCAATAGGGCCATGAACATTTGGAACTTACAGATAGAATTCGATGGTGTGGAGTGTTTTCCTGTCTTTTACAGGCTTATTTGCCACCACTGATTTCTAAGCAGTTCATGCTTTGAAGAAATCCACACCTGACAAGTCATTTCTTCCCATCATTTTCCTGCCTGCCTGTGACTTATGTGTAGAATGACATTATTTTCTAAAAGCAGAGTTGCAGGAGATGAAGACTCCCTCCCCCAGCCCCAAGTCCAACAGAGAAAGAATCATATTTCTGAAGTGGAAGAGAAGAATATGTTATTGGAAAAATTATTTGCACTTGCAGGTAGAGAGTATTGCACTATAAAAAATGAAACACAGATGACTCGAATTCAATTGCTGCATGTCTGGAATGGAAGATTGGGAACTTATATTTGGGAAAAGAAAAAGACTGAATTCTTTTTAAAAATTATAGTTTGCAAACTCATAAGATTTATCTAGCGTTAAACAAATCCTTAGGGCACTGGAGTTTTATTCCCATGTGATAGTTTTCCCCATAATAGTTGGTAATATATGAAATGTAAGTTTTTCAGGATTCAAATACAGGAATCATAAGCTGAAGAAAAGCCAGTAATCATTTGTCATTTGACAGCAGTGGATTAAAAATAATAGACTTGAATTTCTTTAGGCCCTTCCCGTATTTCATATGCCCCCTGTTGTCTATACCCCTGCCTTTCACATATTTTGTTATCAACCTGAACTTTACAAAGCATGTGAGATACTTACCCTTGTGCTCAAGTCAATCCTGAGCTTGGAGAGTAGGCAGACAGGTTCCAACTCTAGTTTGGCCATTACTACCTATGTGACACTGGGTAAGTTATCAGTCTAACCTCCTTACCTATACACTGAGGGTAATAATATAACCTGCCTTAGCGATAGTTCTTACGCAGACATATTGCAATATCAACGCATAAGTGCTCATCATCTTAATCATTACTGTAGTGAGACATCACAACAGACAAGGCACAATATAAGACTGTGTGCACAGTGTCAGAAGTTCTGATGTTTGATAGCAGCTCCCCAAATGTCCTGTTCATGGAGGTCCCTTGCTGAATATAAATGATAACCTGCTTGTTCCATGTGCAGTCATTCATACTCCATGGAATCCTGCCTCACTTTCCTGAATGAAGTGGGTGGCGTTCTTACATTCTTAGTCAGCTCACAAGTACTTCCTGGGCATCCACTTCTAGTACGCAGGCTCTGGCTTCTGGCTGTTAAACAGTGAACCAGACTATGAGCTGGCTCTCCGGGTTTTTTCCTTTGCTTTCTTGGGTCAGGTGAAGTTTTCAGGTGGGAGGAACTTCAGGGATGCAGGTGGAAGGGGAAATACAGCTGCGAGGAATAAGACCTGAGTTGAAAGCTATTTAATACATGGAAAATGGTCTGGTTGATTTAGGGTAAATTACACCAGGACAGAGAAATAGGAGGAAGATAAAATATACCTGGATCTGTAAATTAGACACTGAAGGACATTGTGCAACAGTGGACGGACAGCATCCATGGTGGGGGTGGATGTGTCAAGTCTGTCATTTGGTGCCGAGCCCCTCAATTAAAACCCATACTGATCCTGTACCTAAGAGTCCATGAAGAAGTGACTGTTAAAGATGATTTTCCCTTATTCCATGTTTATTTCAAAGTGATTTTTCATTTACTCTCAAATTATACTTATAAATACTGTTTACATTTGCTTTATGTTAAAGATTTTGTGCAATTATAGCAGTAATTAAAAGGAATTACAATAATCATACCTGTTTTCATAAGATTTCTATCTGAGAGAGACAAATTATTTTATCTTCACCATGGACCTGGGATGAGTTTCTTTTTAAATAATGTGCCAAGGGTTAGAATAAACTGCTATGTAGCTAAGTTAAAAATTTAATAACAAATAAATGGCATTATTGTCAAATATTAAAAAAGGAAAAATAAAACCTTCACTATTTCCATGATAAACCATGTCATGTGGGGAATACCTCCTTATTAGGTGAACACATCTTACAGCTGAAATTTTTCGTATGGCAAATTACCACCTGAATATTTATTTAGAGAATGGTCTCTCATTTCACTCTAGTTTGAAAGATGTTGTCTTTAAAGCCATCATATTCCTCACCCACACACACTGCCCACCTGTTTCCACCAAAGTGCTGTACTTCATCAGCCACAGGCCATTGTAGTCAGGAAGTCATGTACAGTGTTCTCTCCAAACCGCTCACTTTGCTTATGGCACCTACAAAGGACTTTATTTTTTATTTTCTCCTCCCTCTTCCTCCACGCCCTCCTCCTCCATGTTCTGCTATAAAACTTATATTTATCTAAGCAATTTAATTTTTATGGTTAAAAGAATAAGATAATACTAAAAGACTCAAAAAGAAAAATACAGGCCGGGCATGGTGGTTCACGCCTATAATCCCAGCACTTTGGAAGTACGAGGCAGGTGAATCACTTGAGCTCAGGAGTTCAAGACCAATCTGACCAACATGGCAAAACCCCATCTCTACTAAAATTACAAAATTTGGCCAAGTGTGCTGGTGCGCACCTGTAATCCCAGCTACTGGGGAGACTGAGGCATGAGAATCGCTTGAACCTGGGAGGTGGAGATTGCAGTGATCCGAGATTGCGCCACTGCACTTCAGCCTGGGCAATAGAGTGAGACTCCATCTTAAAAAAAAAAAAGTGCAGCTCCCTCCATCCTGCCTGAACCTGGGTTCATTTTCCATTCTTTAAGGGATTTCTTCTCTTATTTTCCATCATGTTCCTAGTAATATCCTTATATGAACATTTGATTATTCGTTCTCAGCTACATTGATGCCTCCTGGAAACGCTAGACTTTCCCTGTCTTACACTCTACCCATTTTCCCCTTTTGTTCCCCCGCTCACCTTCCAAAACAATCATGAACCAAGATTTGGTCAGATACACATTCCCTGCTTACAATGTTACAGTCATGTAATTACTGAACTTTGCAGAATGTCCTAGTGTGACCTGCTTACCTTATGGGGAGGAGGTCGCATAGATTATGTTTGTCCAGAAGGCGATTAAGTCCCTTTAAAAGAAAATAATGTCTGACATCCAAGCACTGTAGTGTTTTGTTGGCAGCTGTGATGGAAGCACACAGCCCTCTCCATGGGTTGGAAGGCTTTAGCCAACCTCCATGGCCACAGACTCAGATTACCCTCCCTCCCATTCCCACAGGGCTGCCTGCCACAGTGGCCCACCTGAACCCCTCACTGTCATACTGCAAGACCCTCCTGCTCTTTCCTGGGTGGACTCCCTGGTTCCCCACCAGATCTTCCCAGTCTTGGTCATTCTGCTTCCTTACTTTGGTGGAGAATATTCTCCAGGAATCTTCTGAGGAATGTTGCATGGAAGGTAACTTTGTGAATGGGTAGAAAATAATTTCCCCTGAGAGTTGTGCAAACATAGATCCACTGCTTGTGGGTGAGTTCTGGGCCATCTTTCCTTAGGTCAGTCTGATTGTGAGCTGCTTCTTGCCCCAACCCCCTTTATCCTCAGCCACAACCAGAAAGGTCTTCCCCCTTTTATTCTGGAATTTCAAATGGTAGTATTTCTGATTTTCTTTTCATATGCCATGGACTAGGCAAGTCTTAACTATATGTAAAGTCATTTGATTATTGAGATTGTTTGGTATTATTTCTTTGATAATTCTTTTATTACTTTTCTCTTTTATAAGACTTCTCTGTTTGGTTTTATGCTAGTTTTTGGGAAATCCCTTCAAATTTACCTTCCAACTACTGATTTTTTTTTAATTTCTGAAGGATCTTTCTAATACTTAGGATGTTTCTTTTTTACAGCATCCTCCTGTTATTTCAATGAACCAGTAACTTTTTTTTTTTCTTTTGGAGGATCTTAACCATAGTTTCTGGAAGTTTTCTTCTGGTCTCACATTGCTTCTGTTTGTTTTGGAGTACATCATTCATGATAGAGCATTTCCCTACTGGCCTCTCATGAATAAGTAGATATGAAGCACTCCTGGCTGGTTGGAAGTTCTCTATGGGCCTCATATTAGGATGAAAACTGGGAATTTCAGAGAAGTACTGCTTGTTAGTATTTCCAGGTCTTTTTACTTTGGCTTGTTAATTTCCTCAGATGGAAGATTTTTTTTTTTCTATTGTTGCCTGGGAAGTTGCAAACCTACAGACAAAATGCTGGGAGCCTGTCAAGGAAAGGGGCTGGTGCACCCACCTGTTGTCTCTGTATGTCACTGAATCCAGGGTTTCTCTGAGTCAGCCTCCAATCAACAGCTCTGTGGCTCGGGAATCTTGAGTTCTCTTTCTTCTGTTTTGGACCCATCGTATGTTACTACTTAGAGATACGTGGAACCTCCAACTCCTGTGGTCCTTCAGAGTTTCCCCTGTCAAAACCTATGATGGTCTGAGATGTTACCTTACTTGAAAGCTAGTAAGTTGGCCTGCCATAGTGTCATGGTTTCTGGAAGAAGACAAGAGATGCCTGGGTCAGAGACAAAGGACATTGTTACACTGTAGGCATTGATGTCACAGCAGGCATTGTGAGCTTCATGTTTGCCTCTGTTCTCCTTGCCCCCCAAGTTCCATGGGGGCAGTGTGAAACAGCCAACCAGTTTGTGCCACAGCAGAGGAACCCTGAACTTAGGAAACCTCCATCTTTTACAATGTCTGCATACGTTTTTAATGATGCTTTTTGATGAAGAAAAGCTCTTAAAGAAGTTAAATTTGCTTGCCAATGTTTTTTCTTTTATGTTTAGTGTTTTTGATGTCCTATTTACAAGTTATTTGCTTATTTAAAAGTCATATACATTTGTATTTGCTTTTTTCTTAAAATTTGAATACTTTAGCATTTTGAATATATTAGCATTCACATTTTGGTCTGTAATTCACCTCAAATTAATTTTTACTTGTGGTATGAGGTAGGAGTTCAAGGTTCATGTTTTTCTCTTCATACTGATATCTAGTTGCTACAGGAACACGTATTAGAAAAATTAGTTTAAAGCATGTGCAGAATCTTAAAGACCAGGAAGGTGATACTGTAGTTAATACATCACAGCTTCTATAAACTAAAGGATGTGAAACCTAATGCAGCTGCCATTATTGTGTGCTACCAAATGACAGGCTCTTCAAAGGAAACAAAGATAAAAGATATCCTCCCTGTCTTTAAGGAACTTAAAAATATATGCATAGAAATAAACTTACACATACACTATAATTTTATTTATAAAAGTGAAGGGAAAATTTATGCAATAAAACTGATAATGATTCTCTAAGACTGTTTACAGCTTACTAGTACTGAAGTTGTCCCATCTGACCCAAAATATCTGGGGATGCTTAGGAAAAAATTAAGGATATAGGAAGAATTGTATATTATGACATATTGAGGAATTTCCTGGGAGAGAGCCCAACCCAAGGACGGTGAACTTGATTCATTAGCAAAGCTTTGGTCCACAGAGTTAGGGATCACGCTGAGTGTAGCATTTGGTACTCTGTTCACTCCTTGGGTACCTGAGAAGGAGGTGGTAAGGGGAAAGCTAAAACTGTTTCACTGAAATCATGGTAAGGTATTGACATGGTAAAGCAGCCATACTTTTGGCCTTCTTAGATATGGGTCTGTACAAAAGGATAAAGTGAATATCTCCTCCCTGTGCCACTGGCCACTGTGCAGCTTTGGTCCTCTTGGGCTAGATGGAATGGTAGTGGCACTTTTTTGACTTGGTAGGTAGGGGCCAGATCGGGTGCAGTACCTGGCAGTAATGGATATCAATGGTATCCAATGGAGAAACACGCCAAATGGAAAAGGGAGTACCTAGGGTTTGCTAGAATTGGAATAGGGAAAGAAAATGGGCATCACAGGATGACTGGCCAGAGACTGGACTGGGCCTGCTCCTTAGCATGTGTGAAGCATCTTCTGATGCCCCTAGATATAGCTGATGAGCTGAAGAAACATTGGCAGGAGGTATGAGGGTTCTGCATTCACAGTTGGGATAAGGGACCAGCAGAAAATTAGCTTGCACACATAAGGGTAAGGCAACATCATTGTTTTCAGAATTCAAAACATTGAAATCCTCTTACTTATTTGATCTTAGTAGCAACCCAAGGGACTGCAGCTGTTTTTCTAAAATGAAGAGCTCCACGTGATCACGTGGAGGTTACGAGATTCACCTACAATCTTAGTAGGTGACCCAGCTCTGGAGCCTGGGCTGGTGGCCATCACTTTCACTCTACCTCTTCTTGCCCTCGCCAGTCTCAGTGTCCCATGTGGCTGCTCCCTACATTACCTCTCAGCTCCCCCGACCCACCTGCCTACCAAGCCTGGTCCCAGATGAACTCTGCTGAAATACACCTCTCACCATGTCTCATCTCTACTCAGTATCCTCAGAGACTCCTACTGCCCTCTAAATTAAATCTAGGCTGGGCACCGTGGCTCATGCCTGTAGTTCCAACACTTTGGAAAACCAAGGAGGGAGGATTTCTTGAGGGCAGGACTTGTGTTCAGCCTGGGCAACTTAGCCTCAGCCTCCCAAGTAGCTAGGACTGCAGGCACATGTCACTATGCCCAGCTAATTTTCCTATTTTTTTGTATAGATAGGGTCTTGCTCTGTTGCCCTGGCTCCAGAGTGGGGTCACCTACTAAGATTGTAGGCAAATCTCATAACCTCCATGTGATCACATGGAGCATTTCATTTTAGAAAAACAGCTGCAATCTCTTGGGCTGTTACTAGGATCAAATAGGTAATAGGCCGAGACCAGAAGATTGGTTGAACCCAGGAATTTGAGGTTACAGTGAGCCTACGATTGTGCCACTGCACTCCAGTGAGACCCTGTCTCATAAATACATAAGTCAGTGCTTCTCAGCATGGTGGCCATATCCACACTCCATTTTTTATCTCTCACTCTCTCTAATTCTCCAGCCTGAGTGATTTCAATTTTCCAAACCTCTTGAGTGTCCCCAAAACTTTTGTGAACTTATCTCTCCTAATGTAAGCATCACTGTCTACCATGTGCGAGTGGGCTTGCTTGTCTTAACCATTCCATGAAGTAAACAGTTCTGTGTGGCAGGGAACGTGCAGGTCTTCTTGGCATCTCTCCCCTGCAGGGGCTGTGAGAGCCTGTGAGGGGTGCCAGTGTCGCTCAGCTGCACCTTAGGAGCGGACCAATTCAGTTACGGGGGGATGGAAGAAGGAAATGTCAGAGGGACCCATGTCCATGTTCGCAAGCAAATTTTATTGTAATTACACATAGAATAAATTAGAATGTTTCACACATAAACATTCCAAAATTGTTTTCCCACTTTTACTTGGAAAATGCTCAAATGTAAAGAAAAGCTGAAGAATAGTATAATAGACACCTATTTACTCTTCACCTAGATTAATTGTTATCCTTTACCACATTTACTGTCTCTCCAAACACACACACACACACAAACACAGCTTCTCTTTTGCCAATCCTTTGAAAATAAGTTGCAGACATTACATGTCAGTCCTGAATATTTCACATGTACCACCTAAGAATGAAAACATTCCCCCGCATACTCACAATACGGTAAATCAAAGTTGTCATTTAGTATCAAATCTACAGTCCAAAAATACTACTACCCCTAATGTTACTGTAATTGGTATTAGCACATTAGTGTTAGTATTAGCACACAAGACAAATAGTACTACTGGGTTCTCAGTTGCAGCTGAAAGATCTTTCATAGCTTTGATCCAGGTTTGATCCAGGAATCAAAGCTTCACCCTTGACATTTTTACTTGTTGTGTCTCTCCAGGCTCTTTTGATCTAGATTGGCACCCTCCTATTCAATTTGATGTATTTGTCATGACATTTACTTTCCTGAAGATTCCAGGGCAGTTATCTGTTAGACGGGTAAAATGTCCTGCATTCTGCAATATCTGATAGCTCTATGATGATGAGATTTACGTCGAACCTTTTGTGGCTGTAATATCACATTGGTGAAATCATTTTAGACATTAAGTATCAAGTATTGCACTGACTACTGTTTTGAAAGGGGATCTTCTCATCATAATCTGTACACATTCGTTAGTTCTTTACAAAATAAGGAAGTGATATTAATACAGGTGGGCTCCTCTCAGTGGAAAGTGATGTCTCTCGTATCAAGCGATGTTGCTTCATGAAGTGTTTAGAAAGCCAGTTCCAAAAGCAGATCAGTAATCAATCTTGGATAAGAACTTTTTTCAAACCATTCATATAAATGTTGTCCAAGACATTTAGGATGGCAAAAGTGCTTCTGAATATTTTTACTAGTGAAATTTGAAAAAAATATAGAATTTAGAATTTGACATACCAAAAACTGATGGTTCTTGAGATCAACCATTCAGGGCTATTTAGTTTCCTCTCCCAGATAATTTTCTTTCCTTTTTGCCTGATATGAGGCAGATGGAGTAGGGCTTCATGCCAGAGTACCTTGTTACTGGTGGTATGTTTACCGACAATTAGACTTCCAGCATTGGGCAGTGCTGGCGAGGTCACCTAACCCAGCATTCCACCTCCGCCCAGGCGCTGATCCCCACCAAGCACACAATGACCTCCATGACAAAGCCTCTGTGTCAGGGCATCTTTGACAATTGAAATGCTGGAAAATTCTGTGTGAAAATGTCCTCATTCTTTCACTGGTCAATCCAGGTTCTAGTTCTTGTCATGCTTTATCCACCTTAAAACCCTTCAAATATTTGAAGATTGCTCTTACATTCTCCAAAGATGTTCTTCTCCAGTGTTAGCATCCTGAGCTCCTTCTGCCTTTCCTCTTCAATCTCCCAAGTGCATCATTTCTGCTTGCTTTCTCTTTAACATGTGTGCTCTAGCATTCTGTCTCCCCTCTCTTCCTACAGTTCTTTCCTCACACAATAATTTAAGTCTGCCATGCACATGTCATGCCTGTGAAAACCAATATAAACTGCTGGTCCTTAGGGAGCTCACCAGTCAGTGAGAGGAGGATCAGGCCAGCAGAGGATGCTATTGACAGTGAGATGGTACCTGTCTGGGGCACCTGTCATACCTGTCGCAAAGGAGGAGGTGGTTGCTAGCCCTAGAGGAAGAAAAGGCAACCTCAGTATTGGAGGAGTGGCTGTTTTCTAGGTAGGGGTGGGCATGGCATAAGTCCAAGAAGTGAGAGATGTAAGAAGACATGCAAAGCTACAAAGCAGGGGAGAGCAAGACACCAGACAGTGGGATGGGGTGGGATGCAGCGAACCAGCACAGTGAGCCTTCTGAGCCTTTCTCAGTGGCTCTGATTACGTCTTTAGGCAATGCGAAGCTTGCAGAATGAGATTCACATTAGAGTGTAGTAACAGGGACAGACACACCTTTTATTTTAGAAGGAAGTTGGATGGAAAATGCATCCATATCCATCTCCATATGAGATAGTGAACTTTCTCAACTAATATTCAGATAATATTCAGAAATAACAGAGGGGAAAAGTACAAAAAGAAGTGTATTCTTCTTTTCTTTGAACAAATTTTCTTATGGTATCTCAGCTGATTGCAAATAGAGTATCACCATTAATTCCATTTTAGTATTGATTTGCTCTTTTAAAAAATCAATTTAAGAAATGCCCTAATGTGGACAACATCTTCTTCTTTGGGTTTTAGAGTGGTTTGTTATTTTGTAGGAAGAGTGAAAGGTGTTTCTGTCTTCTTCTTCCAAGCTTGAGACTCTTCAGGGGAGCCTCTAGGGTAATAAAGGTCTTGCAGGGAGGCCACTGCCTGCGCCCCTGGCTTGGCCCATGCATGAAGGCCGTGTGTGGAATGATGCCTTTCAGCTCCCATGACTCGCAGCCCACCCCCTACACCAGCAGGCACCAGCCACACCTATGATGTTCCAGCTTCCCGCAAGGAACTGGGATTGGGGTGGCAAAGCAAACAGCTCCTGCTGTTTCCTAGGAAATGAAGACACTCCACTTATTATTACAAATAGATTATGCAAATAAAATCACAATTTTACCCAGTGCAGCAAAGAAATCCATTATACTGCAGGGTGCATGTCTCAATGCAAAGACAAAGCACTGAGTTCCTTAGCACGTATTTTAAAGATGATAGGATGTCTCTTCTGGCCTGAAACCCACTCCCTTGTCACCTCCGAGGACTTCATGTTGCAACAAGACTCTTTATTGAAAACCGAAGAGAAACAGAGCTTTATTCTCCCTGGGTTTAACTCTCCTGCTCAGTGTGACCTGCACTAATTTTGCTCAGCTCTTCTGAGTAAATACTTCTTTAGCTATCAGCCCCTCTCTCCAGGCCCTCTCACATAGAGCAGGGGCTGTCTTCTCATGCCTGTGTCCCCGGCTACTGCACACCGAAAGCTTAGTCTCTGTGCTTTGTGCCTGTTGCCTGGGTGAATGGTTGAAGGGATGACTGCAGATAGCCCATGCCCGAGGTCCCCTGGGCCTCCTCTGTCATGGGCCCCCTGATTCTTTTCCTCTCTTTCCACATCTGCTAAAGTAAGAAGTACATTTGTCTTTTGTCCTTTAGAGCACTTGGCCATTTGAAAATTGCTTTCTCTCCCTGGACTTATCTGCTGTAGCTCCCGTGAGAAAGGCAGGGTGGACATTGTCATCCCATGTAGAGAAAGAGCACCCAAGGTGCAAAAACCAAAATTAAAACCAAGATGTCCTGGCTGGGCTCAGCTTAGCTGTGCTCACTGTCTGCTTCAGCACTGCCTGCATGTGGTGGGTGGCTCAGAGTGAGGCTATTGTTCTTAGTTAACAGAGGCTAAAACTAATCAGATTTTAAAAATAACATAAATCCCTCCACATACTACTAGTTGGAGCTCAAAAATGAGACCCCTCTCAAGGGCGCCCACCTGGAGTGTCCCAGAGGAAAGACAGCAGAGGAAACAGCTGCTCCTCCTCTGACGTCCTCACTCCAGCTAGGCCTCCCAGCTCTGCAGGCCTCCCCTCTGTCCTCAAGCCTGGTGAGGTGCACACCGGGAGAAAAGCTTCCAACTGGGAAGAAAGTGACTCTCTCTGATTGCGCTGCATCGGCTGCCAGGGTCCGTAGGGAAGGAGTGGCTGCACCCCATGGCAGTGGGGGTGGAGGTGCGATCAAGGCGATCACTGGTACTGTTACCCTGCACAGTGTGCAGGAACAGAGGCCCTGGCACCTGGGACTGCAGAAGAGGCTCCCTCGCAGTCAGATGCCCGCTAGGCGAGCAGAAGTGATGGAGGGACCCGGCCCAAATCTCACTCTAACACCAGCTGTGTAGCCATAGGAAGGTGACTCAGGGGACCCCCCTTTTCTTTATGGGAAAAACAGCACTTGGTCATAAAGCTGTTGTGAGTGATCTCTGAGACCTTTCTAAAGAAGCTCAGTTAAAAAAAAAAAAAGGGAAAACAGACATCTCCCAATACATGGCTTGACGTCCAAAACCACTTGATGTCATGGGGGAGCAGCTGGAGTTGAGAATGTGCTCATGCAGTGTGAGCATTTGAAGGTTGAAGCTCTCATTCAATCAGATTGAAGCTCTCATTTTTATCATGTTGAAACTCTCATTCAATACCTAAGTTCCCTCCACCACTCCCCAGCAGGCAGTCGCCCCACACATGTCTGAACACACACCGTGATTAAGCAAGTTCCCCTGTGAAGGGCACAACGTTCAGTTGTTTAGGTAAGAAGTTTCTCCTTCTGTTTTTTCTTAGGACTCTTGTATCATCTGAATGTTTGTGACACCCCCCCACCCAAAAACAGTTCACACCATAAAGCCTGTCAACATAATGAACTATCAATCCAGAGTCAGCCCATCAACACAGTATCGCCTAAGGTGATGTGGTAGGAGGTGAGACCTTTGGGAGGTGTTAGGTCCCAGTGGGGAGCCTTCGTGAATGGGATTATTTCCCTCAAAAAGAAACTTCAGAAAGACATCTTATCCCTTCCACTGTGTGGGGACACAGCAAGAAGATGTGGTCTGTGAACCAGGAAGTGGGCCCTCACCAGACACCAAATCTGCTGGTATCTTGATCTTGGACTTTTCAGCCTTCAGAGCGATGAGAAATAAATTTCTCTTGTTTGTAAGTTGCCCAGTCCATATTATTCTGTCATAGCAGAATGAAAGGACTGAGAAAACCATTCTAGCCAAGTTCTTGCAGAGGAATTAAGCCCAGGCCTGAGGAGAGAGCCGTGCAGCCATGACCTAATGTGTTTGGCAGTCAGGTCCTTCTTGCTCTTTGTTAATGAGTCTATTAGAATAGATAGCTGAGCACACAATAGGCATGTGGGCCAAGTACTGTGCCAAGGACTGGGAGTGCAATGGTGAGCAAAATAGACATGGGCACTTGTCTTTGTGGAGCAAGACAAGTGCAGGGAAGAGCCACTAGTCTCATATTCACAGAAAACATACTTGTAGATATTGGTCAGTGCTACAGACAGATGTCATGAAATGTACAATGGGAGAATTTATCTGATTAGTAAAGGCAGAGTAGCCTTCCCTGGATAAGTGCTGGGTGTGTTGGAACCTGGAGGAATATCATGAGTTGAGCAAGTGAATTGTACTTGGGAGTGGAAGAGCACTTCCTGGGGAGGGAGGAGGAATACCTTGCAAAGGTGTGAGGCTGGGGAAGCACCGCCCATTGGAGGAACTGATTGAAGGCCAGTGAGTGAAAGGAGGGGAGGGACGAGAAGCATGTTGGTAGGTGGGTCTGGAAAGGTAGGTTAGGGATAGATCATTTGGGCCTGGTGAGTGCCGAAAGCTATGGGAACCATCTGAGGGGAGGCCGTGGTGATGGGGATGTGATCAAAACTGTGCTGCCGACATTTCCCATGGAGGTCACACACAAGAGGAGCTGCAGTCGATGACCAGCAACAGCATAGCCCAGCCTCTTTAGATAGCAGCCCTCCCGGCCACTCCATCTCGGCAGGCTCAGGCTGCCATAACAGAATACCACGGGCAGGGAGGCTTGGACAAAGGACATTTATTTCTCACAGTTCTTGAAAACTGGGAAAATCATACTCAAATTACTGAAAGACAAAGAAAAAAATCCAAAAGCAGCCAGAGGGGAAGAAAGACATTACACAGAGGAAAGGGAATGTTAGTGAAAAGATGCTTCTGCTATCACAGATACTGCAGACCAAAAACAATGGAAAAACATCCTAAGTACTGATGGAAGAGGGAGAGAGAGAGGAAAGAAATCTTACCAACAAAAATCCTGTATCCGGGAAAATACCTTTTAAAAATAAAGGTCAGATAAAGCTATTTTATGATTAACAAGTGAGAGAATTCATCACTAGCAGAATTGCATTACAAGAAACAGTCAAACTTCTTCAGATTGAAGGAAAATTATACCTTGGATGGAAACGGGAGCCTACTGAAGGAGTGGAGAGCTCAGACAAATGCAGACATGTGGGTAAATTTTTTCCATTCCTTCATTTCTTTAAAAGATGTTTGGCCATCTAAAGCAAAAATAGTTGAGTTTATAACATGGGTAGAAATGACATATGTGACAGCAATAGCCCAGAGGACAAGAGAGGGAAAGTGAAAATATACTGTTGTAAATCACATAGACCATGTAATGTGCACACAAGATGTTCTTTTGTAATAGATACTGATAAATATATACATATATGTATATATACATGTGTGTGCATACATATGTATATATATTATGAACCCTAGAGCCACCATTAAAAACAACACTGTGAGGTAAAGCTTAAGAGTCAATAAGGGAGATAAAGTAGAAACTCTAAAATGCTCAGCTGATCCAAAAGAAAACAAGAGAAGAAGACAGAACAAAAACAGATGGAACAAAGAGAAGAAAAAGCAGGATGAAAGACAGACAGAAACATATAAGTAATTATATCAAGTGTGAACAGACCAAATGCCTCAGTTAATAAGTTCATTCCATCAGTTTCCCAGTGGAGGTATCAGTGCTCTCAATTATTTTGAGAACATGACAGTGGAGGTGTGTTCCATGGACCATGTGAATCATGTAAAGAATGTAACAAATAAGATGTGGGCAAGAAATATATGATCTCATTTTTATTTTCGTAGCACTTTTCCTTAGTTGTCCTGAGTGTTTAAAATGGAAAGGCTGATGTAAAAATGTGCCAATTACCAGTGTATTATTTATGCGTCCCCAAATAGATTTTGAATCTCTCATCTCAAGCAATTTTCAAATTGAAAATATATAATTACTACTTTCAAGTCTGTCCCTTCCAGATTGGGCTTTTAGCACTCGCTCTTAGCTGACTCAGACGATTCATCAGGTGACAGAAAAGCAGGGAGCGGGGCACTGTCTGGTGCTGGCTGAGGATGCTGGGGACCAGAGGAGAGGACCAGTGTCTCACAGCCATGATGCTCAGGTTCACTGCTCAGCAGGGGCTGGGGGTGGGGTGAAAGCCTGGGCATCAAATGTTTCTGCTAAAATATAGTCTGTACACCTAGTAGGACTAATAAAACATCAGGCTTGTAGAATCCAGGCCCCTAGTTAAGAAATGAATTATAGCTTTGAATATCTGCATCAAATTTTTAATCATGGAATCCTTTCACTTTATTTCACCTTGTCTCTTAGTAGTAAATGAAAATTATGTTTTTATTTCCCCTGGCCTACCAATGTAAAAGCTAGAAATAAAGGAACGTTGTCGTACATAGATGCCCTCATTGAGTCACTACATTGAGTCACTTGGAAGTTCCCAAGACATATGCCATGCTATCACTTTTCTCCCCAAATTGTGTGTGTGTGCATGTCTAACATATATATATATATATACATATACAGATGTATACACATGTATATATATGTATATGTATATATATATATAGAGAGAGAGAGATGCTATACCAACAATTAGGAACATAATAGAAAGAAAAATATATTCCTTTTCTTGCTACCTGACACCATAGCTTTTGTCTGTTTCTGTCTAGTATGTGTATATATTCTTAGAGATGTTACCTAATTCTTAGGCCAACCAAGATACATATGTGTGGTGCCTGCTTGAGCCAGGCACTGCCTTTCTATGTGCAGTGAGGAACTATGAATAAAGGAGATTTTAGCTTCCAAGGTGTCTGTCTTACCTAATTTTCTACGACTGTAATAGAATATGCAGACTGGGTAATTTATAAAGAAAAGCTGTCTATTTGGCTTTTGGTTTTTGGAGGCTGGAAAGTCCAAGAGCATGGTGCTGGCATCTGGTGAGAGTCCTCCCGAGGTGGAAGGTGTCACATGCCGAATAAGCACGAAAGACAGAAAAACGGGGCCAAACTTACTTTAATCAGGAGCTCGCTCTTGTGATAACTGACCTGTTCCATGATCATGGCATGAATCCATTTGCCTGATAACCTCTTAAAAGCCATGCCTCTTAATACCATTACAATGGGAGTTAAATTTCAACATGAGTTTTGACAGGACATTCAACCCACAGCAGTGCTCAAAGGAGAAGAGTGTATACGTGGAGCAAAAATGTGATATGACGGGGCTAGGACAGTGTGGACAGGTGCATGGAAGGAAGTGTTATGATAAGTGAAGCTTTGCACAGGTCCTTGGAGTAGCCCTTTTGAAATCTTGGAAGGCTCCTTAGTTCTTAGTGTGCTTGTCACTTAGTGGCTTTCTTGGCTCTAGAGTTCCTCTGGGGATTGTCAGGACTGGGCTCTACGCTGACCCCACCCCCAACTCCCGCCACCACCCTTTCTTTCTCCCTTGGCTCTGAGCCCTTCACTTGACGTTTGTGAATGGGATTGTTTATCCTCAAATTTGCATACTGCACTTTTGCAAATTAAACTCCTCTGCGACACTCTGCTGCCCACTTCCACTGGCTGTTCGGCACTCAGAACATCATTACCTGGTCTCCTCTCTCTTCTAGCTGCAGGAAAAGACCTGGTCATCGCCTCCTGCAGTGTCCAGGTAGTTAATACATAACGGCCAACATGCACTTGAAACCTTAGTCCACAGTGAGCCAGAAGTGGCCACTGAATCCCTTTTAGTCAAGTTAAATATGACTGCAGACCCGGTTACCCAGGGCAGATGCCTTCCTGCCCTTCCAGGTATCCAGGGTTATTCTTGGTATTCTCAACTTTTGAGAAGGGCCCCCACTCCATAGACAGCGTCATCGTCCAGGTCTGTTCACCTGGAAGGAGGGAGCTCATTCCTCTCGGGCCAACTGTGATCCAGGATTAATTAGTGGGTCTGAGAACAGCTACCCTGAGTGAACCACACAAATGAGGCCGCCAGCAGCAATTTGTACCCTGCGTCATTTGGGTGGCCTGAATTCCACTCATTCATCTGTGAATGCACTTAAACAAACATTCCTCCTTCCTGCAAACTTCACTCTGGGATTAGGAGGTCTACATCACATCAAATGGTTAGATTCATCTCCTGTGACAGTGCATCTTAACACTCCATTCTAAAAGTCTAGAATCATTTTCTAGCTCTAAAGTTGATCTGTCAGGTCTTCCTTCCTGTTGTATTTTACCTACCTAATTTATTTCAAAATGTTCTGGATGTGATCTACTTTATAGTTGCAGAGAAATGTATGCAATTAGAGTCCCGTTAGCAGTACAGCAAAGAACTATTGCATCCTAACAGGGCTGCAGCACTGAGAAAGTAACTCAAACTTACATACCCATTATACCTCCTCCTTGGTTAATGATTCTAAGCCATCTGGATATGGGTTGATTTAGTTTTATTGAGAAAGAGAGAGAGATTCTGAACAGCATTCCTCGCTCCAAAATATTTTAAGAGTTTTCTTTTCACCTGAACCTAATTATAAATATGTATATTTGGAGTACTTTTCCCTTACCGTAACACTTGTAAGAAAATTTTGTTATGAAACATTTAGACCAGGCATGGTGCCTCATGTCTGTAATCCCAGTGCTTTGAGAGGCCAAAGCAGGAGGATCACTGGAAAAGAGTTCAGGAGAAGCCTGGGCAACAGAGCAAGATACTATCGCTGCCAAAAAAAAAAAAAAAAAAAATTAAACATTAGTGTGGCATGGTGGCTTGCACCTGTAGTACCATCGACTCAGGAGGCTGAGGCAGGAGCATCAGTTGAGCCCAAGAATTAGAAGTTACAGTGATCTGTGATCATGATACTGTACTCCATCCTGGGCAGCAGAGTGAGACTGTCTCTGAAAATAAAAAAAGAAGATAAAATGTTTAAATACCTACAACATCAAAGAAAACAGTATAATAAAACTCTGTTTACCTATCATCTGATTTGATAGCTATCAAGATGTTTTTGCACCTTTTGATATTTTTGATGGTGAAATATTTTAATGCAAACCCAGGCCTCTTATCATTTTGCTCCTACATACTTGAGAATTCATTGCTAAAAAATACGGACTTAAAAAAAAACGAATGGCAATGTTATTTTACTACCAACACAATTAGCAGCATTTCTCTGGCATCATGTCTTACCCAGCCCATCTCCAAACACCATTGTGTGGTTGCTTTGTTTAAATTAGTATCAGACTGTCCAGTGCATTTGGTGATACCCACATGTCTTTTGAGACATGTCCTTGATTCTCAAGCATTGATTTGTTCAAAAGATTTGTCTGCTTGCTTTCTCATGGTATCATTTAACTTGTTCTATTCCCCACATTTTCTGCATTTCATATGTTGTAACTCATCACAGGCCATTTTTTCCTCTTTTAATAGCCAGAATCCTTTGGTACAAAGCAGCTTTCCCTCATCAGTTAGAACTATTTGGTTCTCCCAGAAAGCCTATTGTACAGGAAAGGGAGGATAAATGCTGAAATCTCTCCCTTTATATTTGCTGAGTGGGTAGTGCCCTAGTTATCTCCAGTGTGGACCAGTGACTGCCTCTCTCTCTCGTCTCTCTCTCTCTCTCTCTCTCTCTCTCTCTCTCACTCTCACATCTTGTTGACTCTCATTATAAACTTGTAGGTCCTTATGTTTTCAATGCATTTTAATCAGATACCATCATTACTCTATATGATTCTCAGATTGTCCTATCTTTGGCTAACGGAAGCCCCTGCAAGTTGGCTTTCATGACTTTTGACCTCTCCTTAGTGGTCCTTGGGCATCACATGCTGTCCCAGCATTTCTGTACATTTCTTTACCAAGCCCTAGAATAGGTTGATCCTCTAAAAGGGACTCTGCCCCTCTCAGAGGGGAATGGCATTTAGAAAATACCATCTGACACCTTGGGCATCGGCACATGGACACGTGGGCATTGCTGTTAGGTCGTCACAGTTTCTAGAACCTTCCATTGCTCTGAGCTAGGAAATACATATTGTTTAAAACCAATCAGGACCAAGATTGGCCCCTAATCCTGTGTCTCTCGGCCTTCCAGGGGACCTTCTTCTGGGGATGGTGGGTTTTGCTGTTGTGAGGTCTCCCTGGCATGTGCTTCCTGTGCACCCCTCCCACCCAGGGCACTGGCTGTCTCCCTTACCCCAGGGCTTCTGCCCTGCTCGAGGAAGGTCCTACCTCCACCTGCAATGTGGAGCCTGCAGGACTCCCCCAGCCTTGTCACCACATGCTGTCTTATTGCCCCTGGTTTAGGGGGTATGTGTTTGTGGACAGCCTGTGGGGCTCAGGTGTCCCTTGCATCATCCACAGCCCTGACACCTTGGTGCTAACCCCTTGCAGGGCTCACTGAAGTAAGTGCTATGGCCACACTGCCAGTATTTGCGGGAGCAGGGGGTTTCCTGATACTTCTTTGTTTGCTTGTTTCTAAATATATCATCCATAGGTTTTCCAGGTTATCCTGTTAATCTGTTTGACTTGCAGTAAGAATTTGGAAAAATTCAGAAACACTGCAGCCACCCTGATTCCATTGCCCACTAATAATGTCTTTAACTAAAAGCAGTCTGATTAGACAAGAGCTAGACATGAGGCTCTCACGGGGACATTACTGGCATTCCCAGTGGAGACGATAAAACAAAGCAAATGGTAAATGGTAGGAAGCATGGCAAATGGGCCCACAGTACTCCAGACATCCCTTGAGATTGCCCTGGAGAGCAGATGCCTGCATTCTTTTCCCTGTACCATGCATTCTGACTTTTGTGCTAAGAATAATTTAGTTGTTGCTTTAAACATTCTAGTTCACCTGTAAGTGCTGGTTACAGTGAAGGAAAAGAGACATTGTTCCTTCCTCTGATCAGCCTGCTGAGCCTCCTCAGAGAGGCCTGGGCAGCAGGCCTGGGGCAAATTATGCACCAGAAAAGGCTTAGAGAGTCAGATCAGCTACTTTGCTTTAAAAAGGCATAGGGCATCAAGCTGGGATTCTGGCCTATGTAAACAGTATGCTGGGAAAAAAAAAAAAAAGAAAGAAAAAAGAAAACAAGCCAAAAATGCATTCTATAGCTCACATTTGAATGCTAATGAAAATTAAACCAGTTCCTTTTTTTAACTTTAAGAGACCACACAGCTTTTACTATGCTAATGTGTAATGTGAATTTCTCAAAGAGCTAGCCTTCAGCATTTCCCATGCTAACTTAAACCACTCATCCCTTTTTATGCCTTTATTTTAAGAGTTCCACCTCTTTCTAAATCCATGCTCCCACAAAGCACTAGTGCAAGTTGAGTGCTGTAGGGGCTATTGTGCTTATTAGCACCAAAACGCTGAGTTCAATAAAAGTAATAGTATTTCTTTTCTAACCACTCATTTTCTGAACCAGTGTTTACTGAATAGCTTAGTGTTGTTCTAGGTTATGCCAAAGGATCTTAAGCTTAGGACTCTACTTTCAAGGAGACACAAGTGTTAATGAATCATGATAATAAAACATGAGGAGTACCAGCAGTTATGGAGTATAAGGAACTGCAAGTAAAGGCATGAGTGATCCTGTGCTAAGAATAACAGTTGTCACTTTAAACATCTCTAGTGATTGACTCTGCCTTAGAAAGTCAGGAAGGCTGCCCAGAAGAGGTGACCAGAAGGTCCAAGTTCTAGAACTTGCATGAAGGTCCTGGGCTTTGTTACCCTTGCCCTAGCCAGGCATCACAGGACAGTAGCATTGATAGAGGCTGGCATGGGGGCTTTTGAAGGAAGTATCTAGAGTCAAAAAAGACTTAGGGCATGCCATAGGGTGGGGAGCTGAGGGAGCTGGGGATGGGCAGCCCAGCTACCTGCGTTTACTATTATGTGCTGGAAAGAGAGCTTGGAAAATGCTAGAGATGAGATGCTGAACTCACTGTCTAACCACCCGACAGTTTCTTGCCCACTGCATAGAAAAGCCAATACACTGAGACAGCAGTGTTGCAATAGAGAGAAAGAGTTTAATTATTGCAAGGCTATTTAGTGGGAGGACAAGAGATATTTTTATAATCATTCTCCCCGAGAACTCAGAGGCTAGGGTTTTTAAGGATAACTTGATGTGCAGGGGGCTAGAGAATAGGTACTGCTGATTTGGTGGGGATGAAGTCACAGGAGTGGCAACACTGTCTTTGTGTGCTGAGTCAATTTCTTGGGCAGCAGCTTATAGGACTGGTTGAGTCAGATCCTTGGTATGAGTTACAGGTCCAGGGGAAGTCAGTTGGTTGCCACAATGCAAAAGTCTGAGAAATATCTCAAAACCAGTCTTAGGTTTTACGATAGTGTTGTTATCTAAAGGAGCAACTGGGGCAGCTAAAAATCTTGTGACCTCCAGCTACATGACTCTTGAGTGGTAAGCAATTATAGAATAGCAAGCAGCTTATCATTTTACTATGCCTATATTTTAGCAGTATTCAAGCCCCATGATCCTAACTTTGGCCTTTTGTTAGTCTTACAAAGGTGGTTTTAGCCCCCAGAGGGGGTCAGTTTTGGGAAGGGACTGTTATCATTCTTGCTTCAAAGTTAAGTTATAAACTAAATTCCTCTCATAGTTAGTTTGGCCTATGCTCAGGAATGAACAAGGGCAGTTATCTTGTGAGGTTAGAAGCAAGATGGAGTTAACTGAGTTTGATTTCTCTTGCTGTTATAATTTTTACAAAGACAATTTCAACTGTTTGATTTTAAATAAGGTAGCAAAATAGCCTCAGAGACTGAGTCAAAGAAAACCAGAGCTGGGCAGTGGTGAAAGCAATAAAAACAGATTTTGTTTTGGACTATTGCAGTAAGGGAAAAGAAGCCTCAGAATAGAACTGGGCTCAACTCTGGACACAGCATGGGCAAGTAGGAATTTGTAGCCAATGAGCACAGTGGTGGTCAGAGGATGGAAAAATTACTAAGAAGAAACATCAAGGGGAAGGGAGATCCTGCCTAAACTCACCTAACAGGACTCTTGCCGGAAGCAGACCAGGGTGATAAGACATCTCCTGGGGGATGGTGGGTGGGAAGCTCAATCAGGTATTGAGGGGGGTCAGATACCCAGATGGAGGATTCTTGTCAATACTGGATTGCACAGGGATGTGCACAGGTGGGCCTTGTTGGGGAAAAGGTTCAGGAGCCTGACTAAAGTTTGGTCAAGAAGAGAATTTTTGTCAACTGTATCCAAGTTATTAACTCTTGGGCTAATGGAGTATTGTGTGGAAAGAGTTGATGGTTTGGTTGTGTGAGTCACACCTACCTGGTTGTCTGACTAGTTTTTGCAGTTCACTAGTTGTGGGATGCTCCTTAACAACTGTGATGTGCATTTCAATCTCTTGACAAAAACTCTGCAAGGATGCTGAAAAGATTAGCTTAAACAAATCCTGGAAAGCCATGCTTGGCATATCACAGGTTCTCCAAACGTGATAAGTATTATTCACTCATTTAATACTTGCTCTTGGTAAATGAACTGTACGGGGCCAAGGAAGAGCTTTCTCTTTGGCTCTCCGAAGGTTTGCTGAAAAGTCGGTTCACAAAAGGAAGGTTAATAGGAGAAAAGACATACACATTTATTTAACATGTATATACAATAACCTTCAGACTGAAGACCCAGAGACACGGGGGAGATTGTCTGTTTTTATAATTAGTTTCAACAAAATATGGACAGTTGTGTAGAAATATGATTAAACAAAAAGGGTGTGATCTAATGGTCATAGACTGAGTGGGAAAATACAGCAAGGCATATCGGTCTAGATTCTTCTTGGGTTCTCTGAAAACATATTCCTCTTTTCTGGGTATGAGGCAGGCCCCTCTCTAGAATGGGGGTCTGATGACCTACAGTCAAACAAAGTAGGGCAGATAATGTCTTTATGGGCCAGGTTTTACACAGATAGGGCAGAGGGAGTGGTACGTAATACTTTTTAGGGTTTATGGCTGGCTTTGTAGGAAAACAGGTTCTGGTTTCTATGACCTGCCTTGGGGAAGAGGGATTCTTGTTTCTATGGCAGCCTCAGAGGAGAATGGGACTGAGAGGAGAGCAGGAGAAGGTCAGAGGAAAACTTTTCTTTTTGGGGCCTTCATTTTGGGTTATAGTTTTCTATCCCCAATAAAACAAATAAACAAAGAAAACTCATGGAAGCTTACAAGTCAGAAATTATGAAAATCCTCTTCAGAAATTCTAATCAATGCCTGTATCAGAAATATTGCTTACTCCTATCATCAATGCATTGCCGTGATTTGCCATTTCAAACATGCCCCGCGTGGCAATCCACCTTCCCCTCAGGAGCAGCTGTAACAATTTCCCACATGTGGCCAATGCACTTTATCATATGTGTCCGTGAGAATAGCACATTAGCCACATTCAAAATAAGGTACGTTGTGCTTTTTCCATTTTTGTTGATAATGATGCCCTCAGTTTTGTAATTGCTTATTTACCTTGTTTGCATAAAATCTTCCCCTGATTTTTGTGATACAATTTCGCTGGCTTTATGCTTGGTCTGGCTCTGAGAAATTTATCATTTTCCCCATTGGTAGAGTATGAAAACTTTAAGCAAGAACTACCCAAGTGAGCAGTTTCCAGTTTCAAATTGTTCAGAATTCACTCATTTCCAGACTACAAAGATGCACAGAACCCTCGAGTCCTGTTGTCCTGCCGGGGGTCCATTCATCTTGTATCTTCAGAAGTTTTGTTTGATTCTCTATTTGTTGCCATCTGTTCTGTGTCTTTTCATGGTGTGAATTTTGAATGCTGTGGGAAAGATGGAAGCCAAAGATGCACCGGGTCTTTGGAAAAGAAAACTATAATGATTAAAGGGAGGAGAGCTGCGTAGAAGAGAGACAGTGGGGTCCTCTTAGGCCTTGTGTGCATAAAATAAGCTGAATGTTTGTGCCCTGTTACCAGATTGTTCTCTTGATTCACAGTTCATCGCCTCCTAGATGAGGCTGGGCGTGGCTCTGAAGAGCTGCAGCACTTCTCTCTGGCGGTACATTTTGCACACTCATGGTTACATGGAAGTGGCTAAATGGCCTTCTGCAGAGCCACTGCCTGATCGAACATCTCTGTGAGTCTTGGCCTTCCCCAGGAGACTGTGGGGCTCGTTGCACTTGTTTTACCAATCACAGAGCTCACAAAGAAGTTGTCCAGGCCCGGGGGGTGAGATACATAAATTGAGCCTGCCCATAATGAACACACACTTTTTCTGAAGGACCTTAGCACGGTCTAAATAAAGTTTGTAAACCACTGATGTAGAAGAGGGAGTAGATGTACATTCTGGTCACAATAGCAACTAGAGTAAACGGGCAAATGGCTTGAGTGAAAGGAAAAAAAAATGAGATTGAACAAGAAGAGCAACTGTAGAATTCTTCAGGTTATGACTGCCATGTGCTTTGAGGCAGTGCATTTGCATCCTGAGGTCACGTTGTGCATCCATTGTCACACTCGGGACTCTCTGCCTACCCTATGCTTGCACTAGATTCATCACGAAGCACCGACTGCTGCGCTTCCCTCAACAAACCCTGCTCCACGTATACCCTCAGGTTCAACTCATCGCTCTAACCATGTCATCCTGATTCACTCAACTTTACCCCAACTCAGATTCTGTTTCTAAGGTGAACTTACACATTGTGCCATGTGTGTGTCTGTCTGTGTGTGTTTGTGTGTGCACGCGCGCGCACCCCAGGTCAGTTCTAGCAATAATTGAAAAACAGAAACCTATTTTCTTTAATTATTTTACTAATTTCTACTTGATACCTCCTGGCCCTAAATCCACTGACTAATGCTCTTATCCACTCACATTTTGTCACTATCAGCATATATACCCCATGTAGCCACTGAAAAGGTCTATCTTATGTCTACTTAAGGCTGGAGGCTTGGACTAACCAATCTAACACAGGATTATCGTTCCAGTTTAGTATTTTAGGGTTGAAAACCCCTCTCGCTTTGGGTGTTACGTTCAGCTGCTGAATTGTGCTGACTTCTTAGGAGGGCCGTAGTTCACAACTTCATGAGATGGCACAGGGCAGTAAAGGCCTAAAGGGTTGAAGGGCTGACCTTGAATAAATAAATATGTGTCCATGAAACCTCTGTGGCTCCCAGCATGCAGGGCTGGAGGCATTGAATGCAGGCACCTGTGGGGAGGAGCAGTTTGTGGCAAGCAGACTTTACACGGGGAAGGACCAATGCTAGCTGCCCACGAGCACAGGCAGTAGGGTAATTGTCTGCAGAGGATCTAGAATCAATACTCCCCAGGCTGTCTCTCATCAAACCCCAAAGTCCTTCATTCTAGAGATTTGCCACCAGGGAGAGAAAAACAAGAGTTAGTTCTCTTACCCATGCACACCTTTATTTGGTAGAGGCTCAACCAAGACTCTTGTTTTGGGGGAAGATTTGTATGAGATTTCTATCCTAATACAAATGGCTGCGGATGCTGCAGATGGGGAAGGCTGTAATACAGACTTGTGGCTGCACAGAGCCACCATACTTAGGGCATCAGGCTGATGTTAGGGCCTGGAAAACAGGTTTGAAGATTTCTGTCTGAATGAATTTCTCCCTCTATTTGTTCTATGCTATATGCAAAGCCATCTGACTCTACTCGTACATCCTGCCCACGTCTTTGTGGAAGCAGTTGTTTCTCTTTCTGTTATATATCTATGGCAAATACTTATTCCTCCACTTAATATACACACTTTAAGTGGCTGCTGCATGTAAGCATTCCTGTGAGTGATGGTAGGAAAACAGCAGTGGACAAAAGATCCCAACGCTCAGAAGTGAGGAGTTCTGGTCATTTTCAGATTATAAGGTCATAGCTAAGATGTTTCTGGGCTTTTTTTATTCCTGTCAAACTCTACCAGATACTTAGCAATCTTTCTCATCCAGTTCTGTACACGAGAAATCATTGTGAATTCTTCAAACTACCAAACACCACTGTAACATAGCATTTCTACTATAATATAATTTCTACTATGATATGCTATATAATATATAATATAATAATATTATAATAATATAATATGAATGTAACTGAAAACAAAATGCAACCCCATTGAGTGTTAGTAGTAAGTAGAAAGCCACAAAGTTGATTGTAGACACAGATGTTAGAGTGATGTGCTGGAGCCAGTACAAATGCAGATTCCAAGACATCAATTTCACATCAGCTCTGGGGATAGTCCCTGGTGGAAGTCACCGTCTACAGTTTCTGCAGCTGACCTTTAGGCCACATGTTCTATGCTGAAATGCAGGCAGGTGCCTGGGAAGCAGGGGTGGCTGGGACCTATGTAATTCACTCTTACTCACTCGTCGTGTTAGGTTGTTATTCGAATGTGTACGGTATTTATTCAAAATTACAGGTGATAAAATGCCATGGACCTAAGAAATTACTCTCAAATACTAAAGACTTTGGCAGCTACATCCATGGATTGTACAGGTTTGGCTGGGCTGTATGATTTTTGTAAATGATGTTTAAAAGCATGTAGCAGGAAATCAAGCTGACTGTGTTTGAATGTGAACCCGCCATGTGAAAGCAGTGACTTTAGAATTGGACACCCCTGGGCTTCCGCTCCTGGTCTATAAAATGGAGGTAATGATTCTCTGTGCCCAGTGTGGTCCTGAGAGTTGAATGAGATGACGGGAGGGGGTGCTTAGCTGAGAGGCTGGTGCACAGAAAAGCACTCCCCACAGGGCCGCCAAGCAAAGAGATTTGTGCTGGAGTCAAGTGCTCCATTGGATGTGCTGTGCGCTCGCTGAATTTGCAACTGCTGGGAATTGAAAGGGCTTCTGCTCGGGGCCAGGCTGTGTGGAGGCTCAATGACCTAATGAACAGGATGTCCATTTGGCCGAGATGAGCTGCTGCTGGTGCAGGCCGCTAATGGGAAACCAGTGTTTACGGGAAACCTGCAAAATCATCCTTTGATAGCTGAGGATGTCGTCTGAGGGTGAGATCAAGCCAAATAGAGCGAAAACAATAGCAAGAACATAAAACTTCTGCTTTTACGAATCATTTTTAGCTTTTAGTGAAGCTGATCAATTCGTTTTAGCGAGAAGAGCCTTAGGTGGTTGTTTTCTTTAAATCCTTAATGTCTAATTTGTGAAATATTATTTTACAGATGACTTTTTTTTTCAATTTTTTTTTCCCTATGAACAGGCAGCGAAATAATCAGCCAGAGGTTAGTGTGTGACAAACATGCTTTATTTTCTTTCTAATATGTATCTGATCATGTTGTTGTGTATCTGAATACAATATAAAAAAGCTATCTTACTCTCCCTAGGCCACAGAACAACTGGAAAGGAGAAAATAAAACAAAACAAAGCATTAGGCTTGGCTTTGCAGCTTATGTTTAGCTCCTGGCCATGAGCTGATGGCAGCGAAAAGGGAGGGAAGGAGTGATGGAGTAGCCTGCCTGAGGTTGCACAGCTGCGTCGGGAGCTGATTGAAAGCCAGGCAGCGTGGATCCAGACTCCATGATTTCATCCACCACACTGCACATTTAATTAACAAAAGTATTATTGTGAAGGGGGTGAAGAGGTGATTGAAATAGCACTGGACCTTAAAAAACTGTTGAAGGCTGTTTGCCTATTGAAGCATGCATTATATTCTTCTTCGAATTATTTTAAAAAACAAACATTGGAGTTTCAGAAGTAATGCACAAGCATACATTTCCAATTAAAAATAAGTATAAAGAGCAGAGAGTTGTATTATGCAAGAGGAATTTTTCCCTCTGTTACTCATCCACATAATCTTGTTCCGTTCCTTTCAGGCAAGCTCTGTTAACAATTTTAAGCGTATTAATCAGACAAATTTAATATATATTTAATCTATGTGTTTTAAATGCATATGTTTGCACATAGTACTCTAGGATGTTCTCTGAGGGATTTTCCTATGCATGGTTATTCATCACCTCACATTTATTCATCACTAACTCTGTGCCAGGCACTTTCCCTCTACCATTCTGAGTAATTAACTCTTACCTGGGGTAACAAAAGACATTAACAAGAGAAAAACAAACAGGAGTTTATTAACGTGTATTTCATATACACATGGGAGATAGCCAGGGAGCAAGTCATTCTCACTGAGGTGGCTTAGAACTCCAACTTATATAACATCTTCACAATGAACAATAAAGTTTTAGCGAAGTGACAAGACAAAGATAAAGGACCTTGAATTTTTAGGGAAGGCAAATTATGGGAAGGAAAAACAAATGGGAAACTAATGATAGATCAAGGATAGGAAGGTTTGTCATGCAGGTGCCTCTGCTGCTGTCTCCAGGCTGAGAAGGATATCAAGTTGTTTTCAGTGGCTACCCTTTCCTCTCCCTGACAGAAAGGGTAACTGGGACATTTGTGAACATTTACATCCTGTTTTCAGGCAAAAAGGGAGAGGGCAGAGAGTTTTTCCTGTATCTGGATTCTTCTCGATTGCCTTCAGCTCAAAGTAATCTTTATGCCAAAACAGCACATTTTGGGGTGGCATATTCTCATCTTCTACACTGGCAACTGAAAATATAGATATAGTTATTGGTCTCATGAAGCTTATGCTCTGGTGGAGGAGGCAGAATTTTTACTTTAAAGGAAGCACCAAACACAAATAATGGAAGAAATTGTATAAAATTGTTGTTGTTAATAAATCTTGAAATGTTTGGTAGAGTTCTCCAGTGAAACCATCTGAGTTCAAACACTTATTTTAAGGAAGCTTTTAAATTATGGATCCAATTTATTTAATGGTTATGGGACCATACAGGTTGTGTTTAATGTAGTTTGAATTTTGGCAGTTTGTGGATTTTGAAGAACTGGTCCACTTCTTTTTAACTGGCAAATTTCTGAGTGTAATATTCTATATGGTCACCACCATTATCCTTTTAATGGCTGCGAGAGGTGTAGCAAGATCCTGTGGTTCACTCCTGATATTTGGCAATTTGCGTCTTATTTTTTTTTCCTTTGTCATTCTTGTTAGATGTTTATTGTTTGCATTGATTTGAAGAACCAGCATTTTGTTTCCTTGATTTTTCCTCTATTGTTTTCTATTTTCAGTTTCATTAATTTTTGTTCTTATTTTCATTATTTCCTTCCTTTTGCTGACTTTAGGTTTATTTTGCTCTTCTTTTTCATGTTGCTTGACATAATAATTTAAATTATTGATTTGAGACCTTCTTTCCTAATATAAGCCTTTACAGCTGTGAATTTCTCTCTCAACAATGCTTTAGCTGCATCCCACATATTTTGATATGTTAAATATTCACTTTCATTCAGTTCTGTGTACTTTTAAAATTTTTCCTTTGACATATGTTCTTCACCCATAGATTATTTTGAAGTATGTCATTTAATTTTCATGTGTTTGGATATTTCCCTTTTGTCTTTCTCTTCTTTATTTCTCTTTTGACTCGTTATGGTCAAAGAACATACTTCCTTCATGTGTTTTCAGTTACTTTAAAATTCTTGAGATTTATTTTATGTTGCAGGATATGGTATATCTTGGTAAATATTTTACACATGTTGGGAGAAAATGTGGATTCCAATGTTATTGGGTAGAGTTTTCGGTATATGTCAATTAGGTTCCATTGGTGGATTGAGTAGGTCAGATTAATGTTCCTGATAATTTTCTGTCTAATGGTTCTGTCAGTTGCTTAAGTAAGGTTTTGATGTTCTCAATGATAGCTATAAATTTGTATCTTTCTTCTTCAGGCCTATTAGTTTTTGCTTCATGTATTTTGATGCTTTTGTTTGGTACATACATATTTGAGATTGTTATGTCTTCCTAGTGGAATAATCTTTTTATCATTATTTAATGTCCATTTGTGTCACTAGTAATTTTTTTCTCTGATGTCTACTTCATGAAATACTAATATAGACACTACTGCTTTTTCTTAAAATTAATTTTATATATTTTTTCATACTTTTACTTTCAACCTACTTACACTGTGAAGATTCTATGCTGTTGAATTTGATGTGAATTTCTTATAAACAATATGCAGTTGCATCAAGGTTTTTAAAATCTGTCTTTTAAATGTTGTATTTAAATCTTTTTTTTTTTTTTTTTCAAATTTTATTGTAGAATCGGGATACATATGCAGGTTGGTAACAAAGGTATATTGTGTGATGCTGGGTTGGAGTATGAATCAATCTGTCACCCAGGTAGTGAGCACAGTACCCAATAGACAGCTTTTCAGATCTTGGCCTGCTCCCTCTTTCCTCGAGTAGTCCCCAGGGTCTATTGACCCCATCTTTATGTCCATGCGTCCTCTTACTTATATGTAAGAACATGTGGTATTTGGTTTTCTGTTTCTGCCTTAGGTCACTTAGGATAATGGCCTCCAGCTGCATCCATGTTGTTCAAGGGACATGACTTCATTATTTTTTATGGTTGCATAGTATTATATGGTATATATGTACCACATTTTCTTTATCCAATCTAGGTGTTGATGGATATGTAAGTTGACTCCCTGTCATTGCTATCATGAATAGTGCTGTGATAAACATGTGGGTGCATCGTATGTCTTTTTGGTAGAATGATTTAGTTTCCTTTGGGTATATATCCAGTAATGGGATTGCTGGGTATAATGGTAGTTCTGCTGTTTTTAGTCCTTTGAGAAATCTCTAAACTGCCCTTCACAGTGGCTGAACTAACATTTTCACCAACAATATTCCCTTTTCTCTGCAGCCTTGCCAACATCTCTTATTTTCTGACGTTTTAACAAAAGCCATTCTGATTGTTCTGAGATAGTATCTCATTGTGGTTTTGATTTGCACTTCTTTGATTACAAGTGATGTTGGGCATTTTTTCACGTTTGGTGTCTTCTTTTACAAAGTGTTCTTAATCTTTGCCCATTTTTCAATGGGGTTATTTGTTTTTTGCTTGTTGATTTCCCATTCCATAGGTTGTCTGTTTACTCCCTTGATAGTTTCTCTTGCTGTGCAGAAGGTCTTTAATTAGGTTTCACTTGTCAATTTTATTTTGTTGTTGCAATTGCTTTTGAGGACTAAGCCATTCAATTCTTTGCCACAACTGATATTGAGAAGGGCATTTCCTAGGTTTTCCTCTGGGATTTTTATAGTTTGAGGTCTTACATTTAAGTCTTTAATCCATCTTGAGTTGATTTTTATATATGGTGATAAATAGGGGTCTAGTTTCAATCTGCTGCATGTGGCTGGCAGACCAGTTATCCCAGCATTATTTATTGAATAGAGAGTCCTTTTTCCATTGCTTTTTATTGTTGGCTTTGTCGAAGATTAAATGGTTGTAGGTGAGGAGCTTTATTTCTGGTTCTGTATTCTGTTCTATGGGTCTATGAGTCTGTTTTCATACCAGTACCATGCATTTTGGTTACTGTAGCCTTGTAGTATAGTTTAAAGTTGGGTAATGTGATTTTTGCTTAGGATTGCTTTGGCTATTCAGGCCCTTTTTTGATTCCATATGAATTTTAGAATTATTTATCTAATTCTGTGAAGAAAATGGCATTGGTAGTTTGATAGGAATAGTGTTGAATATGTAAATCACTTTGAGCAGTATGGCCATTTTAATGATACTGACTTTTCCAATCCATGAGCATGGGATGTTTGTCCATTTGTTTGCATCATCTTTGATTTCTTTCATCAACGTTTTGTTGTTCTCCTTGTAGAGCTCTATTACTTCCCTAGTTAGCTATATTCCTGGATATTTTATTCTTTTTGTAGCTATTGTAAATGGGATTGTGTTATTGATTTGGCTCTCAGCTTCAATGTTAATTTTTTTTATTTTATTTTATTATTATACTTTTAAGTTTTAGGGTACATGTGCACAATGTGCAGGTTAGTTACATATGTATACATGTGACATGCTGGTGTGCTGCACCCACTAACTCGTCATCTAGCATTAGGTATATCTCCCAATGCTATCCTTCCCCCCTCCCCCCACCCCACAACAGTCCCCAGAGTGTGATGTTCCCCTTCCTGTGTCCATGTGTTCTCATTGTTCAATTCCCACCTATGAGCGAGAATATGCGGTGTTTGGTTTTTTGTTCTTGCGACAGTTTACTGAGAATGATGATTTCCAATTTCATCCATGTCCCTACAAAGGACCTGAACTCATCATTTTTTATGGCTGCATAGTATTCCATGGTGTATATGTGCCACATTTTCTTAATCCAGTCTATCATTGTTGGACATTTGGGTTGGTTCCAAGTCTTTGCTTTTGTGAATAGTGCTGCAAGAAACATACGTGTGCATGTGTCTTTATAGCAGCATGATTTATAGTCCTTTGAGTATATACCCAGTAATGGGATGGCTGGGTCAAATGGTATTTCTAGTTCTAGATCCCTGAGGAATTGCCACACTGACTTCCACAATGGTTGAACTAGTTTACAGTCCCACCAACAGTGTAAAATGTTCCTATTTCTCCACATACTCTCCAGCACCTGTTGTTTCCTGACTTTTTCATGATTGCCATTCTAACTGGTGTGAGATGATATCTCATTGTGGTTTTGATTTGCATTTCTCTGATGGCCAGTGATGATGAGCATTTTTTCATGTGTTTTTTGGCTGCATAAATGTCTTCTTTTGAGAAGTGTCTGTTCATGTCCTTTGCCCACTTTTTGATGGGGTTGTTTGTTTTTTTCTTGTAAATTTGTTTGAGTTCATTGTAGATTCTGGATATTAGCCCTTTGTCAGATGAGTAGGTTGTGAAAATTTTCTCCCATTTTGTGGGTTGCCTGTTCACTCTGATGGTAGTTTCTTTTGCTGTGCAGAAGCTCTTTAGTTTCATTAGATCCCATTTGTCAATTTTGGCTTTTGTTGCCATTGCTTTTGGTGTTTTACACATGAAGTCCTTGCCCATGCCTATGTCCTGAATGGTAAAGCCTAGGTTTTCTTCTAGGGTTTTTATGGTTTTAGGTCTAACGTTTAAGTCTTTAATCCATCTTGAATTGATTTTTGTATAAGGTGTAAGGAAGGGATCCAGTTTCAGCTTTCTACATATGGCTAGCCAGTTTTCCCAGCACCATTTATTGAATAGGGAATCCTTTCCCCATTGCTTGTTTTTCTCAGGTTTGTCAAAGATCAGATAGTTGTAGATATATGGCGTTGTTTCTGAGGGCTCTGTTCTGTTCCATTGATCTATATCTCTGTTTTGGTACCAGTACCATGCTGTTTTGGTTACTGTAGCCTTGTAGTATAGTTTGAAGTCAGGTAGCATGATGCCTCCAGCTTTGTTCTTTTGGCTTAGGATTGACTTGGCGATGCGGGCTCTTTTTTGGTTCCATATGAACTTTAAAGTAGTTTTTTCCAATTCTGTGAAGAAAGTCATTGGCAGCTTGATGGGGATGGCATTGAATCTATAAATTACCTTGGGCAGTATGGCCATTTTCACGATATTGATTCTTCCTACCCATGAGCATGGAATGTTCTTCCATTTCTTTGTATCCTCTTTTATTTCATTGAGCAGTGGTTTATAGTTTTCCTTGAAGAGGTCCTTCACGTCCCTTGTAAGGTGGATTCCTAGGTATTTTATTCTCTTTGAAGCAATTGTGAATGGGAGTTCACTCATGATTTGGCTCTCTGTTTGTCTGTTATTGGTGTATAAGAATGCTTGTGATTTTTGTACATTGATTTTGTATCCTGAGACTTTGCTGAAGTTGCTTATCAGGTTAAGGAGATTTTGGGCTGAGACAGTGGGGTTTTCTAGATATACAGTCATGTCGTCTGCAAACAGGGACAATTTGACTTCCTCTTTTCCTAATTGAATACGCTTTATTTCCTTCTGCCTAATTGCCGTGGCCAGAAGTTCCAACACTATGTTGAATAGGAGTGGTGAGACAGGGCATCCCTGTCTTGTGCCAGTTTTCAAAGGGAATGCTTCCAGTTTTTGCCCATTCAGTATGATATTGGCTGTGGGTTTGTCATAGATAGCTCTTATTATTTTGAGATACGTCCCATCAATACCTAATTTATTGAGAGTTTTTAGCATGAAGTGTTGTTGAATTTTATCAAAGGCCTTTTCTGCATCTATTGAGATAATTATGTGGTTTTTGTCTTTGGTTCTGTTTATATGCTGGATTACATTTATAGATTTGTGTATATTGAACCAGCCTTGCATCCCAGGGATGAAGCCCACTTGATCATGGTGGATAAGCTTTTTGATGTGCTGCTGGATTCGGTTTGCCAGTGTTTTATTGAGGATTTTTGCATCAATGTTCATCAAGGATACTGGTCTAAAATTCTCTTTTTTGGTTGTGTCTCTGCTGGGCTTTGGTATCAGGATGATGCTGGCTTCATCAAATGAGTTAGGGAGGATTCCCTCTTTTTCTGTTGATTGGAATAGTTTCAGAAGGAATGGCACCAGTTCCTCCTTGTACCTCTGGTAGAATTCGGCTGTGAATCCATCTGGTCCTGGACTCTTTTTGGTTGGTAAGCTATTGATTATTGCCACAATTTCAGCTCCTGTTATTGGTCTATTCAGAGATTCAACTTTTTCCTGGTTTAGTCTTGGGAGAGTGTATGTGTTGAGGAATTTATCCATTTCTTCTCGATTTTCTGGTTTATTTGCGTAGAGGTGTTTGTAGTATTCTCTGATGGTAGTTTGTATTTCTGTGGGATCAGTGGTGATATCCCCTTTATCATTTTTTATTGCATCTATTTTATTCTTCTCTCTTTTTTTCTTTATTAGTCTTGCTAGCGGTCTATCAATTTTGTTGATCCTTTCAAAAAACCAGCTCCCGGATTCATTAATTTTTTGAAGGGTTTTTTGTGTCTCTATTTCCTTCAGTTCTGCTCTGATTTTAGTTATTTCTTGCCTTCTGCTAGCTTTTGAATGTGTTTGCTCTTGCTTTTCTAGTTCTTTTAATTGTGATGTTAGGGTGTCAATTTTGGATCTTTCCTGCTTTCTCTCGTGGGCATTTAGTGCTGTAAATTTCCCTCTACACACTGCTTTGAATGTGTCCCAGAGATTCTGATATGTCGTGCTTGTTCTCGTTGGTTTCAAAGAACATCTTTATTTCTGCCTTCATTTCGTTATGTACCCAGTAGTCATTTCAGGAGCAGGTTGTTCAGTTTCCATGTAGTTGAGCAGTTTTGAGTGAATTTCTTAATCCTGAGTTCTAGTTTGATTGCACTGTGGTCTGAGAGATAGTTTTGTTATAATTTCTGTTCTTTTACATTTGCTGAGGAGAGCTTTACTTCCAAGTATGTGGTCAATTTTGGAATAGGTGTGTGGTGCTGAAAAAAATGTATATTCTGTTGATTTGGGGTGGAGAGTTCTGTAGATGTCTATTAGGTCAGCTTGGTGCAGAGCTGAGTTGAATTCCTGGGTATCCTTGTTGACTTTCTGTCTCATTGATCTGTCTAATGTTGACAGTGGGGTGTTAAAGTCTCCCATTATTACTGCGTGGGAGTCTAAGTCTCTTTGTAGGTCACTCAGGACTTGCTTTATGAATCTGGGTGCTCCTGTATTGGGTGCATATATATTTAGGATAGTTAGCTCTTCTTGTTGAATTGATCCCTTTACCATTATGTAATGGCCTTCTTTGTCTCTTTTGATCTTTGTTAGTTTAAAGTCTGTTTTATCAGACTAAGATTGCAACCCCTGCCTTTTTTTGTTTTCCATTTGCTTGGTAGATCTTCCTCCATCCTTTTATTTTGAGCCTATGTGTGTCTCTGCATGTGAGATGGGTTTCCTGAATACAACACACTGATGATGGGTCTTGACTCTTTATCCAGTTTGCCAGTCTGTGTCTTTTAATTGGAGCATTTAGTCCATTTACGTTTAAAGTTAATATTGTTATGTATGAATTTGAACCTGTCATTATGATGTTAGCTGGTTATCTTGCTCGCTAGTTGATGCAGTTTCTTCCTAGTCTCGATGGTCTTTACATTTTGGCATGATTTTGCAGTGGCTGGTACCGGTTTTTCCTTTCTATGTTTAGTGCTTCCTTCAGGAGCTCTTTTAGGGCAGGCCTGGTGGTGACAAAATCTCTCAGCATTTGCTTGTCTGTAAAGTATTTTATTTCTCCTTCACTTATGAAGCTTAGTTTGGCTGGATATGAAATTCTGGGTTGAAAATTCTTTTCTTTAAGAATGTTGAATATTGGCCCCCACTCTCTTCTGGCTTGTAGAGTTTCTGCCGAGAGATCCGCTTTAGTCTGATGGGCTTCCCTTTGAGGGTAACCCGACCTTTCTCTCTGGCTGCCCTTAACATTTTTTCCTTCATTTCAACTTTGGTGAATCTGACAATTGTGTGTCTTGGAGTTGCTCTTCTCAAGGAGTATCTTTGTGGCGTTCTCTGTATTTCCTGAATCTGAACGTTGGCCTGCCTTGCTAGATTGGGGAAGTTCTCCTGGATAATATTCTGCAGAGTGTTTTCCAACTTGGTTCCATTCTCCCTGTCACTTTCAGGTACACCAATCAGACGTAGATTTGGTCTTTTCACATAGTCCCGTATTTCTTGGAGGCTTTGTTCGTTTCTTTTTATTCTTTTTTCTCTAAACTTCCCTTCTCGCTTCATTTCATTCATTTCATCTTCCATCGCTGATACCCTTTCTTCCAGTTGATCGCATTGGCTCCTGAGGCTTCTGCATTCTTCACGTAGTTCTTGAGCCTTGGTTTTCAGCTCCATCAGCTCCTTTAAGCAATTCTCTGTATTGGTTATTCTAGTTATACATTCGTCTAAATTGTTTTCAAAGTTTTTAATTTCTTTGCCTTTGGTTTGAATTTCCTCCTGTAGCTCATAGTTTGATCATCTGAAGCCTCCTTCTCTCAACTCGTCATTCTCCGTCCAGCTTTGTTCCATTGCTGGTGAGGAACTGTGATCCTTTGGAGGAGGAGAGGTGCTCTGCTTTTTAGAGTTTCCAGGTTTTCTGCTCTGTTTTTTCCCCATCTTTGTGGTTTTATCTGCTTTTGGTCTTTGATGATGGTGATGTACAGATGGGTTTTTGGTGTGGATGTCCTTTCTGTTTGTTAGTTTTCCTTCTAACAGACAGGACCCTCAGCTGCAGGTCTGTTGGAGTTTGCTAGAGGTCCACTCCAGACCCTGTTTGCCTGGGTATCAGCAGCGGTGTCTGCAGAACAGTGGTTTTTCGTGAACCGCGAATGCTGCTGTCTGATCGTTCCTCTGGAAGTTTTGTCTCAGAGGAGTATCCGGCCGTGTGAGGTGTCAGTCTGCCCCTACTGGGGGGTGCCTCCCAGTTAGGCTGCTCAGGGGTCAGGGGTCAGGGACCCACATGAGGAGGCAGTCTGCCCGTTCTCAGATCTCCAGCTGCGTGCTGGGAGAACCACTGCTCTCTTCAAAGCTGTCAGACAGGGACATTTAAGTCTGCAGAGGTTACTGCTGTCTTTTTGTTTGTCTGTGCCCTGCCCCCAGAGGTGAAGCCTACAGAGGCAGGCAGGCCTCCTTGAGCTGTGGTGGGCTCCACCCAGTTCTAGCTTCCCGGCTGCTTTGTTTACCTAAGCAAGCCTGGGCAATGGCGGGCGCCCCTCCCCCAGCCTCACTGCCGCCTTGCAGTTTGATCTCAGACTGCTGTGCTAGCAATCAGCGAGACTCCGTGGGCGTAGGACCCTCCGAGCCAGGTGCAGGATATAATCTCCTGGTGCGCCGTTTTTTAAGCCCTTGGGAAAAGTGCAGTATTCGGGTGGGAGTAACCCGATTTTCCAGGTGCTGTCTGTCACCCCTTTCTTTGACTAGGAAAGGGAACTCCCTGACCCCTTGCACTTCCCGAGTGAGGCAATGCCTCTCCCTGCTTCGGCTTGTGCACGGTGCGCTGCACCCACTGACCTGCGCCCACTGTCTGGCACTCCCTAGTGAGATGAACCCGGTACCTCAGATGGAAATGCAGAAATCACCCGTTTTCTGCGTCGCTCACGCTGGGAGCTGTAGACTGGAGCTGTTCCTATTCGGCCATCTTGGCTCCTCCCCCGCTTCGATGTTAATTTAAGCTGTTTACATTTAAGGTAGTTATTAATATATTAGGAGATACTTGCATTCTAGTTGCCATTATAATGTTTGTTTTCTCTGTCTCTCATTCCTGTTTCTTTTTACTTGTTTTCACATGGATTACTTGAATAGTTTTTAGAATTTAATCTTAACTTATTTATAATGTCTTTCAATATTTTGTTTTGTATGATTTTCTTCATGGTTACTGTAAGAATAAATACATACATAATTAAATTATAACAGTCTCAATGTTTTACCACATTAAGTAATGTGTAGAAACTTTACTTTCATTTAGTTCCCTAGTTTCTCCTTGCCTTTTGAATATAATTATCTTAGGTATTTCCTGTATATACGTTGAGCACAACATCAGATGGTGTTATGATTCAACCATCAAATGCTGTTTTAGAAACTCATGTAAAGATGGATTGTCAATTATATTTTTATCCTTACTCTTACATATTTCCATACTCTTCTTTCTTTTGTGAAGTTCCAAACCTTCCTTTATTGTCATGTCCTTTCAGTTTAGAGAACTTCCTTTAGCAACTCCTTAAGGGATATTTCCTAGGCACAAATTTGCTTGATAGTTCTTTGGCTGAGAGTGTTTTTATTTGTCCTTTATTTCTAGAGGTATTTCTACTAAATGTAGAATTCATAGTTGACAGCTCTTTACTTTCAGCACTTGAAATATATTGTCCAATTTCCTTCTAGCATTCATGGTTTTAGATGAGAAGTGTGTTATCATTTGCATTTTTTAAACCTATATGCAATGTGTTATTTCTCTCTGGCTGCTTTTAAGATTTTTTACCTTATTTTTCATGATGATATTTCTGAGTATGGATTTTGTTGGGTTTATTTTACTCGAGGTTTGCTTAGCCTCTTGAATATGTAGGCTTATATCTTTCTCCAAGTTTCAGAAGTTTTCAGCCATTATTTCTTGCAATACTTCCAATAGTGTTTCAATCCTCTCTCTCTCTTCTCCTTCCAAAATTCTGACAGTATAAAAGTTAACTCTTTTGAAATTGTCGTACTAGTTCCCTGAGAATGTTTGTTTGTTTATTATTTATTTTACAATCTACTTTGTCTTTGTGGTTTAGATTAGGTAAAATAATTTTAATCTGTCCTCAATTCTATACAGTCTGTTTTGTGGCATCCTCACTATTAAGCTCATCCAGTGAGTTTTTAAAAATTGTGTTTTCATTTAGTTATTTTCTGAGCTTTTTCATTTAGGAATTTCTTTCAGGAATTTCTTTCAAGAGAATGAATAACTGCTTGTTGAAGCATTTTTATGACAACTGCTTTAAAATCCTTGTCCGACAATTTCAGCATCTGTATCATCTTGATGTTGGCATCTGTCAATCTTCTTTTCCATGCATCTTGTGACTTTCTGGTTCTGGGCATGATGAGTAATTTGTTTTCTCTTTCTCTCCCTCTCTTTCTTTCTTTCTCTCTTTCTCTCTGTCTGTCCATCTGTCTCACTCTGTCACCAGGCTGGAGTGCAGTGGTGCAGTCTCAGCTCACTGCAACCTTTGCCTCCCAGGTTCAAGCGATTCTCCTGCCTCAGCCTCCTGAGTAGCTGGGACTACAGGCATGCACCACCACGCCCAGCTAATTTTTGTATTTTTAGTAGAGACAGGTTTTCACCATGTTGGCCAGGATAGTCTCAATCTCTTGACCTCATGATCTGCCCGCCTTGGCCTCCCAAATTCCTGGGTGAGCCACCATGCCTGGCCATGTTTTTGTTTGTTTGTTTTGTTTTTGTTTTTGAGAAAGAGTCTCACTCTGTTCTCTAGGCTGGAGTGTAGTGGCATGATCTCAGCTCACTGCAACCTCTGCCTCCCAGGTTCAAGTGATTCTCCTGCCTCAGCCTCCTGTGTAGCTGGGATTACAGGTGCCCACCACCATGCCTGGCTAATTTTTGTATTTTTAGTAGAGACGGGGTTTCACTATTTTGGCCAGGCTGGCCTCAAACTCCTGGTCTCAAGTGATCTGCCTGTCTCAGCCTCCCAAGGTGCTGGGATTACAGCCATCAGCCACCGCACCCAGCCACCGCACCCAGCCAGCATGATGGGTAATTTTCTATTGTAGACTGAAGATTTGGGATATTATGAGACTCTGGATTCTGTATATACTTTTTTCACAGGCATCTTCCCTTGGAGGTGTAGTTGGAAGGCCACATGGCAGTGAATGCTCAGCATCCCTTCAGCCCCACTGACACCACCCTTGCAAGAGTGGAGCAGTAACCCGATGTCTCATTGCAGATGAGTCCAGTGGCATTTCAGCTCCATCCTAGCCCTGCTTATACATTCCTGGTCAGCTCTTTTGTCTGATTTCCTCTTCTTATAAATAACACCCTCTTCCTTATACCAGTGTTAGGCATCCTTCATGTTTGAGTATCACCAAGACCTTGCTCCCCTGCTCCCCTCAGCCCTCCCAGAGCCCTCCTGTTCCTGCTCTCTCTCTCTCCAGGCCCCTGCCCGACTTGCTGTCTGCTCAAACTGTGCTCGCTGTGAGCTGCTGGGAACTCTCCCAGGGCTCAGCCTTGCCATTTCTTTGCTTAAAATGCCGAAGTGTCTTTTTTGCCTATCAAATTATGTATAACCTCCTCCCCAGGGAATTAAGGGCTCTTGTTTCTAAAATATGCTCTAAACTGCCTCTCTGCCTTTTCTCCTTTCCAAGTGAAAACCTCACAGATCAGTATATTTATAGGAAGACCTTATTATGTAATTTAATAATAATTCCTACTTGGATCCTCTGTGGCAGGCACTGTGTTATGTCCTAATAGACAACATTTAATTAATCTTCATGGTAATCCAATGAAGTAACAGACGCACAAAGAAGTTAAGACTTTGGGATCTGCGGTTGTCAGCCCCAGGTACAAATCCCATCTGGATCGTAGCTCTTCCTCCTGAAATATGGGCAGTAGCCTCAGGATTGTTGTGAAGCCTAAAGAAGGTAATGCATAAGAGCTCTCAGCATGAGGTGCTGTGCACAGTGAGCATTCAGTAGGTGATGTAGTTGCTGCTGTTGCCAGTATTTAGTATTATTGCCATGCTTTAGAGTGAGGCCCAGTGAGGTGAAACAAATAGCCCAAGAGCACACAGCTCTATTAAGTAATAAAAGGCGGATGTCACACTCTGCAACGTTAAAAGCACAGGGTGTGAGAAGGAATGGATAGAACGATCCTTCTCATTCCTCCCAGATATCTACAGATAGGCCCTGATTTATGCTGATTTGAATTGTGATTTTTTTTATTTAATCATGGGTTGATTGGTGTACTAAATGCGTTTTGGATTCCTGATACTTTGGACTTATGATGGATTTATCGGGACATATCTGCATCAGAAGTCAAGGAGCATCTGTACTTATATGAAAATTCTAGACCAAAGACTGAAATATACTTTTCATTTAAAATTCAATGTTAGCTACCCGCTTCTGCCCCAAACAGCTTTCATGATGAAACTTGCCTTTTTGATCCATTATGTGAGCAAGAAGAAGTTTATGTTCACAGAAGGGCTTTTGAGAATACTAATGGCACTCTCCATAGCAACTTAAGCCCCCACTCTATTTCCTTTAACGGCTATTTTTTTTTTTTTTTTATCATCAGTACCATGTGAATGAGAGAGCCACTGCATGAGCCCTGGAGGCAGCGGCCTTCAGGGTTGATGTTCTTAGGGTTGGGGTGATGTTGAGCGGTGCATTTAGAAGTAAACATTGCACGTGCGTTTTTTTTGTAAACTGTCTCAAAAGAAAGAATTAAGGATAAATATTGCTTGGCTTAGTTTTAGAAGGAATGGTACCAGCTCCTGCTTGTACCTCTGGTAGAACTTGGCTGTGAATCTGTCTCGTCCTGGGCTTTTTTTGGTTGGTAGGCTATTAATTACTGCCTCAATTTCAGAACTTGTTATTGGTCTATTCAGGGAGTAGACTTCTTCCTGGTTTAGTCTTGGGAGGATGTGTGTGTCCAGGAATTTATCCATTTCTTCTAGATTTTCTAGTTTATTTGTGTAGAAGTGTTTATAGTATTATCTGGTGGTAGTTTGTATTTCTGTGGGATTAGTAGTGATATCCCCTTTATTATTTTTCTTGTGTCTGATTCTTCTCTCTTTTCATCTTTATTAGTCTGGCTAGCGGTCTATCTATTTTGTCAATCTTTTCAAAAATCCAGCTCCTAGGTAATACCATTCAGGACATAGGCATGGGCAAAGACTTCATGACTAAAACACCAAAAGCAATGACAACAAAAGCCAAAATTGACAAATGGGATCTAATTAAACTAAAGAGCTTCTGCACAGCAAAAGAAACTACCATCAGAGTGAACAGGCAACCTACAGAATGGGAGAAAACTTTTGCAGTCTATCCATCTGACAAAGGGCTAATATCCAGAATCTACAAGGAACTTAAACAAATTTACAAGAAAAAAACAACCCCATCAAAAAGTGGGCGAAGGATATGAACAGACATCTTTCAAAAGAAGACATTTGTGTGGCCAAAAAACATATGAAAAAAAGATCATCATCACTGGTCATTAGAGAAATGCAAATCAAAACCACAATGTGGTACCATCTCAAGCCAGTTAGAATGGTGATCATTAAAATGTCAGGAAATAATAGATGCTGGAGAGGATGTGGAGAAATAGGAATGCTTTTACACTGTTGGTGGGAGTGTAAATTAGTTCAACCATTGTGGAAGACAGTGTGGTGATTCCTCAAGAATCTAGAAGCAGAAATACCATTTGACCCAGCAATCCCATTACTGGGTATACACCCAAAGTATTATAAATAATTCTGCTATAAAGATACATGCACATGTATGTTTATTGCAGCACTATTCACGATAGCAAAGACTTGGAACCAACCCAAATGCCCATCAATGATAGACTGGATAAAGAAAATGTGGCATATATACACCGTGGAATACTGTGCAGCTATAAAAAGAATGAGTTTATGTCCTTTGCAGGGACATGGATGAAGCTGGAAACCATCATTCTCAGCAAACTAACACAAGAACAGAAAACTAAACATCGCATGTTCTCACTCCTAAGTGGGAGTTGAACAATGAGAACCTATGGGCACAGAGAGGGGAACATCACACACTGGGGCCTTTTGGGGGTTGGGGGACAAGGGGAGGGATAGCATTAGGAGAAATACCTAATGTAGATGATGGGTTGATGGGTGCAGCAAACCACCATGGCATATGTATACCTGTGTAACAAACCTGCACGTTCTGCACATGTATCCCAGAACTTAAGCATATAAAAACGAAAGAATTAAGGAAAAATAGAGCCAAAGGTTACTGGAACAAACGAACCACGTATTGACAGACTGCTTTGTTTTTTATTGTGTTGTTAGGATAGCCATTATATGAGTCTGGTCCTGGACGGGATGCACTTTTCTTTTAAATGAATTTGTTCCTTACTGCAACAAAACAACATTTCCCAGAATATTTCTCAATGCTAGGATTAACTTGATTCCCGTTTGATGGAGTATGAGCGAAAGAGAATGTGTTCCCCACTGGGAGGGTGAGGACTCTAGCCCAAACTACATCCACTGGTGTAGTTTGGATATCTGTCCCTTCCAAATCTCATGCTGAATGTGATCGCCAGGGGCCTCGTCAGAGGTGTTTGGGTCATGGAGGTGGATCCCTCATGAAGGGCTTGGTGTCCTCCCAGTGGTAATGGGTGAATTCTTGTTCTATGAGTTTACGAGAGAGCTGGTTAATTAGAAGAGCCTGGCATCTCTCTTGCTCCCTCTCGCCAGCTGATGTGCCTGCTCCCCCTTCCTTTCCACCATGAGTAAAAGTTTCCCAAGGCCTCACCAGAAGCCAAGCAGATGCCAGTGCCTTGTAGAACCATAAACCAAATAAACCTTTTCTTCGTATTAATTACCTAGTCTCAGATATTTCTTTATAGCAATGCAAAATGGACTAAGAAACTTACCCTTTAAATTTTTGTGGCTGGTTTGTATTTTGTTTTGTCTTTTTTTTTCTTTCTTCCTCCCTCCCTGCTTCCTTCCTTCCCTCTTTCCCTTCAGCCATTTCTCTTTCCCTTCATCCTTCTCTCTTTCCTGTCATCATTCTCTCTTTCCCTTCCTTCCTCCCTCTACTCCTCTCTTCCTAGCTTTCTCCTTTCCTTCCTCCCTTACTTTCTCCCTCCCTTTCTCTCTTCCTTCTTTCCTTCCTTTCTTTCCAGAATCCTAAAGCTTTGCCTCTGCCTCTTCCAAACAAAAAGTAAAACAAAGCAACAAGTAGGATTGTTTACCAGCTGCTCTGTGGCCACTAAAAGAAATAAGTTGTAGTGGGTATAGACCAGTAATGTTTATTGATTGACATTGCCTCTGTGCAGCTGTTGACCTGTTAACTTTAAATTTAGTTTATGTGGGGGCAGGCATGGCTGTCACACTCACCCTAAATCTTCTGTCTATTACAGAGGTGGAATTCCATGAGCCATATTAGAAACACTACCTTCTCATTCTTCACTCTTAAAATATATGCTTCCTTTTGGGAGTTTTACATGAAGTAAAATGAGAACCTCATCTGTGTGTTTCCTGGGTGGGCCTTTGAATCAAGAATGCAGGCTGTTCCTTCCGTGTGTTAGGTGCTGCATGCAACCTCGCCTCTCCAGGTGCCCCAGACACATTACTGAATACAGCAGGGACAGACCCCTCCTTCACGGAGCTCATTTTCTGGCACAGGCAAAGTGACCCTTTTCACCTCTTAGAGGAGCAAGTTGGCAAAGTTTTTCTGTAAGGGGCTAGATAATAAATCCTTGGGACGTGTGGACCAGCGGATTTCTATGGTACCTACTACGGCCAGGCAGTGAAAGCAGCTGTAACTTATGTGCAATGATGGGTATGGTGATGTCTCAATAACATTTTACTCACAAAAGCTGGCCTCGGGGTGGACTCGAGCCCAGGTGTGCTACCCGTGGGTTACAGTCTTCACTTCTGACAGAAGTCCTTATTTAAGGCCTCGAGATTTTCTTCACTACAAATTTTTTACTGAGGCTGCCTGCCCTCCTGGCTGCTTTGAGCTGTCTTCAGCTTTTTAGCTCATCCATACTTCATGAGACACAAAGAACAGCATGTCTGCATTCTGTGTACAGATACTCAGCCTTCTCCATGCCCTGCCTCTGGAATAGTCTCCATTAATCCGAACAAATGTAGAGTTGGGGAAAGAAATAGAGCAGAATATTTGTGTTTAGCCCTTGTCTGCTTGGATAATGGTGTCTGCTTTGATTTCTCAAGAAGACTTTAAAAATAAACCATTCTCTGTTGAGCACCTGTTGAGTTCTGGGAGTGTGCTGAGTCCTCAGAATACACAGCTGCAGGACACAGCTTCCCGCCCCTCAAGTATGGACAGGTCAGGGAGAGAGTTAGACAAGCAGATACTCAGCAGAGGTGAACACAGGGAGGTTGGTGGACAGAGCTCAACACCCGATGCCAGTGGGGCATGGGGAGTGAGGGGTGCGTGTGTGTGTGTGTGTGTGAGAGAGAAAGAGAGAGAGAACCACAGAGAGAGAGAGAAGAGAAAGAGAAGAAGACAGAGGAGAGAGAAGAGAGGGAGAAAGAGAAGGAAAAGGAGGATGAGGAGGAAAACAGAGGGAAATAGGGGAGGGAAAGTGAGAGGGAGGGAGGAGGGAGTGTGAGCTGAGGAGAAGCAGCAGAAATTTCCATTAAGGGTCTGTAACACTTACACCTTGAGAGCTGGATTAGTCCAAAGAGGAGGCGCTATTACACAGCATCCCTATAGGGTGTGTAGGAGCTGACTTCAGCCAAGCCACAAGGGGTTTAGGTCACAGAGGATATGGGTCTCTGGTCTTTTATCCTTTTATTCCCCTTTTAGTGCTGTTTATAATCGGAACAATAATGAACTTATAATTCTAAATAATTGTAGATATAAAAGTAAATAATTTAGATACAGATAAAAATGCGACATTATGTGTTCTTAAAATGATACAGAATATACTAAACTAAATTGAATGGCAGAGAGTAAACATGAAGTTAAAAGTAGCAATTTGCACATCAGGGAACAGAAAATCTAAGAGCTGATTTCTGTAAAATAGACAAGTTTGTGGTAAGTTTAATTCATTAAAAGAGCAAAAATGTAAACACAAATACCATCATACAAGTATATTCAGCAGCATTTCATTGCCAATTTTCATTTTGCTATCACCTTTTTACTTCCTTTCCCCATCTCCTCTCTGCTTCTATCTTCTAACTTTTTGTCTTCTCCAAGAGAACCAACGGAAGTGACCCAATGCATACCCTTTCATACATTTCTCTATAATCATATAATCCTATACAAAGACATATACCCATATATATTTTTGTTTCCTTTTTATAAGGTTAGATTCTTATTAAAGATATTTTTCTATACATTCATTTTTTTTCTGTTTCACTTAACAATACATCTTGGTCAATCCTTCAGGTCAACAGACACAGAAATCATTCATTATTTGTAATGGCTACCCGCTTTCGGTTTTCCCCACTACAAGTAATGCTACACAAAACATCTTTGTCTGTATTATATTATGTGTCTCTGTAGAAGGTATTTATGGCATTTGCATTGCTGGCTGGAAGCACATTTGTAAATTTTAATAGATTGGCAGGTTGCTTTCCAGGAGAGATGTGGTAATTCACATTCCCACCAGCACTGTATAAATGTGACCATTTCCCTACATCTTCACCAGAAATTGGCATTATTTTAAGATGTTCCAGTTTTATCAGTGAAAAACTGGTGTCATATTATTGCTTTATATTGCATTTTTTTGCTTCTTTCAGCATTATTTCTTACGTTAATTGGTCATTTGAGTTCATCTTTCGTGAATTGCCTATCATATTCTTACCCATATACCTCTTTTCTCTTTTATATGGTTTTATTATCAAGGAACTGCTCTTTGACTATTATGAACATTTACTCTTTATCTGTTATGTATTTTTGTGAAGTTATTTCCTCAGTCTCTCATTTCCTTTATGATCATACAAAATTTTTAGTTTTTATGTGGTAAAATATGTTCATTTCCCCTCATATATCCTGTCTTGACTAATAGGATATACCTCTCCTAACGGTTACACAGTACTTCTACTAGGTTATCTTCTAAAGTATTTATTGTTCTAATTTTTTACCACTAAGTCTTTAATCTATATGGAACTGTTTTACCTTTCCAACTTTTATTTTAGGTTCAAAGGATACATGTGCAGGTTTTTTACATGGGTAAATTGCATGTTACAGGGATTTGGTGTACAAATAATTTTGTCATCCAAGGAATCAGCATAGTACCCAACAGGTAGTTTTTCAATTCTCACCTTCCACCCTCCACCTTCAAGTAAGCCCCAGTGTATATTGTACCCTTCTTTGTGTCCATGTGTACTCGATGTTTAGCTCCCACTTATAAGTGATAACACGCAGTATTTAGTTTTCTGTTCCTGAGTTAATTCACTTAGGATAATGGCCTCCAGCTCCATCCATGTTGCTGCAAAGGATATGATTTCATTCTTTTTTATAGCTGCAGGTATTCTATGATATGTATGTACCACTTTTTCTTTATCCAGTCCACTGTTAAGCATCTAGGTTGATTCCATGTTTTTGGCATTGTGAATAGTGCTGTGATGAACATGCACATGCGTGTATCTTTATGGTAGAATGATTTATTTTGTCTTTGGGTCTATACCCAGTAATGGGATTGTTGGGTCGAATTATAGTCTGTTTTAAGTTCTTTGAGAAATCTCCAGAAAGCTCTCTACAGTGTCTGAACTAATTTACATTCCCCAGTAGTATATGTGTTCTCTTTTCTTTGCAACCTCACCAGCATCTGTTACTTTTTTGACTTTTTAATAACAGCCAATCTGACGGGTGTGAGGTGGTATCTCATTGTGGTTTTGATTTGCATTTCCCTAAAGAGTAGTGATATTGAGCATTTTTCTATATGCTTGTTGGCTGCATGCATGTCTTCTTTTGAGAGGTGTCTGTTCATATCCTTTGAACATTTTTTAATGGAGTTGTTTGTTTTTTTCTTGTTGATTTGATTAAGTTCCTTATTAAGGAAGTTAAGTTTCTGAAAGTTAGGCCTTTGTCAGGTGTATAGTTTGTGAATATTTTCTCCCATTATGTAGGTTGTCTGTTTACTCTGTTGACAGTTTCTTTTGCTGTGCATAAACTCTTTAGTTTAATTAAGTCTCACTTGTCAATATTTTTGTCGGAATTGCTTTTCAAGTCTTTGTCATGAAGTCTTTGCCACAGTCCATGTCCAGTACAGTATTTCTTAGGTTTTCTTCTAGAGTTTATGTAGTTTTGGGTTTTACATTTAAGTCTTTAATCCATCTTGAGTTGATTTTTGTATGTGGTGAAACAAAGGGGTCCAGTTTCAATCTTCTGCATGTGGCTAGCAAGTTATCCTAACACCATTTATTGAATAGAGAGTGCTTTCCCTATTGCTTGTTATTGTCAGCTTTGTTGAAGATCAGATGGTTGTAGGTATGCAGCTTTATTTCTGGTTTCTCTGACTTGTTGCATTGGTCTGTATGTTTTTGTACCAGTACCATGCTGCTTTACTTAGAGTTATAGTATAGTTTGAAGTGATAGTGTGATGCTTCCAGCTTTGTTCTTTTTGCTTAGGATTGCTTTGGCTATTCAGACTCTTTTTTGGTTCCAAATGAATTTTAGAATAGTTTTTTCTAATTCTGTGAAAAAAATGTTATTGGTAGTTTGATAGAAATGGCATTGAATCTGTAAATTGCTTTGGGCAGTATAGCCATTTTAACAATATTGATTCTTCCCATCCATGAGCATAGAATGTTTTTTCATTTATTTGTGTCATCTCTGATTTCTTTCACCAGTGTTTTATAATTCTCATTGTAGAGATCTTTCACCTCCTTGTCTAGCTGTATTTCTACATATGTCATTCTTTTTGTGGCCATTGTGAGTGAGATTGCATTCTTTATTTGGCTCTCAGCATGAGTGTTATTGGTGTGTAGAAATGCTACTGATTTTTTGTACATTGATTTTTGTATCCTGAAACTTTGGTGAAGTTGTTTATTGGATCTACGAGTCTTTGGGCAGAAACGATGGCATTTTCTGGGTATAGAATCATATAGTCTGTGAAAATGATAGTTCAACTTTTTTTCTTCCTATTTGTGTGTCTTTTTTTTCTATGCCTTTTATTTCTTTCTCTTGCCTTATTGCTCTATCTAGGACTTCCAGTACTATGTTGAATAGCGGTGGCGAGAGAAGGTATCCTTGTCTTGTTCTGGTTTTCAAGAGGATTGCTTCCAGCTTTTACCCATTCGATGTGATTTTGGCTGTGGATTTGTCATAGATGGCTGTTATTATTTTGAGATATGTTCCTTCAATGCCTAGTTTCTTGAGGATTTTTAACAAGAAGGGATGTTGAATTTTACAGAAAGTTTTTTTGTCTCTATTGAGATGATCATGTGCTTTTTGTTTTTAGTTCTGTTTATGTGATGAATCACATTTATTGATTTGCATATGTTGAAGCAATGTTGCATCCCAGGAATAAAGCATACTTGATTGTAGAGGATTAGCTTTTTGATGTGCTACTGGATTTGGTTTGCTAGTATTTTGTTGAAGATTTTTCATCTATGTTCATCAGGTATATTGGCCTAAAGTGTTCTTTTTGTTGTTGTTGCTGTATCTTTGCCTGGTTTTGGTATCAGAATGATGCTGACCTCATAGAATGAGTTAGGGAGGAATCCTTCCTCCTTGATTTTTTTGAAATAATTTCCACAGAATTGGTATAAACTATTCTTTACATACCTGGTAGAATTCAGCTCTGAATTCATTTGGGCCAGGGCTTTTCCCGGTTGGTAGGATTTTTTTTTTTTTATTACTGATTCAATTTTGGAACTTGTTATTGGTCAATTCAGGTTTCAGTTTCTTCCTGGTTCAATCTTGGGAGGTTTTATGTTTCCAGGAATTTATCAATTTCTTCTAGATTTTCTAGTTTGTGTACATAGAGGTGTTCATAACAGACTCTTAGGGTTTTTTGAATTTCTTTATGGTTGGTGGTAATGTCTCCTTTGTCATTTCTGATTGTGTGTTTTTGGATCTTCTCTTTTTAAAAATTAGTCTAGCTACTTGTCTGTCAATGTTACTTATTCTTTCAAAGAACCACCTTTTATTTTTATTGATCTTTTGTAAGCCATTTCGTTCACTTCAGCTCTCATTTTCGTTATTTCCTTTCTTCTGCTAACTTTGGAATTTATTTACTCTTGTTTTTCTAGTTCCTCTAGGTGTGATGTTACATTGTTAATTTGAGATCTTTCTAACTTTTTGATGTGCACATTTAGCACTATAAACTTTCCTCTTAACAGTGCTTTAGCTGTGTCCCAGAGATCTGGCATGTTGTATTTTTGTTTTCATTAGTTTCAAAGAATTTCTTGATTTCTGTCTTAATTTCCTTCTTTACCCAAAAGTCATTCGGGGTCAGATTATTTAATTTCCATCTAATGGTATGGTTTTGAGAGACTTTCTTGGTACTTATTTCTATTTTTATTGTGCTGTGGTCTGAAAGTGTGGCTGGTATGATTTCGTTTTTTGGAATTTGTTGAGAATTGCTTTATGGGCTTAGCATATGGTAAATGTTAGAGTATGTGGCGTGTGCATATGAGAAGACTGTATATTTTGTTATTGGGTGCAGTATTCTGTAGATGTCTTTTAGGTCCATTTGATCAAGTGTCGAATTTTTATCCCGAGATCTTCGTTAGTATTCTGCCTTGATTATAGGTCTAATACTGTCCGTTGGGGGTTGAATTATTTCACTATTATTTTGTGTGGTTATCTAAGTGATTTTATTAGTCTCTACAAACTTGTTTTATGAGTCTGGGTGCTCCAGTGTCGGGTGCATATATATTTAGGATAGTTAAGTGTTTTTATTGAATGGAACCCTTTATTATTAGGTAATATCCTTCTGTGTCCTTTTGATCATTGTTGGTTTAGTCTGTTTTGTCTGAAATAAGAATAGCAACCGGTGCTCTTTTTTTTGTTTTCTGTTTGTCTGATAGATTTTTCTCCATCCCTTTACTTGGAGCCTATGGGTATCACTGCATGTGAGAGGTCTCTTGAAGATAGCATACAATTGGCTTTGGCTTCTTTATCCAAGATGCCACGCTGTGCCTTTTGAGTGGGGTGTTTAGTCCATTTATGTTTAAGATTAATAACAGTATGTGCAGATTTGATCCTGTCATCATGTTGTTAGCTGGTGGTTATGTAGACTTGATTGTGTAGTTGCTTTATAGTGTCAGTGGTTTATCTCCTCCTTCTGATCTTGGACTAGCAACCAAGAAATAAAGCACTTAGCACGAGTGCCTTGGGCTCACCAACACTGTAATTCAGGACAAAACCCTTGTAATTTTGCAAATGATGGGGTTTTTAAATAGGCTGGACTTCAACACCTTGTTTTCTAAAAGGGAAAAATATAACCATGTCCAAGACATAGCTTTTCTCACAAACGAAGTGACTGAGATAGGTCCAAGGGAAATACTCCAAAGCAGTGGATTCCGAACTCAAGCCTTCCAAAGATTCACATTTTGAAAGCTCTATGAATTTAGGAGAGTCCTTCAGGAAAATTTGTTGCCCACCTAAGGGCTTCTTTGTGTAGGTACCATTAATCCTAAGGAAATAATTAAAATACAGCCTCTAGTGGAAAGTTCTGTCCACTGACAACTGATGGATTGTCAGTGGACAAGCTTCAGACCTTATGATGCGACAGCAATATCTCTGCACAGCACGTGGAAACTGTGGGGGACACCAGGGGGGCACAGATGTGGTAAGGAGAAGAGCCTGTGTTTGCACAGCTCCTTTGCTAGCGCTCAAGGTGCTGAGGTATTCACTCAGGAAGTATCCAAGGGTTTGGGAAGGGCAATCATGAGGGGCCCCTTACATCCCAGGCCTTACATTTCTGCAGACCTCCTGCCCTGGCCACTGAGAATCATGCAGGCTATAGGACTTCCCTCTCTGAGTCCCCACTTCAGGGAAAAGACATCATAAGTTACAGAAACAGGACAACCAGGGAGCAAGGATGCCCTCCTTAGCAAGCTTCATGTAGGGAAGTGGCCCAGGACTTGTTGAGACAGACTTGAGGGCAAGTGGCTCGTGATGCTGGGATCAGGGTACAGTGTCACAGGATACCTTCAACCAGGGCCTCTCCCACTGAACCTCTCGAGCAAAGGTGGTAGGGGCACCCCAGGGTTTCACCTTCCCCTCCTTGGCTAGTTTGTCATTGAGATGGCAAAGCTGAGCCAGGAACCCATCATTGGGGCTGATCTCACAGTTCTGCCTCATGATACTCAGGATGGACTTGATGTCCAACTTCTGACAATCATAAGGTACATGATAACTAGAGCTGGAGATGGCTGTAACCTTCCCAGCACTGGACGAGCACCTGGCCATTTTGAGCCAAGGCCTGGTCAGTGAAGTCTGTAGCCCTTTCAAAGTAGGTGCTGAGGTTGAACTCCTGCACTTCATTGGCCTTGATGCCCAGGTAGGTGATGCCAGAGTCCTTGGAGAAGTTGGCATTGTTTATGTGCATGAAAGACCTGCCCTCAGTGGTATTCAGGGCATGAATACTGCCTAGTTTCTGAAGCTTGGGGATATCCTGATCCACAGATGTGTTGCCCATGTAAATCTTCAGGGTGACCTCATTGCAGGGCTGGCTTGGGAGGCTGTAGCAGCCACTGCTGTCTGAGAGCAGGTCACTGAGATCTTCCATGGAGCGTTTGAAAGGGCCTGTCATGGCAGCAGTGGGGCCCGGCATGCTGTGCAGGAGCCAGCAAGGGGGAGTCTGGCAGGCCCTTTTGTCCTTTTTAATTCACTGAAGTTTTCCTACCAAATAAAATAATGCCTGGTACATCATAGGAGATCAATGTTTGTTAAGTGAATGAATGAATGAGTGCTGCTGAGAGCCAGAAATTAATCTTGAGGTCAGTGGGATGTCATATACGGATTCTATGCAAAGAAACTAATATAATCTGATCTGAATTTTTGGAGGACACTACAGAGCAACCCTGGCCACACATATAATTTCACATTTGTATACAAAGAAACTGAAGAAAAAAGAGAGCAAGAAACTCACCCAAGTTCACAGAGCCATTGATTCCCTGAGCCTGGCGGACCTTGTTGCTGATGCTTCCTCCCCACATGGAAATGGAGACAGAGGCCAGCACGGCTGCTCAGGGCACACCCAGCTCACCGTGGCTGAAATGGAGATCTGTGTCTGCGAGGGATTTTGGAACATTTGCATCATTGTCCTGATCATTGGCCATCAGTCACAGCACCCACTTGCTGTCCAAAACAGAATGGAGAGTCCTGTCATCCAAAGAAGGAGTTCAGGCCAGCCAGGCCAAACGAAGAGTGGTTCTGAGCAGCACGCAGATGATGGCCCCTTTCTGGGCAATGGGAAGCAGTGTTCTTAAGCACTGGGAAATGCTCTTTCTTTCTTTCTTTCTTTCCTTCCTTCCTTCCTTCCTTCTTTCTTTTCTTTTCTTTCTTTCTTTTCTTTTTTTTTTGAGATGGACTCTTCTTCTGTTGCCCAGGCTGGAGTGCAGTGGCGCTATCCCGGCCCGGCCGGTGCTTCTTAACAGTTTTGGTCTACGCAAGCAATGTAAGAGGAAGATGTCTCTGAGGCCAGAAACCTGGGTCAGGGCTGCCCTCAAGACAAGGAAAGGCCCCAGTACCCAGCAGGGGCACCACACATGAGCCCATTCCCTTGGGTGCTGGGCTGTGCCCAGGTGGGTGGGCCTCCCTGGTCTTATACAGGGCAGCTGTCTCTGGAGGCCACCAGAGCGAGGCCACAGGAACCCTAGGAAGGGGAATTTGCTGGTGGCTGGGGCAGCTGTAAGAGAATGCCACAGACTGGGGGCTCAAACAGCACACATCTCCTGTTTCACAGTGCTGGAGGCAGGAAGTCCAAGATCAAGATGTCAGCCAGGTTGGTGTCTTCTGAGACCTCTCTCCTTGGCCTGCAGACAGCCACCTTCCTGCTGTGTCCTCACACGGTCTTTCCTCTGCACGTGCATCCCTGGTGTCCGTCTGTGTGTCCCGATCTCCTTCTCATAAGGACATCAGTTATATAGGGTCAGGGCCCACCCTGATGACCTCATTTAACCCAGGTTACCTTTTTAAGGGCTTCACCTCCAAAATCAGTCACTTTGGGGGTTAGGATTTCAACATATGAATTTGGGGGGACACAGTTTGGACCATAACTATGGGATGTTGAAGCAGGATGCTGAAAGCTTCCAAAGGAGGTGGCCTTCCTTTGAAGGGACCTCCAAGGGTCGGGTGAATGTGGACAGGCAGCCACCTCAGAGAAAAGGGCCCCCATTCCTCCTCAGCACCAAGAACACCTGTAACTCCTTTGGAACTTTTATCTCCGTATTTCAGACCACATGCACAGTCTCTGTCTTACAGATGCGAAAATAAGTGAGTTTAGATGAGTAATCATGAACACGTTTTCCTGCATGTGGGAGATTTTCTCCTTTTGACTCATGTAGTTTTCAAGGGCATATCCTGCTATTGTCCTCCTGGCTTTGAGCTGCCTGCCGTGTGTGCATTCTCTTTCCATCACACACGCGCACCTGCGTGCACACACATACACATGCACACACGCGTGCTCACATGACAACCCCAAATTGATACACAATTGCACTTCCAGAGCATTGCCCACCCTGACAAGCACCACGTCTACTGTGCCTGATAAATGGAGACTAGTATGTATTCTCAGAGTGCATGCAGACAGCAGAACATGCACTCAGTGATGGTTTATGTTGAATGTTTAAACACTGCCATTTTGGAAGTCAAGTGTCAGCAGGGTGGGAGGTGTGGTGTTCCCACAGCTCTGAAAAGAACACCCCATGAAGATTCGAGCAGGCCCCTTTGGGGACACAGCCTCCACTGGGAGGAGCCAAGTGGGCTGGCGCTGTGTGAGCATTTTGCTTGACAAGAGTTGTTAGAGTAGACCAGAAGGCCTGTTTCCGGGAAATATTTTCTCCATTTCCTCTCTACATAGGTCTCTCCAAATTTCTTAGAAGATACACAATTAAGGTGTCTCCTTAAGGACTATTTTACTATTTTCCAGAAAGTAGAAATAAAAGAGGGGGTAGAGAAATATCAGAATTATCAGAGCATGTCTTAGCCTGTAAGGGAGTAGATTTTTGTCATTGTAGGAGCTAGAGGTAGAAAAAGACATGGAAAGGAATGAACCAATGAGGAAACACCGCTGCTTGGCAGGCCAGCATCTTGAATGTCCTCATCACACGAGTGTGTCCTGGATCCCACCCAAGGCCCTCCAGGAGTGGATCTGCCTCTAGATTTCCTGCTCTTATCCACTCTGTTGCTAGATCACAGAAGCAGTGCCATGATTTATTATTTAATAACCTACAAAACATTATTATAGAAATGAAACATTCAACAGGAACTGTGAAACCATTTACAATGGAATCAACAAGACAACAAGACGTTTGATGTAAGAGAGAAGGACTGCTTAGGAAACAAATAATCCGTGAAGCGTGGAGCCGCCCCATCCTAAAAACAAATACACTTTAGAGTAACTGAATTTAAATACTTCTAAATCAGATACAGTTTTTAAAAATGTATCCTTTTATATTATAGTCATGCTGAATTAAGTTTGAGGACTATTGCTCTGCAGCTATACACAGATACATTGCAAAATGACTAACAGCTTAAGCTAAAATGGTTTTCCTTTTACTGAATTGATAGTACAATTTAGAATTACAACTTTTTTGAGGCTAGCTAGACTAGCCTGCTAACCACCCCTAAGCATTCTGTGCAGTGTGATAAAAGTTATCCACATCCAAGTCCACCTCTCTGTGGAGCCAGTTCCATCCTCCCACCTAGAATTGTGCTTTTGTGCTTTTCTGCAGGACTTACTATATATTCATGAGCTTGCATGAATTACTGTCATTTATCTGCAAAAACTACTACATTGAGTATATTCTCCTAGAGGATGGAACCACATCTAACTTATTTCTAGATGAGTTACCATGCCCATCCCCTGAGAAACTAGTTCTTGTTTGCTGTTGCAGATCACTCGAGGGTCATCTGTAAGAGCCTGGAGGCCGACCCAGCTACAGTGAAGAAGAATTTCTTAAAATATCCCTTCAGTGTTGGCTCTGTTTCCTTTGAAAAACAGAGCAGAGGCTATGGTGGCTAGACCCAAGGGATGAAAGGAAAATTGGTATATAAACTGCAGTTGTTTTCAAGCTGATGTCAAGTCTAGAGAAAACAAATCAGTGTAACTGTATACACCTGTCTTCCCAGGACCTAAAGGGGAAGACAAGTGATTACGGAAGCAGTAGTGTCTGAGGGACAAACAGTGGCATACATGTAATCTACTGACAGGGACTCAGGAATCTGGCATCGCTCCGGGTGTTTCAGCTCAATTATAAGGCATTTAAATGATCAAGTAGCTGATATTTGGCCCAGCTTCCTCAGTTCTTCACCTCAGTTTCAGTAGGCTTAAATGATAGTTGAAGTCTTGGCTTTGTTTACAGCATATCCATTCAGTATTTGGGGAAATAATTTTTAACTGAAGCCCTAGTTATGGGGTAAGTTTCTTTTAGGAAATCCTTTACACTATTATTTTTTGAGATGTCATTTTCTTCTGTCAGAATGAGATTTTAAAGAAAATCCTCATGCTCATTATTTTGTGGTGAAATACACATCCACCGTACCATCTTAGCCATTTTCATGGGACCATTCACTAGTGTGAAGCACATTCACGTTGTCGTACAACCGTCACCACCGCCCATCTCTAGGACCTTTTCATCTTCCCACACTGAAACTTTGTACTCACGAAACACTAACTCCCTTTCCCTCCCCCTGACCTTGGCAACAACTGTTCTCCTTTCAGTCTCTATGACTTTGATCATTCTGGGGTCATTCTAGGGATCTCATACCAGTGGAGTCTTATGGTATTTGTCCTTTTGTGACTGACTTACTTTACTCAGCATCATGTCCTCAAGGCTCATCCATGTTGTTGCATGTGTCAGAAGGTTCTTCCTTTTGAAGGCTGAATAATATTCTACTGTATAGATATACCACATGCCACATTGTGTTTATCCATCCCCTCTCCAATGTCTCCTGGCCATTCATACTTTAACAATTCCTCTCTAGTTGTACACTCTCTTTACTTCAGTCTACTCTAGTGCTGTATTACATAAGAAAATGCATTTGGGCCAAATGTCTGAAGGTACATGTTTAGCTTAGAGATGTGACTAAGGACCACCAGGGGAGGAGGCATCTAAAACTCCTCAGTGACAAAAAGGAGGAGAAGTACAACTGCCTGGTGTGGGACAAGAGACAACTAGTCACAACTAGTGAGAGGCTTCACATAATTTCAGCTTCTCTTCATGGTTATGTCAAAATACAGTTACCACCAATTTAGTTTAAAGATTAATTGGCTTTTATTTGCAATTCTAGAATTGAGAAGCTCCTCATTCTGTAAAACAGAGTAAGTGTTCAGATGAAATGAGCTGATGAGGTTGGCTTCCTAGGCACAAAAGGGCTGAAGAAAGCAGAAACAGGGAGCAAAGAGTGGACTGGTCATTTCAGTTACTTTCCTCATAGCGTTAAAACACAGGGGACTTCATTGTTACATTAACTCAGATAAACTAGAACCTCTTGGGGATTTTTGAAAACTGGCCTGTTTCAAAGTTCAGTTGGATTATGTGGAACATGAGTGAGGCCATCCTGGTTTGTTCTGAGATGCTGGGGCCTTGTGCAGGGGCTCATCCAAAACAGCGGCCTCCCATAAACTGTAACACTTATGCACAGAGCTTCTTAAAGGAAATCATTCCCATGAAGTTATATTTCCAAAGCTCAGACGGTGAGCACCTTTTGGAACTTTGTTTCAACCATGTAATGTTTCACCACTGTACTGGCCTTCAAACTCCACTGCTCCACATATTCAGCTCCACACTTGTGGTGAAAGCTGCACAGGCAGGAACGTGGAGCAGGTGTGTTTGCTTGTTTGCAACCTGGGATTGGAGGTGAGTTTCAGCGAAGGGGGAAACTCAGAGTTTCCAAAGTTTGTTACGGAGTGCTTCCAAGGTAACAGTCTATTATTGACCATGGATTTGGTGAAGTAGAGCAGTATTTTTTAGCAGGTAAAATCACAGACTTTGGCTTCGCTAAGATGTGTGATTGAGTCTCAGTCTTGCTAACTGAGGCAATCTGGAGAAGTCACCTCACCTCTCGGAGCCAACTTACCTCTGATGGGCTCAATGTCAGGATTCAGTCTATAGGGTTGCTGTGAAGACAGAAGGCATTGTTAAACAGGTGGGGGTTGCCAGTTATCTAGTAATGGTAGTCATAGCAACAGCAGTGTTTTTAACCACGGAATGTGAAATGAACATTCTGATTAGATGCAAGGCTACTTACTTAAGGAGATGGCCATGAGATGCCGACAAGGCCCCTGTAATGGCCATGATGGCCGCGTCGGGTATGCTGGGGACAGATCCTCCTCTCCTCCTGAGCCCTGGTCCCTTTTCCTAAAGGCAAGGTTTACGGTTAAATACTCAAACAAAAACAGTGTAGGCATTTAGGGCGATAGCCTCTGACTTAACTTTTCAGTTTTGGGTAAGCTACGTATGAAGAAAAAAGCTGAATCTTGTTATTAAAAAAAATTCTGTATACTTTCTATACATTTATTTCTATACATTTCTAAATGAATTAGAAGGTTAAATGCAGGTTCCTCATCTTCTTAACTAGCTTCTTTAATTCAAAAATTTCTAAACAAATTTAGCCATAAATCTAACTGAAACTCTCACATCCACATTTTTTTTTTTTTTTGGTAGGAAGCTTGACTCATTTCATCAAATAGCCTTTGAGAATCCTGGTCACTGGTATTGAAACAACATTGCAGGGTATTGAGTATTTGTGCAGGCCCTGCTGGTGAGGTGAGACTCATCTCCTTCTTTGGAGAGCTTCAGGGAGAGTAAAGCTCCTTCTCTGCCAGTCTGTTCTTCGAAAAACAAACTGAAACATAGCAAAACCCAAAAGGTCCAAATCCTGTGATTAGCTATTAAAATGAGTTGCATGGAACCCTATGGCTATTAGTATCGTCGTTGGTATTGTGTAAATGCACACACACTACGAGGATGGCCAGATTGCAGATTTGTGTTTTGCATTTCTTTCCATGGCCTTCATTTCTTTTTCTTTTGTCCTAGATAAGTCTGCCAGTTTCTTAGCTAATTTTTACTCTATGTCATATTCCTCCAATATGCCTTTAAAAAGAAGCAGCTGGCATGTTTTAGATAACTCCTTGCAGGGGGAAGTGAGAACTCTGAAGGAGGAAGAGGAGTCAGGGAGGCTCTTGGCAGGGTGATGAGGGCCCCTTGCCTCCACAGCCCCTGAACTCCCTGGCTTCTCTTTCTCTTGATAACTGTTGGGTGCTCTGACTTTGCTGCCCTCAAAAACATGTTACATTTGCCTTGGCAAGCCCTCCTCATGTACTTTTCAGTGCATTTCCTAAGGGCCAGGATTGGAGAGAAGCAAGGGCTCTCCCAGATGCACCCCATTCTTGCCATTTAACATTATCTATGCTACCCTGCAGTTACACTGTCTGCAAGCTCTGACCCAATTTAGGCTCTATGTCTAACCTTAATAGATTGTTCTAACCTCTTCCTGAACATTGCAAGGATCCTAAGACCCCTTTGTCTTAGGATGGCAAAGGCACAGTTTTCCTCTTCTTAGCTGCACCCGTTATTAAACACATTTGCAAAACTTGCATGGGAGGCTTGAAGTCCATTTCTCAGGTATGAATGACAGGATGAAGACCAGGGCATTCTGATTGCTCGAGTCAGGGGTGTGGGTCATGCCATGACCAGTTTGTGCTGGATGAATGTGGGCAGTGACCCTGTGTGATGTCAGTAAGCTTTGCTGTGCCTTTGTAGTCCCAGGGATGGATTCGACTAAGCCATGTCCTCTCCTTCCAAGTAGTTCTTTGGGCACTGGTGAATATGTGCGTGTTGTTACCTATAATTAGGTGTGCAATTTACAAATAATCTATACTCGTGTCTTTTTCTGAGCTGTGCTTGCTGGCCCAGAAGAGGTGAAGGGTGGCTTCAGTCCCATTTATGTCACTTAATGAATGGAAGGAATTGGCTGGGATAAACCTCCATGCTATCAAGGAGACTCTGCAAAGATCTCTGCCTCACTGATGTTCTAATGGAGCATTTGCTCAGTTGCAGCATGTTGCCCAGAGCAGAGAGTAGCCGTCCTGTAGATGGCAAGAACTAAGGAGGTGGATCCCAGGCTGCCTTTGTGGGCATTGCAGACCAAATTCGGGTGCAGGGCCCTCTGCAAACTCAGGTTGAAAATGCAAATCAGGTAATGGAGTCAGTGATAA